>NC_000020.11:39041991-39345022 GCF_000001405.40 Homo sapiens
CACACCCAGCTAATTTTTGTATTTTCAGTGGAGACAGGGTTTCATTGTGTTGGCCAGGCTGGTCTCAAACTCCTGACCTCAAGTGATCTGCCTGCTTTGGCCTCCCAAAGTGCTGGGATTACAGGCATGAGCCACCTTGCCCGGCCATCCTTTAGTCTTTTCTTGGTGCTAAGATGCTTTTAGGAAACAATGGTGATAGTAGATGGTGGTTTTATTTTTTAATGTTTTCTTTGGAAAAATAAAATGTCAACAGTCGTTCATCTATCACCCAATTAAAAACCAATTCAAAATGATGAAACAAAAACTGATGTAATCCTCAAGTCTGGGAACTACTGGGTTGTGGCTGAGTGGGCCGGGCAGGGCATCTGGCAGCATCAGCACCAAGATCATCATTCTGGGAAGTGGATCTGAACTGCCAAGCACCCACCTGGGTTTCAAGTGAACTTTGGCGCCGCTGGAGGACATTTCTATCCCCTGGAAGAATTCGAGTTGGCAAGTCTCAGCCCCATATCCCTTTTTCACCTCAAGATAAGATCAGGTATTTTCCACTCTCCAATGATTCATCTGAATTTTCTCCTCAGCCTTCTAATTTGTGATGAAACAGGATGATGGAACTCTGGATTTCTTGTCAGTTTAATCTGTTTTTTTTTTTCTTTTTTTCTGAGTCATTGGAACTGGAAATAGCCAATCAAATAATTGCACAAACAGCTGGCTACTGTGGATGACCAGGTGGAATTTGCGTGGCAGACGGTCTGGAGAGGGCTTGTCCCTGGGTCCTCACAGTCATTGCTCCCTCCAGCAAGCAAGGATGACACGTTGACGTCTCTGGTGAATCCTGGCAGTGTTCCCTTTTGCACTCTTGGGTGGCATTGGACTTGCTGGAACAGGGCGTCTCCTTGCCTGCTTAAGTGCGGCCAAAGAGATTCCCAGCGCAGCGTTCCCCCAGGCCCTCTGGCACACATGGCCACCGCTCCCACTTGTGGGTTCTCCTGAAGGCAATGAGCAGGCTAGGGAGGCTGGGAGGTTCACAAGGGAGGGGTGGTGCAGGCACAGGATTTAATACCCCAGGATCTCCATAGCCAGGTGAACGACCAGCACAGGCTACTGCCCATGGCTTCTTGACCATGGCCTCATCAGTGGCTCCAAGTATGAACGTCCTAGCCAGGTTCTTTGCTGGCCTCAGCCTGATGGGCGGACCCATATAGGACCCAAAGGTCGCCTGAGTTCCTTTCTGCGTCCCCACCACTGCCATCAGCCTCTACATCGCCCTGGACCCCAGGAGAGCAGGAGCTGGCTGATAAGGCCTTACCAGCTCACCCTCAGGCTGTTTATTTTAGCCTCGTTCTCTGGTTGCTTTTCTTCCCCGCATTTTAGGCTTGTTCTGTTTTCAAGTGCGGTCTTCAGTTTGCTTGGTGTCTGCTGTCCCTGTGTTTTCCCTTTGCTGTTGTTTTTTTGTTTTTCCTCATGGGTATGCCTCACCCCTTTAATCTCCACCTCTCTGACCTCTGCATTATTTTCCTTTTTACTGCGAAGTTTTAAAAAGAATGCAGTCGTGTTTATTTTTAATGCTCTTCAAAAGTATTTTTTCCTCGACATTTATGTTAACGTCTTGGTCTTTTTTGTACTCTGCTTGTTTGTCTAACTATTATTTTGGACATTTGTTGTCGTGGTTCTATAAATATTTTCTTCTGTGATCTTCTTTTGTTTCTTTTTGTTTTGTTTTGATACAGAGTCTCGCTCTGTCACCCAGGCTGGAGTGCAGTGGTGCAATATGGGCTCACTGCTGCCTCGGCCTCCTGGGCTCAAGTGATCCTCCCATCTCAGCCTCCCCGGTAGCTAGTAAAGACGGGGTTTCTTAATGTTGCACAGGCTGGTCTCGAACTCCTGAGCTCTAGTGATCCACCTACCTCGGCCTCCCAAAGTGCTGGGATTACAGGTGTGAGCCACTGTGTCTGGCCTTTTCTGTGATTTTCATCTTCTACTTTAGTGTATTAGTTTAAAACTCAACAGTTGACTTCCCATTTTATTTTACTTCCTTTGCCCCCCTTCTCTTCATTTCTTTTTTTTTTTTTTTTTTTGAGACAGAGTCTCGCTCTGTTGCCCAGGCTGGAGTGCAGTGGCATGATCTGGGCTCACTGCAAGCTCCGCCTCCCGGGTTCACGCCATTCTCCTGCCTCAGCCTCCTGAGTAGCTGGGACTACAGGCACCCGCCACCGTGCCTGCCTAATGTTTTGTATTTTTTAGTAGAGATGGGGTTTCACCGTGGTCTTGATCTCCTGACCTCGTGATCCGCCCGCCTTGGCCTCCCAAAGTGCTGGGATTACAGGCGTGAGCCACCGCACCCGGCCTCTTCATTTCTTATTATGCTTAATTTGCTTTAGTGGTTGGCAAAAGGCCTACCTGTAGGTGTGGGAGCTGGGGGAAGGTATTCCAAACAAAGGATTAAATGTCAGGAATGTACAAGGAGCTCCTATAAATCACCAGTGAAAAGACAACTCCAGCAGAAAAAAATGGGCACAGGGAATGGAAGGCAATGTATAGGGGCAGACCCAACACTCCACCAAACCACTGAAGAGATATTCAAAGTTAGTCATCAGGAAAACACAAGCTAAAGCAACAATTAGACATCACTCTGCACCAATGAGATTAGCAACACAGTGGAAAGGTGGCGGATGGAGATGCGGCGGCCTCTGTGCGCAGCTGGTACGGCAGTCCTGGAGAGCCACCTGGGACTACTCATGTGTGTTCCTGCCCCACAGCCCAGAAACTCTGCTTCTGGGGGTGTGTTCCCAACAAAATTCTCACCCGGGTCCTTAGGAGACACATGTAAGGATGCTTACTGGTGTGATGGATGGGGTGGGGACTAATGTCCATCCCTGGGAGGTGTGCAGGGACAATGTATTGGATGACACTGTGGATCAGTACAGAGCAGGTTCATAGAACACAGACCTGAGAAATAGCTGAGTGGAAGAATTAAGAAACTGCTGTAATCCCAGCACTTTGGGAGGCCGAGGTGGGCAAATCACAAGGTCAAGAGATTGAGACCATCCTGGCCAACATGGTGAAACCCTGTCTCTACTAAAAGTACAAAAACTAGCTGGATGTGGTGGTGTGCACCTGTAGTCCCAGCTACGCGGGAGGCTGAGGCAGGAGAATCACTTGAACCTGGGAGGCTGAGGTTGCAGTGAGCCAAGATCGTGCCACTGCACTCCAGCCTGGCGACAGGGCGAGAGTCTGTCTCAAAAAAAAAAAAAAAAAAAGAAAGAAAAAAAAAAAGAAACTGATGTGATAGTCCTGTTCACGGAGACTAAAACTACATGCACACAAAACCAATACGATTGCAAAAATATGTACAAACAAGATGTGCATCGCAAGTGTTGCCTGTGGGGGTGGGGGTAGGACACAAGGATTGGCAATAAAATAAAATGTAAAATGAAGTAAGATGGGGATAAGGAGCCTCAAGTGTTCATCTGGAGGAGATGTGGATTTTAGGACACATAGCCCTTCTTGTCTAAGGTTTTAGACCTGCTCACCAGTGGCCCCGGGAGGCAGGAGGTTGTGGAGTTGGCTTCAGAAGCCTGCCTCCCACCTCCAAGCTCATATTCTGGCAGGAACCACTTCTACCCTGGATGGAGTGAGTCGGCCAACAACATGAGACATTTTGATGCTTTTTTTCCCTATCACAGCGCATTTTTACTCAGATACATGATCTCCTTGGGACACCCTTTTAACTCGTGTTTATTCTACATGCCCCATGGTACAGTTAATTTTCATCGGCAATCTGAAAGCCAGCAACAGCCGCAGAGCTTGTCTAATCACCAAGGAGTCAAAGACATGCAGCCCCGCGGCCCCTTTCAGTAGAGGTGAAGGAACTCACTGGAAAAGCCCTCCCCAGTTTATGATTAAATAGGCTACTAAAATGGAGGGTAGCTTATAGGATTTATCTGGGCAGAGCGCCTTCATACTTCCAGGGCAGGAACCAGTAGGACAGACAGTGTCATTTAAGTCCTTCCTGCTGATCAGTATCCTTAGGTTGGAATTTATGCTCTCAGCCCATAGGGACTCTTGTTCCCTCCACTTCGGCACTTGGCACTCTGCTTCTGAGCCTTTGGCCTTCAGGAGGCGAAAGAGAACTGGATACACCAAGGCTTTGAAGATCCTGATGAGCTTTTGCCATCCGAGGAGCATGTAGACTTGAGCTGTGTTTGCTACACCCAGATGTGGCTCCCTCCTCTCTCTTGGGCTTACTGATCATTTAGAACCAGTTTAATTAGCACTGGTGTCTGCTTTTCCAAAGATTGCCTGGTAGGAGGCAGAAATCTGGGCCAGGTTAGTGAGGCAGCATGCAAACTGGAAGAGACCACCAGGGAACTTGTACAATGTAAGTCTTACTCCAAGCTTTCCATTGCTTGGAGAAGGGTGTTCTAAATCACCCTTGGTCTTCCCGACTTCAGTTGCAGACTCAGAAGGAGGGCAGATTCTGGGGCGATTTCTTGACCCAGTGGTGATGGGGTCGTGGGAACTCAGCTTCTAGGGAGACAGGGTAGGTTTCCTGTCCCCAGATTAATAAACCAAGGTCACTTCTCCTGAACTGTGATGATGCCTGGCCCTGTTCTTAGTGGGCATAGATGGAGTTAACTTTTTTTTTTTTTTTTTTTTTTTAGAGGCGGGGTTTCACTATGTTACCCAGGCTGATCTCGAACTCCTGGACTCAAGCGATCTTCCCATCTCAGCCTCCCAAAGTGCTGGGATTATAGGCATGAGAGTTAGATTTTTCACATGGGATTTTTGCCAATTGATTAGTCTGTTGCCCCAGCCAGGATTAGGACAAAAGGGCTTTGCATCCCCACAGCCTCTCTTGATTGATCTTGTTCATGCACAGATGGAATTCGGACACCCTTTGGGTATGTGAATAACCCTTACAGGCCACAGGACCCAGATTAGTGACACCACAACTGGGCATCATCTGAGTAGGGAGGACAGGAGCACTGAGCTCCAAGTCAGAAGATCCGAATTAAAAAATGACCACCTTTAATGAGGTATAATTCACATGTAATAAGTGCACTCATTTAATTGGATAGTCAATACGTTTTGACAAATCAGTACACCACAGTGACCACCAAAATCAAATATAGAACATTTTCACCCAAAAAGTTTCTCATGATCTTTTGTAGTCAACAGCCACCCCGACTTTGCCCCCCAGCCTCAGGCATCACTATTCTGCTTTCTGTCACTATGGGCTAACTTTGCCTTTTCTAGAATTTCATACACATGGGATCATTTAGGATATACTCTTTTGGGTCTGGAGGAGACCTGGTTTAAGCCCCACACCCAAAATTAGATAACTTTGTGACCCTTGGCAAGACATAATTTTGTCTTCAACTCAGTTTCCTTACCAGTGCAATGGGGTGGTAATAACTTAAAACCAGCAAGCCTTCCTTCCTTCCTTCCCTCTCCCTCCCTCCCTCCCTCCTGTCCTTCCATGTGCACAGGTGCCACAGTGAGCTCCATTGTAAAATTCCAGAAAGGAGCTGGGTCAGGGGTTGCTCAGGAAACAGGAGCCTCTGCTCCCTCCACGTGTGTCACAGAGGGCACCCGCTGCCCCTCCCTCCATGCCCATCCCAGCCTCCCTGGTGCCGTGGTGTGCAGGTCCCCGCATCTCCTTCAAGGTGGACTCCTTTTATTTAAACAAGGGAGATAGGAAGTCACCCCGGAAAGAACCAGATGCGGTGATGAGGGCCCCCACCCTCAAGATGGGCAGAGGCCAGAGGTGACCAGGACCTAAGCAGAGGGGAGGACCATGTCAGGGGGTGGGGGTGCACAGAGGCCCGGAGTGGGGCCCGCCTGGCCCTGGGGCTCGGGACACTGGAGTTTTCAGGGGGAGCAGTGAGTGGAAGGCTCGTGGAGCTGCTGGACACCAGATGAGTGTTGGCATCAGGACACACACATTGCTCAGAACCACCCAGGAACAATCTGATGGACACCTTTGTGCCCTTCACAACACAACTCACTGACACTGGACACCCAGAAGCACTTGCAGATAAGAGACCACTGCACACAGAGCACAGTCCCTGCTTCCCTGGAGCTCACGTGCTAAAACATGACCCACATCCAGGCTGCAGCCCGTCCTTAGCCAGGGATGTGGAGGGTCCTGAGTCTGGTCCTGTTGAGTCCTGAGTCCTCCAGACTGGCCCTGCCAAGTTGCCAGGCATCTGATGCAGCAGAGCAGCGCTATGCTGCCCTCTGCTGGCCACATGGAGGCAGTGAGTCCCCACACTGCTGTCCACTCCTGGCAATGGGCTCAGGGGAAGTGGACTGTGTTTCTGGTCCCTTGCTTCTGACAACCTGATAGAGCAGATATGGAAGGGCAGAGGCACTATAAGAACTCTTCTCCCAGTTCCTTGATTCCCCCCCATTATTCCTTGTGTGTCCCCCACTTCCCCTCCCTTCCCTGTGTCTGGATTTAAGAAATGACAGTTGAGGCAAATCATGTTGCTTTTTCGGCCATCTCCTGCAGTGTCCCCTTTCCATGGCCTCATCCTGTCATGGCCCTGAGCTGTTGCAACTGGTTCAGGGAGGTCTCTCTTGGCCATCTTTCATCCAGTGGGGATGGAGAGACCAGTGCCATTTCTGGAGGGAGCACCTGAGTTTGGAGGTGAAACATAGGTGATACCTTATCCAGGTGACACCTTCCCTAGGCCACAAAACCATAGTTTCTAGATGGAGCTGGGCATGGTGGCTCATGCCTATAATCCTAGCACTTTGGAAGGCTGAGGCTAGAGGATGGCTTGAGGCCAGGAGTTTGAGACCAGCCTGGGCAACATAGGCCCTGTCTATACAAAAAAATAACAATTTAAAAAATTAGCCGAGTGTGGTATGTGTGCCTCCAGCCCTAGCTACTCATGAGGTTGAGGCGGAAAAGTCACTTGAGCCCAGGAGTTTGAGGCTGCAGTGAGCTGTGATCAGTTGTACCACTGCATGTCAGCCTGGTCAACACAGCGAGACCTTGTCTAAAAAAAAAAAAAATAAAAATAGATGGACTGGTGCCGTGCCTTTTTTTTTCCCCCCACAGATTCTTTGACATGCCTCCCATGCAGAGGTGGGGTCTATGTCCCTCTCATGAATCTGGCCAAGTTGGTAGTGGTTTTGACCCAGGGTTGTGTGAAGTGATGTGGTGTGACTTCTGAGGCTGGGTCACGAAAGGCCATGCAGCTCCTGCCTGGCTTGCTGGGACACTGCCACCCGAGCAAGCCAGCTACCTGATAACCAGGATGCTGGAGAGGCTACTCATGGGCTGTGGTTCATGATGCCATCTGAGAAGTGGGTCCTCTGGCCCAGCTCTTCCAGGGCCCAGCCTTCTGGGTCACTGTCAGCTGAGGCCCAGACATGCAGGAGTACAGACAAGCTGTCCCTCCTGTGCCCTGTCCCAATTCCTGACCTGGCTTCTGGAGCTTGGTTTGGAGATGGAGCCCACCTTGACAATGCTGTTTCCCTGGGAGAATGGGCCCCCTCTTGGCTGGCTTGCAGGAGCTCTGGGAGTCTCCTTCCCCTGTGACTCCTAGGGGCTTGGTGGCTCTGAGCTGGGCAGCTCCACATTCTCTCAATTTCATTCTGTCTGATCCATGTTAGTTTTATTTACTTTTTATGTATTTTTTATTTTTCTGACATAGAATCTCGATCTGTTGCCCAGGCTGGAGTGCAGTGGGGATCATGGCTCACTGTAACCTTCAACTCCTGGGCCCAAGGGATCGTCCAGCCTCTGCCTCCCAGAATCCATGTTCGTTTTAATATGAAAGCAACGTTTTATGCGACAACCAGGAGCTCTGAAGGGTTTTCACGTGGATGAGCCACACGCCGGGATTTGGAATTGCGGGAAGTGCCCAGCGAGTAGGGTAGGAGGAATGTTGGGGGTGGGACTGGACTAGAAGGGAGGCTGGGACGTCGTCGAGAACGAGATTGCAGGGACGCTGCGGTGGGAGAAGTCGAATTCCCACCCTGTTCGTCCTCCGCAAAGAGTGACTGAGGCTCAAAAAGCCACAGCCTTGCCCAAAACGGATGCAGCGGGCGCAGGCACGGTCCACACCCCGAAGCTTGCCGATGCCCTCGGCGGCAGCCCGTCCTGCAGAGCCGCGTTCCCTGCGCCCAAAGCAAGGTCGGACCCCCACCGGGATTCCCGGAACCGGGTGTCCCGCGCGTCCCCAGCGCAGGCAGAGACGGCGAGACTTCCGGGTCGGCGTTGCACACGGCGGCCGGCAGGCGGCGCTGGAGCCCCGCGTTTGGGCAGCCAGGACGCCCTTGCGCTGCTTCGGGTCCTGCGAGCGCCCAGGGAGGGGGTGAGTGCGGGGAGGGGTCAGACCCGTGTCTTGCCCGGTGCGAGCTCACCGCCTGCCCACCGGGCACGTCCACAGCAGCTCAGTCCCGGTCTGAGCGCATCGGAGTGAAAACAGCCCCCGCACCTCTCGTGACGGTGTCCCCTTCTCTGTCCACGTTGCAAGAAGCTATACTGTACTCACCAAGTCTTTAAATCTTGACCACTTCACCAAGGAAGGTATGAACCTCTCCATTTTACAGGCCCAGTTCAAAAAGCAACGACAAAAATCAACACCAGCAAACCTTTATGGAGTTCTAATTATTGACCTGGCCTGCCAGGGTCCTTCAGAGTGGAGTTGGGGTGGGTGCGGGAGAGGGGTCAAAAGCCAGCCCTCAGGAGGGGGCCACCCGCGCAGCCCTCTCTCCACCATCAGGGCTCTTGCAGACCCAAGGGCCTGCCAGGAGAAGCAGATGGGCCATGGTAAATCTGAGGGGCCATTGGGATGCCCAGACTGTCCCAGGTCACCCCATTTCTGCATTTTTGTTCATTTTGTTCAGGTGGCCCTGAATGTTGTGCCCTCCTCTTGGGAACTGTAAGTAATACAATCTTCCTTTCAGGCAGTTGACTCTGTGTCTGTCATCTTCCCATACCTGATTACAACAAAATCATCCCATGTACATTTTTAAACAACTGTCTAAGATTGTCGCAGGGCTCAAATGACTTAACTTTAAGTGCTTACAATGATGCCTGACACATGGTAAGGCTAATCGAGGAGTAGCTATTGTTACATCTCTTTCTCCAGCCTCTTCCTTCTTTGCACCAACTGCCTCCCTCTGAGCAATTTTGAGGGAGGTTTATCTCGAGGTGCAGCCAATCCCAGCTGCTAGGGCCAAGATCAGCCACGTGCTCCTTTCCCTTGGCCATGGCTTTGGACACTCCAAGCTGGCAGTGAGTGCCAGGTGAGGGGGCTGCTAGGAGCCGGCAGGGGGGATCTCACCTTTGTGCCACTTATGTCCCTAATCAGGGGCAACCTCCCCAAATCTGCACCCCCAAATCCCCTCCCCAGCTTGACTGGAGAAATCACTCTAACTCCCAATGATAGCAACTCCAAATCATAGCAATAATAATTTACTGAGTGCTTACAGTGAGCCAGACACAGTGCTAGCATCTTGTACCAGCAGTTCTCAAACTTTTTGGCTTCAGGAACCCTTTACACCCTAAGAATGATCAAGGCCCTCAAAGCTCTTGTTCATGTGGGTTGTATCTATCACTAATTACCATTTTAGGAGTCAAAACAAATTTTAATAATATTTATTTATAATTTATTTAAAATAGCAATAATAAACACTACATGTGAGCATAAATAATATATTCCTATGACAAATAACTATATTTCACAACACACAAAATTTAAAGAGAAGGAAGTGTGGCTTTGTTTTATATTTTTGCAGATCTCTATAATGTCAGCCTTAATAGAAGACAGTTTGATTTTTATATCTGCATCTGCAAGTTTTTGAGATACCACATGTCATGTAGCCCCTGTAATATTCCACTGGGAGTTTTAAAAAGCTTTCACTGAGAGCAAAAAACCCCCACAAATAACATGTTTGTATTATTGTCAACATTATTCTGAATTTTATGGACCATCTGAAAGGGTCTCAGAGACCCCAGAGGTGCCCATAATACACTGTGGAAACTGCTGCCTGATATACATGATGGGTAGCTTCCAATATTGCCCCATTTTTACATATGAGGAAACTGAGGCACAAGGAGATTAAAGTGACTTGTCCAAGGTCATGCAGCCAGGCATCAAAGCTAGCTGGGGAGTCACTTGATTTTGGTGTCCAGGGTCCCAGCACTGAGCCCTGAAAGAGAGGGTAGGAACTGGGCACAGAAAAAGCCGGAAGGGCAGGTTGGGCCATGAGTGGGGGAGCTGGGTGTGCAGTGAGGGGTGGGGGTGGGAGGGGACCGGGGGATCAGTTAGTCACCAAGTGGTCCTGGTGACAGGGCTGGAGATGGCAGCTGGCGGCGGATGTAGCCTCGGGCTGGAAAATCAATAGGTGATCAGCGGTCCAGGGGCAAGCTGTTCATCAGGTGCGGCAGAGGGGCAGGGGCAGGGGCGGGGGGGCTGGGAGGAAATATCACTGACCCCCGGCAGGATTGATCAAACAGCCAGACACCCAAGGCCAAACTCACTAATAAAGTGAGACATTCAGCTCAGCCCGGCGGCTGCTGCTGAAGGTCTTAAAAAAACCGCTTACTGGGGAGTTCTTGATAAACTGTCTTTGTTTCTTGAGGCAAGTGGGAGGGAGGACAGACTGTGGGGAGGCCTGGCTCGGCTGCCGTTTGGCCTGGGACTCATGGTTTGCCCCAGGTCTGGACCACAGAACCCTGGTGCTTGTATGGCATGTGTGCTTGCACTACAGCACATGCCATTTGTACAGGGCATGTGCAGACACATATGTGCACACTATGTCGCACACATTCAAATGTGCCTGCACATGTCTTTGCACGCCCGTGCACATGCTACAACCTACATTTGCTTATGGTATGTGTGCACACATATGCATGTGCTACAGCACATGTGTACAAATATGCCTTGCATGTGTGCATAGACATGCGTGCACCGCATCACATGGCATTTACACATGCATATGCTATGGCACATATGTGGGCACAAATGTGCCTTGCATGTGTGCGTATACGTGCATGTGCCGTAGCACACAGAATCTGCCTTTGAGGGGTGAGCATGTGTGCTTGGGGGTTAAACTCTTTCTCCATTGTTTCACTGATATCACCACTTTCTCTGCCTGTAGTCCCAAAGGTGCCACATTTGTAATGACAGTCATGATTATTATGGGGTGGGGAGATGGACGGAAAAGTAGGGACTGGAAAACTGTATCTAAAAGGCTAAGCTGTACAACAGAGAGAGGCAGGTGTGAACAGGAAGAAAGAGGGGGAGGAAAAGTGAAGGGCCGGCATGGTAAGGGCTAAACATCGTTTGGACTGGGAGTTGAGGGAGAGAAAATGGCAGGATTCGGGGGTGGCTGGGTAGCTGTTGGGGGAGCAAATTAAAGAATAAAGGATATGCAAATATAATTTTTATTTTTATTGATTTATTTTTTTTAAGACAGAGTCTCATTCTGTTCCCCAGGCTGGAGTGCAGTGGCGTGATCTCAGCTCACTGCAACCTCCACCTCCTGGGTTCAAGCAGTTTTCCTGTCTCAGCCTCCAGGGTGGCTGGGACTACAGTCTCATGCAGCCACGCCCGGCTAATTTTTATATTTTTAGTAGAGACAGGGTTTCACCATATTGCTCAGGCTGGTCTCGAACTCCTTTCCTCAGATGATCTACCCACCTCGGCCTCCCAAAGTGCTGGAATTACAGGCATGAGCCATCGTGCCCGGCTGCAAATAGAATTTTAAGAACTGTGTTGGGTAATGACATCCTTTGACATTCTTTCAGGAATCCAAGTAAAGAGTAGAACCTTTCCCGATCACTTTCTGATTGTTGGACTGTGTTTTGTTAAATGTGCTACCGTATTAGACTGGGCTTGTGCATACACAGAATTTATTTTGATTTAATAATTACATCACTCACATTGAGAATGAAATTTTATTGGAATGCTTTTGCAGATGAGAGGTTTTATTAAGAGCTTTTCCATGTGTCATATACTAACTCGAAGGTATGGATACTACTTTTATTTCCATTTTTTGGATGAATTCATTGGAGCTCAGAGGCTTAATCACTTGCTTAAGTCAGGTGGCTTATAGGAGGTGGAACTGGGATTTGAACCCAGCCCTCTGACTCCAGAGCCCAGGCTGCCTTGGCCATTATTCCAGAGTATAGTGGGGAATCTGGGGGGTCAGACAGGTAGACCAATGGAGGAACATTTGCCATCCCTGTATCTTGCCCCAAGATAGGTGAGTAGAGCCCTGAGGAGAGGGGCAGTGCATTTGGCTTGCACACCATTCAGACCCTTCACCCACCAGCAGTTACAGCCCATCTAGCCCCAAGATCCCTCCCCCAAGATCCCCTGGCTGGGAATCATCTGCTCTCTTGATTGCTGAAGGGTGCATGGATGCATTGGAAGGGGCTGGGAGGATATACCAGGCTCTGACTTTATGGTGTGTAGACCTTAAACCCCCAAAGCCTTTTTGGTTTTATAAAAGCACAGAACAAAGTCATTGAGAATGATCAAGGATCGAAACCATGGGAGAAATATAAAACTATATTTTCTTAAAATGTGGTCATTGAAACACCTGCATTGGAATCACTGGAGATATATAAAAATGGAAATTCCTGGGTGCCTCCCAGATCTACTGAACCAGAATCTCTGAGTCTAGGGGCCAAGGGATCTGCATTTAAAAAAATGTCTTGAGTAATTCTTCTGCACATTCTAATCTGATCCTTTGTATTTGCTGTTCCCTCCACCTGGCATGCTCTCCCTGTAGCTCTCTCTTTGGCTCCCACTTTCAATCCTTTAGATCTCTGTTCAAATATCCTTTCCTCAGAGGGGTCTTTCCTGCTATCTTACCTAAAATAATACCCCTTGCATTCTCAATACTCTTGCTCTGCTTTATTATGTTATTATTTTTAGCTACATGGATGCTAACTATATGTAAATAAATAATATATAGTGTACAATATAGATAACAATACATGATAAAGCCATTTAATCCATATCAGCCTTATCAATGTGCTTATTTGCACCTTTTGGTCTGCTCCCTGAGAGGCGAAGCTCTCGGAGGGCAGGGCTGGCCTGCCTTGCTTAGGGTTGCACCCTCAGTGAACTGTATTGGGTCTAGGAGAGGTTGATATGGGGGAGGGGATGATGCATGCAGAGTGCCCAAGGCTTAGTGGGTGCTCAACATAATGACTGTATCCTAAGCGTGGTGTATACTATGAAAACAAAAAGCCATAAGCTTCCTTGTTCTGGTAGTAATTCCCTACCCCTCCACCCTAAGGACCAGTGAAACTGTTATGAGAGTGACCAAGAAGAAACGTCTTCTCTTGTCCTCTTCAATGTCTGAATTCTGCATCCAGCACATTATCTTCGGTGTCTCCCCCATTTACTTCCCTCGCCTTCTTCCTTAAGGAATATCAGCAATGATAATCCCAGCGACTGGCCAGGCACGGTGGCTCATGCCTGTCATCCCCGCACTTTGGGAATTGAGGCGGGAGGATCACTTGAGCTCAGAAGTTTGAAGCTGCAGTGAGCTATGATCGTGTTGCTGTGCTCCAGCCTGGATGACAGAGCGAGACCCTGTCTCAACAAAAAACAAAAAAACTCAGAAACTATAGGTACTGGTAGACATGCTAATTTCACATCTTAAGTAGACTCCTTAACTCTTTCTGTTGCACTGGCTCTCAGTCAATTTTGGGGAAATCTCTCTGGGAGGGGAACTCTCAGGTCCAAGGCTGGCAAAGGACCAATTGAGTTCCTCTTCTGGAGGACTGGGTGACACAGACACTCAGGTCACTGTGTTTGCCCTGAAGGTGGATGGCAGATGGGCTCCAAAGATGCTGGGGTACAGATCCCCTCTGCCTTTGGTAAGAGGCTGGGGAGGTCTGGCCCTGGTGGAGCCCCCAGGCTGGGACCTTTGGACCAGAGCAGCTTCATTTGTGTACCCAGTGAATCTTACGGATTTTATCACATTCTCTGTGTGCCATAATGTGAAGAACGTTGGGAAGCATTGGTGTAGGTGCAGGGGTGAAGGCAGTTGCATTGGGCCATGAGGCCATCTGTGCTTTGTTTGCTGGTCTTGGACCAGCCTCTGTTTGTGAGTATGAGCTTGTCTGGGCCTCTGTTTCTTCAATCAGTAGCACTGTAACCAGGACACTACAGCAGATATAGCCCAGGAAGGGGCCAAGGGTCTTGAAAGGGCAGAGGCAGTGGAGTGGGGACGATACAGGGAGTCTGAACTGGGAAGGGCCTTGCTAAGAAGAATGTGAAGCCTAAGGTGAGACAAGAGATTATTCGAGAGCTTGGAGCATTGATATATGAGTTGGGTATGATTGTCCCTATGTTTCAGACAAGGAAACCAAGGCTCAGAGTAGTGGAAAAGCTCACCACAGTCAACGGCAGAACTAAGTGGGCCTGAGTGCTTTCTTTTCTTAATGCTGCCCCTTGTAGCTCAAGGAAATTTGATGAAGAGTGTTTTGAAACTTCAGCTGGCTCTTGACAAGTGTTTGTGTGACATTTTGGTGGGAGAGATGGAGATATGTCTGCTGGTATTTGGGACAATTGGGTACATCGCATCAGTACCAGTGGGAATAGAGCAGCCTTGACATTTCACCATCTGAGGAATGGCAGGAGGACTGAGACCATTCTGTCGGAAGAATAGAAAACTTAGAGGGTGCGTTGAGTTGAATAATTTGCCCCAAAAGATATGTCCACTGAGAACTTGTGAATGTAGCCTTTTTTTTTTTTTTTTTTTTTGAAAAAGGAATGGCCAAGCACAGTGGCTCAAACCTGTAATCCCAGCACTTTGGGAGGCCAAGGCAGGCAGATATCCTGAGGTCAGGAGTTTGAGACCAGCCTGGCCAACATGGTGAAACCCTGTCTCTACTAAAAATACAAAAATTAGCCAGGTTTAGTGGTACATGCTTGTAATCCCAGCTACTTGGGAGACTGAGGCAGGAGAATTGCTTGAATCTGGGAGGTGGAGGTTGCAGTGAGCTGAGATTGTGCCACTGCACTCCAGCCTGGGCGGCAGGGTGAAACTCTGTCTCAAAAAAAAGAAAAAAAAAAAAAGAAAAGAAAAAAGAACAAGAAAAAAAAAGATAAAAGGAGTTCTTGCAGATGCAGTTAAACTAAGGATCTTAAGATGAGATCATTTGGGATTATCTGGGTAAGCCCTAAATGCAGAAGAGGAAAAGACATAGACAGAGGAGAAGCTGCTGTGGAGACAGAGGCAGAGACTGGAGAGGTGCAGCTGCAAGCCGGAAATGCCAAAGACTGCGGGCGGCTGCAGGAGCTCAGAGACAGGCATGGGACAGGTTCTCTCTCGGACCCTCCAGGAGGAACCAATCCGGCCAACACCTCTATTTTGGACTGCCCTCCTTCTCAGAACTGTGTGAGAAGGAGAAATGTCTGTTGTTTGACATCACCAAGCTTGTGGCCATTTGGTACGGCAGCCCTGGGGAACTCATACTGGGGGGTAGGATGCCGTCCTCAAAGAAATGAGGGTTGTCATGTGGAAGAGGGACCCTACTCACTCTGTGTCCCTGGAGGAATGTGAGCTTTCCTCTGAGCTTCTAGGTCCTTAGGAAAAGGGCTCCGTACAGTCAGGGGGTTCAGGGATGGAGTGGGCTGCACTGGGGAGGTGTGAGTACCCCATTACTGATATGCCACCAGGGAGTTTCAACTGGCATCTGTTGTGTAGTTGAACTTGACCATTTGTGAGGCCCCCTCCAGCCCTGAGAATCTATGCACTGGTGCAAAGAAAGAGGTAAATGTTTAGAGAGGTGACAGAGGACCTAGAGCTAATGTCCAGGATGCTGCCCAGGGGCCTTAGAGATGGTGACAATGGTTGGTGGGGATATGGGTCTGTTGGAGAGGAGGAAGAAGAGGAAGAGAGCCTGACTGCCAGGCAGGCAGGGGTATCTTTGGGGCTCTGGGAGCCCCAGCCTCTGGATTCTGCCCTCAGTGAGCTTTGCAGGACACCCTACCATACCCCCTCCCTGCTTTCTTCTGATAGAGTCGTTTCCATTTGGATATTGCCTTGAACATGATGTTCACAATCCCCAAAGGGAAGAACATCCCTCAATAAGCCACACAATTCTCCCAGCCAAGAACTTGCTGTTCCAAATTCATTAAAATTGCTGTGATATTCTCTTCCCATTTATGTGCCAAGAGCCGTTGTGGACAGAATTCATAATACCATGGAGTGGTGGATGAAACCGATTGTGCAGTCAGAAAGAAGTGAACTTATTTTATTTTATTTTTAATAAAAGTGTACCTTTCAGGTTGGCAACAAATGCGAGTGTGGGTGTGGGGAAATGGCACACTGATGTGTTTATTAAGGGAGCACAAATTGGTCCAACCCCAATGGATATCAACTTGGAAATGATATAAGATGCAAAATGTGCATGGTAGTTTTGAGTTTTTTAGTCTCTAAAATTCAGGTGGGCGGCCGGGCGCGATGGCTCACGCCTGTAATCCCAGCACTTTGGGAGGCCAAGGTGGGCGGATCACCTGAGGTCAGGAGTTCGAGACCAGCCTGGCCAATATGGTGAAACCCTGTCTCTACCAAAAAAAAAAAAAAATTAGCTGGATATGGTGACACAGTTGTAGTCCCAGCTGCTCAGGAGGCTGAGGCAGGAGAATCGCTTGAACCTGAGAGTCGGAGGTTGCAGTGAGCCAAGATGGTGCCACTGCACTCCAGGCTGGGTGACAGAGCAAGACTCTGTCTCAAAAAAAAAAAAAAAAAGTGAAATTCAGGTGGGCAAGATATGTCAGTTTTAGTTAGTCTGTGATTGAATTTGTTTTTTGTCTCAATACCTCCCTCTCCCTCCCTTTTCCACCAGAAGGTAGAAAATTAATTCTAGGTAATTCAAGATAAACTCGCCATTTGAGGGGGTCTTCAGCCCATTAAGATCTCTTCTCTTACGTTCCTTCCTGGGGGATTTTTGCTTTACCTTAGTAAAGAACCTTTCCTTGCTTCCTGGGGGGCGAGGCACTGTATTTGGGGGTGCTTATGTAGTGAGTCCTTGCTAGGCTGTGACCCCTCACTGCAACAATGGTGCTGGTGAAGGTGTCTGTGGACCAGCGCTGAGTTATCTGCGCCATTTGCTCCTTACTGTGCAGCACTGAGAGCCTTTCCGGTGTGGGTCCCAGCTCACTTTTCTGATCTTCTCAGGTGCACACACTCATTCAGCTCTTCCTCCGTGCTACTTTGGAGCTGTGAACATATAGGGGAGTCGCCTGCGGCTGCGTATCTCCCCCACCATCTCTGCTAGCATGGCTGAAGATTGCAGATGGGAGCTGGCTGGAGCCCAGGTCACCTCTACTTTCAGATCTCCAAACTCATTCAAGGCACTATCTCCCCCATCCCATACTCAGCGCCTACCTGAGCAGCATACCAACCCACACGGCCTTTCTCTGGAGACCTTCATCCCTAGTCTGTTCTCGACCTCCTCCCTCCAGCTTAGAATGTTTCCCTTGTTTTGATTCCCTTTTTGCAGGAAGAAAAGCTCACTCAACAAGCACTCTTCTGCATCTTACCTCTTGAACCTCAAAGCCAGGAACATCCCCACTTTCCTCCTCTATGCTCCTCCACATCGCTCCTTCTGCCAGGCGGGTGCCTAAATTGGAGTGAGTTCTGGGAGAAAAAAACCAATGGGGGCCAGGCATGGTGGCTCACACCTTTAATCCCACCACTTTGGGAGACCGAGGCTGGTGGATCACCTGAGGTCAGGAGTTTGAGACCAACCTGGCCAACATGGTGAAACCCCATCTCTACTAAAATACAAAAATTAGCTAGGCATGGTGGTGCGCGCCTGTAATCCCAGCTACTCAGGAGGTTGTGGCAGGAGAATCGCTTGAACCTGGGAGGCGGAGGTTGCTGTGAACCGAGATTGTGCCACTGCACTCCAGCCTGGGCGACAAGAGTGAAACTCCGTCTTACAAACAAACAAACAAACAACCCAAAAAACAATGGGGCTCATACAACACTTGTCCTTTTGTGTTCTTCTTATATGAAATATATAGACCAGTCAAATTCGTGGAGACAGTGGAATAGAGGTTACCAAGGCTGGAGGGAGGGGGAAATGGAGAGTTATTGCTTAACAGGTACAGGGTTTTGTTTGGGGTGATGTAAAAAGTCTTGGAGATGGATAATGGTGATGGTTGCACAGCAGCAAGCATGTATTTAATGTCTCTGAATGAACTGTACATTTCATACTTAAAACAACCAGTGTTATGTTATATATACATTATCATAATAAAAATAGTAAAAAATAAATAAATGCCAGCAACAGAGCAGAAAATAAAAATCCCGCATCACATCAGCCAATACTTGACAACAGCTTTCTGACTTTGACCCGTTGTTCCATTTAGGGGTCTTGAGTCTGTGGAAACCCTGGCCGGGGTGTACCCAGCTCGAGTGCAGGGGGGCGCGTAGCAGCAGCCTGGCGTGTCATCGTGAGACACGGGAGACAACCTGGGTATCCATCAATGGGGGACCAAGTGAATAAATGATGGCGGAGCCACACAATGCCGTGCTGTGCAGTGGGATGAAGAATGTGCCCTGCTCCGTGTATGTGCCGACGTGGAAGATGCCCACGATGTATTGTGCAGGGAGCAGAATAATGTGTGTGGTAGCATCTTGTTTGTGTAAAAAGGCCTATATATATGGAATGGGTATGAATTTGCTGGACATTTGAGGTAAAGGAAGTGCGACCTCCTTCTTGGCTCCCTCCCTTTTTTCTCTCTTTACCAGATAAGGATTTATATTTGCTTTCCTTACTTCTTTTTCCTCTTTCCACAACTGTGATTTTCTAATCTACGTGTCTACTGTGCCTGACAGTCATTTTCATCTTTTTTTTTTTGGAGGGGGCCCGATTCTCGCTGTGTTGCCCAGGCTGGAGTGCAGTGGCATGATCTCTGTTCACTGCAACCTCTGCCTCCTGGGTTCAAGCGATTCTCCTGCCTCAGCCTCCCAAGTAGCTGGGATTACAGACGGCTGCCACCATACCCAGCTAATTTTTGTATTTTTAGTAGAGACGAGGTTTCACCAAGTTGGTCAGGCTGGTCTCGAACTCCTGACCTCAGGTGATCCACCCACCTCGGCCTCCCAAAGCCCTGGATTACAGGCATGAGCCACAGCACCCAGCCTTCATCTATTTTTAACATGTAAAAAATTTTGAGAGATAACTAATATACAGAAAAGTGCATAAAACAGAGATGTCTAGTTTAAACTTATAAACACCCACGTATCTACCACCCAGGCCTAGACATTGAACAGTGCTAAGCACCCCCATGTGCCCTCCCCAGTTAACTCCCTCAAGAGGTAACTGCTCTTCATTTATAGTAACAATCATTGCTTTTAAAAACTCATTTTATTACCCCTGTAATCCCAGCACTTTGGGAGGCCGAGGTGGGCGGATCATGAGGTCAGGAAATCGAGACCATCCTTACTAACACGGTGAAACCCCGTCTCCACTAAAAAATACAAAAATTAGCCTGGCGTGGTGGCAGGCGCCTATAGTCCCAGCTACTCGGGAGGCTGAGGCAGGAGAATGGCGTGAACCCGGGAGGCAGAGCTTGCAGTGAGCTGAGATCGCGCCACTGCATGTCAGCCTGGGCGACAGAACGAGACTCCATCTCAAAAAAAAAAAAAAAAAAATTCATTTCATTTTGAATAAATTTAGATTGATAGAAGAGTTGCAAAAATAAACCAGAGAATTCCTGTATGCCCTTTGTATACTCACATACCCTTCACTCGCCTTCCCCTAATGGAAACATCTTACATAACCACAGCATGTTTATCAAAACTGAGATTGACACTGGTCCAACACTATTTACCGAACTACGAACTTCATGGATGTCGCCAGTTTCCCATGAATGTTCTCTTTCTGTTCCGGGATCCACTCCAGGATCCCATATTGGATTTAGTTATCATTTCTCCTTAGTTTCTTCCATCCATGACTGTTTCTTGGTCTCTTCTTGTGTTTTCATGACTTTGGCACTTATAAAGAGTGCTTGTCAGAAATTTAAGTAGAAAAGTAAGAAAAGCCAGGTAGAATCCTTGCTTTTCTTTGTAATTTTCCTCTCCTAAGTATATATCCCTGAACAACATAGTTAGGTTTGGCCTGTTTTGAATTTTATCTAAGTGAACTAATACACGCATATTCTTTTGTGTCTTACCTTTTTCATTTAACATTATGTTTTTGGGGGAACCATTCATGTTTTTGTGTGCAGCTGAAGTTCATTTTTCTTGCTGAATATTATTCCGTTGTATGGCTGTAATAATAATAATGCAATGGCTATAATTCTGGATTGTTTCTAGGTTTTGGCTATTGCAAACAATGCTGGCTGAAGCATTGTTTCTTTTTATTTTACTTTAAGTTCTAGGATACATGTGCTGAACGTGCAGGTTTGTTACATAGGTATACATGTGCCATGGTGGTTTGCTGCACCTGTCAAACTGTCATCTAGGTTTTAAGCCCCGCATGCATTAGGTATTTGTCCTAAGCATTCTTTTTTTTGAGACAGGGTCTCACTCTTGTCACCCAGGCTGGAGTGCAGTGGCCCCATCTTGGCTCACTGTAATCCCTGCCTCCCAGATTCAAGTGATTCTCCTAGTTCAGCCTCATGAGTAGCTGAGACTACAGGTGGGTGTCAACATGCCTGGCTAATTTTTTTGTTTTGTTTTGTTTTGTTTTCAGTAGAGATGGGGTTTCACCTTGTTGGCCAGGCTGGTCTCAAACTCCTGACCTCAGGGGATCCGCCTGCCTTGGCCTCCCAAAGTGCTGAGATTATAGGCATGTGCCACCACGCTCGGCAGATGGCCGAAGCATTCTTATTACATATCTCCTGAAATAGTTGGGCCCACATTTCTCTAGGAGAGGAAACCAGGAGATAAATATCCAGGAGAGGAAACTTTGGCTGAAGAATTTCCATGTCTTCAGCTGGACTAGATACTGCCAGACTTTCTTCCAAAGTGGTTTTACCAATTTAAACAGCCCCACCTGCAGCGTCAAGTTCTCAGTGTGCCCTATCATTATTTTTTCCCCTAGTCCTTAGTAACAGACATCATTATTTTTTGAAATCAAAATAAATCAGTCAAGATTCTGGCAGGAAAGAGATGTACACAAAATGCTTATAACAATGCTAGGGTTCTATTTAAGAGCATTTAATAAAGAGATTATTTATACAAGAGTGGCCAGGATGAAAGGAACCAATAAGAAATGCTGAGACACCCAGGCACTAGGGCAGCAGGAAGCTGTTGCTGCCTCTGGGGCTGAAGGGACAGGAGGGAGAAGAGGGGAAAGCGGAGGTCCCTGCCTGGGCTGTAAGCACACATCAGTGTTTCTCAACCCGTCCTTCCTTCCTTTCTTTCTTTCCTTTCTTTCTTTCTTTCTCTCTTTCTTTCTCTTTCTTTCTTTCTTTCTTTCTTTCTTTCTTTCTTTCTTTCTTTCTTTCTTTCCTTCCTTCCTTCCTTCCCTCTTTCTTTCTTTCTCTCTTTTCTTTCTCTCTCTCTCTCCTTTCTTTCTTTCTTTTCTTTCTTTCTTTCTTTCTTTCTTTCTTTCTTTCTTTCTTTCTTTCTTTCTTTCTTTCTTTCTCTTTCTCTCTTCTTTCTTTTTTGAGACGGAGTCTCACTCTGCAGTAAAGTGGCACGATCTTGGCTCACTGCAGCCTCTGCTTCCCAGGTTCAAGCGATTCTTGTGCCTCAGCTCCAGAGTAGCTGGGATTACAGGCACCTGCCACCACATCTGGCTAATTTTTGTATTTTTAGTACAGATGGGGTTTCACCATGTTGGCTAGGCTGGTCTTGAACTCCTAACCTCTAGTGATCCACCCACCTCAGCCTTCCAAAGTGCTGGGATTACAGGTGTGAGCCACCATGCCCGGCCTCAACCTGTTTTTCATCATGACACCCTGTTGCATGTTGAATTGTGTCACCATCCAACATATGTTCAAGTCCAATATCTGTGAATGGGACCTTATTTGGAAATAGGGTCTTTGCAGATGTAATCAAGTTAAGATGAGATCTGTCTTAGCTCAGGCTGCTAGAGCAAAGTATCATAGACTGGTCTCGAACTCCTGACCTCAAGTGATCCTCCCGCCTCAGCTTCCCAAAGTGCTAGGATTACAGGCATGAGCCACCATGCCTGGCCCTGTGCTGTGGCTCTTTGGAGGGTCACAAATTATTGCAATATATAAGGTTATGTCTCCCCAGGAACCAGTGGTCACCCTCTTGGGGGCGTGATTGCTCTTGTTGAGGCTGCAGGAGCCAGAGGGAAGAGCCAAACTGAGGGGAGGCAGAGAAGGGACCAGAGAACAGACCCCCTTCCCTGTCTTTCCACCCACTCCTGGGTGGCCTCCTGCTGGCTGGACTTAGCCAAGAGCCAAGGCTGAGGGGGTTCAGGGGTGCTGCCTTCTGAGATCAGCCCCGGGGAGCAGGGCAGGGCTAAGAGGGGCAGAGAATGGGTGCAGGTTGGGGCGCCCATGAAGAACAACTCAGTTCACAGCCCCAGCTGCTCCCAGCGTCTGCCAGTCCTTCTGGGGGCTGTCCTTCCTCTGCTAGAAAAGTAGGAGACCCCCCCAAGGCCAACATGGCCCAGAAAAATGGGAGGAGAGGCTGATTTTCCATCCAGATGGCCTCTCCAGGTGATCCTGAACCACATGACCTATCTGAAGCTGGGCAGCTGCACTTCCTCTGTGCCCAGCCAGGACGAGGGGCTCTTCACGAGGCTCTGATGTTGTGGCAGTCAATACAGGCCTCCCCCAGCACCCCATAGCCCTCCTGGGTGCCATGGAGGAGTGCAGTTCAGCATCCCTGGCTTGCAGCTCCCCCACCTCCCCACCTGGCCTCCCCACCCCCTCCTCTTTAACAAGGCTTGGAACCCTTCCCCTCCCAGACTCTTCAGGTCTATTTCCTCAGGGAATCGAGGTTTCTATAAAGAAAAGCATAAAACGAGATGAACATCAGCATCTTAGGGATGATCACAGACAGCAGAGTATGGGAGATTAGTTTGGGTTCTGGGCCAGGTTGCCTGGGTTTGGATCCTGGATTTGCTACTCACTGGCTATGGAACCCTGGGTAGGTTACCTAACCTCTCTGTGCCTCAGCTCTCTCTCTGAAAAGTGGGGATATGACAATATCTGTCTTACAGAGTTATTCTGAGCATTAAATGAGCTAATGGATAGAAAGTGCTTAGAACAGTGCCAGGCATATAGTAAGTGCTATGTAAGAGTTAGATCTATTATTACTTTGCTAGGTGTGTCTCTATTTTGAATGTGCCATAGAAAGTTCTAGAGTTGGCTGGCCAGGCATGGTGGCTGATGCCTGTAATCCCAGCACTTTGGGAGGCCGAGGCAGGTGGATCACCTGAAGTCAGGAGTTCGAGACCAGCCTGGCCAACATGGTAAAACACTATCTCTACTAAAAATAGAAAAAATTAGCCGGGCGTGGTCGTGTGTGCCTATAGTTCCAGCCACTCGGGAGGCTGAGGCAGGAGAATCACTTGGACTTGGGAGGTGGAGGTTGCAGTGAGCCAAGATCATGCCATTGCACTCCAGCCTGGAGTGCCAAGAGCGGAACTCCGTATCGGGGGGGGAAAAAAAAAGAAAGTTCTAGAGATGGCTAATGGTGCCACCTCACGGGAGTAGAGCTGGGCCTACAGGAGAAAAACTTTCACTTTTTAAAAATACTTACTTTATGTTATTGAAAAAAAATTTTTTTGAGACAGGGCCTTGCTCTGTGGGAGTGCAGTCTCAGACTGGAGTGCAGTGGGGGAATCATAGCTCACTGCAACTTCAAACGCCTAGGCTCAAGCAGTCCTCCTGCCTCAGCCTCCCACATAGCTGGGCCTATAGATATGAACCACCTATAGACATGAGCCACCCCACCACACCCAGCTAATTTTTATTGATTTATTTTTGGTAGAGACAGGGTCTTGCTATGTTTCCCAGGCTGGCCTTGAACTCTTGGTCTCAAGTGATCCTCCCACCTTGGCCTCCCAAAGCTCTGGGATTACAGTCATGAGCCATAGTGTCTGGCCTTATTTAAAATTTTTAAAACAAGCAATTGTAATAGTATTTAGGAATAACATATTTGCTCTAGAAATTTTAACTTTTTTTTTTTTTGAGATGGAGTCTCGCTCTGTTTCTCAGGCTGGAGTGCAGTGGCGAGATTTCCGCTTACTGCAACCTCTGCCTCCTGGGTTCAAGCGATTCTCCTGCCTCAGCCTCCCAAGTAGCTGGGATTACAGGCACCTGCCACCACACCTGGCTGATTTTTGTATTTTTAGTAGAGACGGGGTTTCACCATGTTGGTCAGGCTGGTCTTGAACTCCTGACCTCAGGTGATCTGCCTATCTCGGCCTCCCAAAGTGCTGGGATTACAGGCGTGAGCCACCGCACCCAGCCTCAGAAATTTTAACTTTTTAAGGTAAAATATAAGTTTTTGCAAAAATATGATAAGCTTTGCACCATTTAGTGTGGAATATAAGACATGACAGATTGTCGTCAGTCTCCCTTTCACTGCATGTGAGCTTCCAGAGAAAAATTTATGGGTGTTCCTGGGATTGGGGTTGGACTTGCCTAATTGCCTAGATTGGGAGTTCGGTAAACTTCTCCTGCTGGACGTGGAGGAGGGGCTGAGCCTTGGGCTGCATTCTCTGCACCCACCTCTAGTAGGCCTCCCAGGACCACCCACCGCCCAGCACCTGCCCTGGTTGCCAGGGAAACAGCCCTTTATCGAGTGGAGCCATCCCCAACTCAGCCCAGTGATTTGTCCTTGTCTAATTATTATTACTCTTTGCATTTTCCTTTTGGATGAGTGATGGGGGAGGGTCGGGGGGGGTGGGAGGGTGCAGGAGCAGAGGAGCAGTGATTTGTGGGGCTGGCAGCTTATCTTTGAGAGGAGGACATTTATCTTTCTGGAAGCAGAAAACCGCCCAATGGAGACAAATTCAGCAGTTCCCGAGTGGTTCTGTTTGTGGATTCACACACTGATCTGGAGTTACCGACCTGGAATTGCATGTGCACGTGGGTTTGGGGTGTGGGAATGTGCGCACGTAGCAAGCAGACCTCTCAGAGTGGCTCTGTCCAGAGCCACAGTCCTGTGAGCGTGTCTGTGGTTATTGTGTGCTCACTGTGTACAGCTCCTAAAATGGTATGTGCACACGTCTGCATGTGTCTGAATGTGTGTGCACACTTTGACTAGACTAGGCAACCTAGGTGTGCCTGCTTGCATGCACTCATGTGATAACATGTGGCTGTGTGTGCACATTGTAGACAAAGCAAGGAAAAGCTGGGTGGGTACAGATTGAATATGTAGCTATCAAATGTGTTTGTCTTCATGGGGCTCTGTGTGTAGGGCCTGAGCACATGTGTAGCCAACTTCTGAGCAGGCCTGCATGTGAACATTGTACACATTGTTATGAGAACCAAAAAATAGACCGTAAAATCAGGGTGCTGACCTAAGCCAGAGACACCTGAGATGAAGGCATAGGGTTTGGATAGTATGGAAGATATGCACACTGCACATTTTAGTAGCTGGGGTAGATTGCAAAAACATCCCCACTCATTTGTCCCTGCCCGAATCCTTGCCCTTTCAATGTGACTTTGCAGTTCCTCCTAATAGAAGATAAAGTCTATTCCCCTACCGTCTTGACCTGGACTGGACTTGAAACTTGCTTTGGGCAATAGAATGAAGTGGAAGGGACAATGAGTCAGTTCTGAGCCTAGGCCTCAAGACAGCTGGCAGCTTCCACTAGCTCTCTTAGAACTGTGCCCAGCTGCACATGAACAAGGCTCAGCTAGGCTGCTGGAGGATGAGGGACCATTAGAGACTAGGGGGAGAACAGCCCCAGTTATCCTGGCTGCAGCCATCCTACACCATCTTAGAGCCAACTGACTTGCAAATACATGAGAGAGTCCGGCCAAGACCAGCAGAGCTGCCCTTCCTAACCTTTAGTTGACCACAGACACATACGTGAGCCCTGCTGACTCACAGACATGTGAGCAATTACAGTTGTTTTTAAGTCTCGTGAGTATTGGGGTGATTTGTTATGCAGCATTATTGTTGCAGTGCATAACTCATTACTAACTAAATACTCAGCATACACACAGATGATGTACACACACAGCAAAAGCATATACCATTGACATACACATAGGATTGTTGGCTCTGTGTACTAAAAGTATTAGTTAGTTATCTGTTGCTGTTACAAATTACTCCAAAATTTAGGAGCTTAACACACAAACATTTATTACCTCATAGTTTCTGTGTCTCAGGAATCAGGGCATGGCTTAGCTGAATGTCTTTGGCTCAAGGTCTTTCATGAGGTTACTGTCTTATTATTGGGGCTGCAGTCTCATCTGAAGACTCAACTGAGGGAGTATCCACTTCCATTTTCACTCACAGGTTGTTGTCAGGATTCTGTTCCTTGATGGTGATTGGTTGGGGCAGGGTCTCCCTCAATTCCTTGCCATGTGGGGTTTTCCACATGGCAAGCTTACAACATTGCAGAGTGAGACAGAGAGAGAGAGAGACAGAGAGAGAGAGAGAGAGACAGAGAGAAGCAATGGTTTTTTTGTAACCTTATTGCAGAAGTGACATCCCATCATTTTTGCCATATTTGTTAGAAAAAGTCACGACATCCAGCCCACACTCAAGGAAAAAGGAGAGGGGATTACATGAAGTGTGAAAGGAGTGGGGGGATCACTGGGGACTGTCTCAGAGGCTGCCTACCACACAGGGTGTACAAATAAATAGGCTCACATTCAGCTGGACTAGCTGTACAAGATCAGCCTTTTTTTCATGGCTTTTGCTCAGCCAAAGACACTGAGTGTCAGAGAAAGTGGGTTTTGCAGGTTCTAAAGACCCAGGTATTCTATTCTCTTGGTCCTGTCATTGGAGCTAAGGCTATTTTGCCTAGAAAGGAAGCTCTCTCTGCTGTGGGATGGGGGAGGAACACTTCACTCCAGACCTTCCAACCAGGATTCCAGACATTCACATCCTGAAGCTTGAGGAGGGACAGGAATCCTCAGGTTCTCAGAGAGGAGGAGCCTTTACTTAGGGTGTGGCTGGAGGTGGAGATGCTTGAGACCCTCTAGAGGGGCAGATGCTGAGAGCTTTCTCCTTTTTGGGCATCTGACCTGGAGTAATGTGGTCTCCCTGTGGGATCTGATTTTCCTTCCAAGCCCTTTCTCCTCTGTGGTCTCAGGGCTGGGCTGTCTATGAACATCGCAGACCCAGCCTACACTTCCCCGAGATGGGCAAGCCCAACCTCTTCCTCCTTAGAGCTCACCTGCCCTTTCCACTCCCTTCCCAACCTGCAATTTCAGGTCCCTTTGTCCCCTCCCCACACCCAGAGCTGGATATTGATGACCTGGGACCCTGTACACTGCAGCAGCACTGGGCAATGCGCAGCTGTGTGTGTGTGTGCACATGTGTGCGTGTGTGTGAGGGTGGTGGGACTGAGGTGGGGGGGGTGGATTTCAGTCCCCATATGAAGCCTGCTGCAGATCAAAATAGGCAGATGAAGTCAGGAGTGGTGGCTCACGCCTGTAATCCCAGCACTTATGGAGGCACAGGTGGGAAGATCGCTTGAGCCCAGTAGTTCGAGACCTGCCTGTGCAACACAGCAAGATCCCGTTTTTGTTAAAAAAAAAAAAAAAAGAAGGGTAGATGTCCTGCCCTGTGAACCAGCCTCATGTTGAAACCTTCTGTTAGGAGAGTGGAGGGCAATGTGTCCTCCCAGAGTCTATGTGGGGCTCCAGCCCAAAGCTGGGACCCACTGCCCTGCAGGTATTCACCCCTCTCCCTGCTTAGAGCTGCTTACTGCACTGCCCAGGGGGCCAGACTGTCCACCCCCAGGACAAACTTGGGCTAAGGGTGAAGTCACGTTTCCCAGCTCAGAGCTCTTGAACTGGAGAGTTTTTGAGCCCCTTGTGTAGGGTCCCAGTCCCTCTGCTTTGAACAAACGTGTGCGTGAGGGTCTTGACATGGTCCAGGGAGGGATGATGGAGTTTGGACTCGGGGGGAGGCGGTGGGGATGGAGAGAAGTGTGGGTGGGTTTAAGAGACATTTAAGCAGTCGGGCTGACAAGCTCAGAGGATGTAGATATGGCGGCTGGGTGAGGAGATGGTGCAGGAGGGAGGGGGAGGAGGAAGAATGACACACAGCATGTTTTCTGTAAAGTTCACTGGGGATAATGAGTGCCTCTGGCATTTGAGTAACAAATACAGCAGCTTTAGTCTCCTGTCCGGGATTGGCTCTGAGGCACTAATGATACCTAATGATATCTGCATGCAGAACTTCCAGAAGGGCAGGTAGAAACTTAGCTACAAGAGGTCGCTTTCTGGGAAAAGAGGCAGAGTGTATTCCCTGAAGGCTGTGTTTCCGTAGGAAGTTGGAAGTTGGGCATCCTGAGACTCTGCAAGGACAGTCCATGTCCACCCCTCCCCTCCAAGCCCCTACCCACTCAAGGTCATCCCTCAGGACTGGTTCCTCCGTGCCTTTTCTCCTTACCCCTACCCTTTGCTTCAATCCAGCCCTGTTTCTGTTTTTGTTCTCTGAGCTCTGGACTCTGTATTTGTCAGGACTTTATTGACTTGTGTAATGAGACACTTAGAGATACATCCGCTTTCAGGAAGCGCTGGATCCAGGAGATTGGCCAGTGGTGTCAGGTGTCAGCTGTGCTTTGTCTTTCAATGCTCCTTTCCTTTTCATGTTCTTTGAAAAGTTTTTTATGAAAAAATTTTTTTTTGACACGAGGTCTCACCCTGTCACCCATGCTGGAGTGCAGTCATGCGATCATAGCTCACTGAGGCCTCCAACTCCTGGGTTTAAGGGATCCTCTCACCTCAGCCTACCAAGTCTCTGGGATTACAGACTGAGCCACTGCTCCTGGCTCTGTGTTCTTGAGTCTCAGTCTACACAGCTGCAGCAACCCTAGATTTTCACTTTCATGCTGAACAACCTCAGAGCAAAGAAGACCTTTATTTTCAGGACAGTTCCAGCAAAAGCCTCAGGACTGACTCACTGGTATGAACCAGTCACTGGCCCAGCAGGACGTGGCAATTTGCCTGGCTGGGCATGTATGGGTGCTCACTCTGAGGGTTGGC
Organism: Homo sapiens; assembly: GCF_000001405.40. Lineage (NCBI taxonomy): Eukaryota > Metazoa > Chordata > Mammalia > Primates > Hominidae > Homo > Homo sapiens. Next base: position 39,071,109 of record NC_000020.11, read on the forward strand.
CCAGCCCAGCTCAAACCACACAGCCTGAACGTGGGAGAGGGGTGGTCCTCAGAATGAAATTGGGGTACTAAAAGCAGAGCAAAGAGGAATGGAGGCCAGGCAGAGAGGACCCATGGAGACTGACCTCAGACCCTACCTTGTCTCTGTCTCCTTCCTGGCATCTTTGACTTCCAGTATTGGGAACTCACTCACTCATCCAACCCCAGGTTTGGCTCTGACACTGCTTTGGTCACCTGGGGTAGGAAATTTTGCTCTGGACTCACCAAACCTTGTTCTTTTCCTAACCACTGAAGAGGAAGCAGTGTATAAGGGTCCTCCAGAGAAGCAGGACCAATAGGATGTACATGTACACGTGGAAACAGATTGATTCTAGGGGCATGACTCCTGCGATGATGGAGGCTGACAAGTCCCAAGGTCTGCAGGGTGAGTTGGCAAGCTGGAGATCCCAGAGAGCTGGTACTGGAGCTCCTGCCTGAATGCTGGGAGAGACCCAGGAAGAGCTGATGTTTCCATTCTAGGAAGAGCGCAGGAAAATAGGTCAATGTCCCAGTTGGAAAGAGGTTAGGTAGGAGGAAAGATTCACTTTTACAGCAGGGAGGGTCAGCCTTTTTTCTTCTATTCAGCCCTTCTACTGACTAGTGAGGCCCACCCATATTATATGTGGTGGGGGACAGTCTACTTTACTCTGTCCATTTAAATGTTAATCTCATCCCCAAACACCCTCACAGACACACCCAGAATAATGTTTGAACAAATATCTGGGCACTCCATGGCCCACTCAAGTTGGCACATAAAATTAACCATCGCAAGCACCAAGTAGGTCATCTCTGACCCTCTCTAAGGCCGGGTCAGAGAGCTGGTCAGAGGACTGGGCTGAGTTGGAACTCTGACAGGGCATCCTCTCTGTGCCCCGAATGACCTTTTTGCCTACCTTGGAGCAGGTTGTGTATTTCATCTGCCTGTACCTCATTCCAAAATATTATCTTCCTTGGTTACCATCAGGGCGGGGGACCCAGGCGAGGTCTGTTGCCAAGTTCCCTCCATAGGCTCCAACTCTGTCAGGACGGGGTCCACTCTATTATCTCCACACTGTCCTGTGCCCCGGGAAGCCTGACTCCTGGGGGCCGGGGCTTCTGGGCTCCAGGCGGGGTGGGTCCTAGGAGCCCCCTTGGGATCGGAGAAATGGGGGAGAGCTGCCAGGGGTCGGTTCCCCTGCTCCTGCCACAGGTGTGTCCCTCTTCCCTGGAGGCGGCCCTCCCTGCGGCTCCCCCGGCACAGGCTCAATGACACTGCCCTTCTTCCTCTCACCCTCAGGTACAGGGACATGGCTGCTCCTGCTGGTCCTGGTTCCAGGGGGCTCCCCTCCCCTGTTGGGGCTCTCGACCGTGCCCACACCTCTGACAGTCCCCTCATTTTATCTCTGCAGAATCCCAGCAGGCTGTGTTGAGAGTAGTGTTCCTGTGGGAGCTACCCAGGGGGAGCGGGGGCCAGCTCGGCCCTGAGAGGCTGTGTTGGGGGGACCGTCCTACCCTGTGGGCACTACCAAGTCTATCTAAGGCTTTGTGTCCAGAGAAGGCTCAGAGCAGTCAACAGGGTTATCCTAAGCGAATCCTACCCTCCATCATTGGTATGATGAATTTGGGCAGTTAACTGAGCCTGGGTCACTTTCTTTTATCGCCTCTCATTCATTGTGTGACCCATAGAAAGTCAAGTCAGGTGAGCTTTCTAAGCCTCAATTGCCTCATCTGTAAAATGGGTATACTAAGACCTCCCCCAAGGCCACTCTCCATAGCTTATTTCATCCTGCACAGTGGACTTTGTCTTTGGGGAGAATTAAGTTTGGCCCCAATTTCATTCATTCATTTGTTCATACATTCAGGGACTGCCCCCTGGACTTCACAGCATGCTAGAGGCTGGGTTGGACCCCTACCCTTCAGGTCAGAAGCAACTTCTCTCCCTTCTCTCCCTTTCTCCTTCATAAAGATTTTTTTTTTAAAAAGTTGACTTTATCGAGGTATAATTTACATAAAATTTGTATATTTCAGGTTTATAGATCAACCATCTTTGACAAATGTATACACCTGTGTAATCTGCACCCCGACCAAGACATAGACCATTTCCATGAGTCTGGAAAGTTCCCTGGAGTTTTGTTGCAGTCACCTGCCACCCACCCCCCTCACCATCAAGCCACGTCTGATCCAGTTTCCATCACTATCTCTCAGTTGAAATTTTCATTTGCTTTCATTTTGCCTGTTGTACCCTTTCCCTTTCCCTTCCCTTTCTTTTTTTCTTTTTTTTTGAGATGGGGTATTGCTCTGTTGCCCAGGCTGGAGTGAAGTGGTGTGATCACAGCTCACTGCAGCCTTGACCTCCCAGACTCAAGCAACCCTCCCACGTCAGCCTCCAGAGTAACAGGGACTACAGGTGTGCACCACTACTGGCTAATTTCTAAATTTTTTATAAAGATGAGGTCTTGCTATGTTGCCCAGGCCTGGGCTCAAGTGAGCCTCCCACCTCAGTCTCCCAAGGTGCTGGGATTATAGATATGAGCCACCACACCCAGCCGTGTTTTACACAAGGAGAGCACATGTCTCCTTGGTAAAACAATATTCATTTTCCTATAACCTATCTTTTTCAACCATTGCCAGTAATGGCCAGATAAAATACATGAACACAAACACAGACGCGTGCACATACGTGTACCTATGTACACACACAATCCTCTCACATATGCACATTCACACTTACACACATACATGCATTACACAAACTTACATATATGCATACAAATATAGGTTAAGGAAACTTTTTCAAGGCTCAAAAAGATCTAGGCCATGGTGAGACAGAACACAGTTGTGTTTTTACTGAAACCCCTCGTGATAGTGCACACATGAACACACATGCACACAAGCCCCAAAGCTGAGAATCATTTGCCATCACTTCCTGCTCCCCTGTCAGAGTCAGCGCAAGAGGAGAAAAATCGGAATTCTTTCCCTGTCTCAAAAGTAAAAGGGACAAATTAGTTTCTTGTCAGTGCACTGCAATAAATACATTGTCATTTTTATCCCCCAGTGAATCATAGTCTCCATTTCTCCCGTAACTATTATACAGTCTGCTGGCACTATATCATTTTTTGGTAATTTTATTTTCACCAATTGTTTTATGAAATTTTTGAGTTTTATGGACACTAAAACAAATCTAGCCTGCGAGTGTTATAGCCCTTTAAATCATCGGCAGGAAATCTCAAGGTTCCTCCAGACTGTGGTGGAAGGAGGCTTTAGGGAAGAAAGATCGCCCCTAGCTTATAAACTGAGCAAAAACCCAGAGATAAGTTTGTAAAAGGGACATAGATCATGGCGGGTGAAAACTGGGGTGTAAAACATCTCCCTGCTCAGCTCCTATAAGAATAAAAATGGACTTTTATTTAGCAGAAACACTAAAGTAGTTGGGGAGAAGGAACACATGGTCCTAATCTCCTCTTTCTTAGCCACAAGAGCCTGTATTTCCCTGTGGGTCAGTGTGAGCCTAACTCCAGCAGCTCATAGCCAGGAGGGTAACCAGGTTAGGGACCATCTCAGGGAAGCCAAGAATCCCCGTGATGTTGGCACAAAACACAACCCTCTATATGAATGTCAAGGTCATATCTCTGATGTCAGTGGAAAAAGGGATAAAACTGACTCTAAAGCACATGGGAAAAGAAAAACCAACAATCCAATCCAACAAGAGGAGAAGAGCTAAATTGATGTGAAAGAAGGTTTGCCTTACCAGGTATTAAAATGCATTATAAAGCTACAATAATAAAAGCAGCATGTTACTGGCATACGACTAGACAGACAAATCAATGGAATGAAATAGTCCTAAATAAAACTCAGTCCATGAAAAATGAAAGATCACATATCAATAGAAGAGGGATGGATTATTCAGTAAGTGCTATCTGTAAATGTGGTAATTTGGAAAACAGTCAATTTAGATATTTATCTCATTCAAGAGTCCAAAAAATAAAAACTAGACAGATGAAACATTTGAAACTAAAAAATTAAACAATAAAATGCTGGAAGAAAGTATTAAAAAAGTATTTGATTTCCAGATGAGGAGGCTTTTATCCATGACTTTGGGTAGAACCGCTAAGAAAAAAGACCAACAGATTTAGCTTGCAATATGTTTACATGCCTGCATTTCAAGACATATCCCCCACCTAGAGGCCAAAAGAGGCTGGGCATGGTGGCTCATGCCTGTAATCTCGGCACTTTGGGAGGCCAAGGCAGGAGGATTGCTTGAGCCCAGGAGTCTAATATCAGCCTGGGCAATGTGGCAAGACTCTGTCTCTACAAAAAATAATAAGAAAAAATTAGCCGGACATGGTGGCATAAGCTTGTGATTCTAGCTGGGAGGGTAAGGTAGGAGGATCGCTTGAACCTAGGAGATTGAGGCTGCAGTGGGCCGTGTTTGCACCACTGCACTCCATCCTGGGCAACAGAGCGAGACCCTGTCACAAAAAAAAAAAAAAAAAAATGCTGAAAGATAAGCTGACCAAATCTTTTTGACATACATGACAGCAAAAGGGAAATCTCTTGATAAAGAAAATCACTAGGACTTAATGGAATGGGCAGAGGATACAACCCTACAATTCATTGAAGAAAAAACAAATATCTCCTAAGCGTAGGAAAACATTTCCCACCATACTAGCTGTGATGGTTCATTTTATATGTCAGCTTGTGCCCAGACATGTGGCCAAACATTATTCTGGGTGTGTCTACTTCTGGATGAGATTGACATTTGAATTTGGGTAGACCAAGTAAAGCAGATTCCCCTTCCTCATGAAGGTGGGTCTCATCCAATCAGTTGAAGGCTTGAATAGAACAAAAAGGCTGGCCCTCCTGCGAATAGAGGAGCTCCTCCTGCCTGACTATCTTCAAGCTGGGACATCAGGTTTTTTTTCCCCTGGGTTTGGACTCAAATGGAAACATTGGCTCTTCCTGGGTCTCAAGCCTGCTGGCATTTGGACTAGAACAACACCATTGGCTCTCCTGAGTATCTAGCTTGCCCAACTGCAGATTTTGGAACTTAGCTTCTAAAATCGCACATGCCAGTTCCCTCTACTGAATCTCTTTGCATATCAATATCATCTCTATCTATCCATCTCTCCTCTTGGTGCTGTTTCTTTCGAGAACTGTGACTAATGCGCTGGGCATCAAGGATATACAAATTAAAATCCCACTGATATGCTAGTTTTTCTCATGCCTCTTGATTTTTTGAGAATTCTCTGGGATTCTCCTGATCAGAATCTAGACAAAGCTTATCCAATGTGTGGCCTGTGGGCTGCATGCAGCCCAAGACAGCTTTAAATGTGGCTCAATGAAAATTCATAAACTTTCTTAAAACATTATGAGTTTTTTTGCTATATATATATATATATATATGTTCATCAGCTATTGTTAGTATTAGTGTATTTATGTGTGGCTCAAGACAGTTCTTTTTTTTTGAGATGGAGTCTCACTCTGTCACCCAGGCCGGAATGCAATGGCTCAATCTCAGCTCACTGCAACCTCCGCCTCCCGGGTTCAAGCGATTCTCCTGCCTCAGCCTCCCGAGTAGCTGGGATTACAGGCGCGCACCATCATACCTGGCTAATTTTTGTAGTTTTTTCTTTTTTTAGTAGAGACAGGGTTTCACCATATTGGCCAGGCTGGTCTTGAACTCCTGACCTCGGGTGATCTGCCCGCCTCAGTCTCCCAAAGTGCTGGGATTACAGCCGTGAGCCACTGCTCAGCCTCAAGACTGTTCTTATTCTTCCAATGTGGCCCAGGAAAGCCAAAAGATTGGCTATCCCTGATCTGGACATTCTTAAGTGTCTCCCAACTTAAAAAATGATCTCTCTTTATTCCCACAGCTGTGTCAAATCATTAGCTCCTCTTGTCCCTCTCACAGCCCACTTTCTTTAAACTGCTCTCAAGACCTGCCTCTTCCTCTCTTGCCATCCAGTCGTCAAACCCTTCCACGTGGCTTCCCACCTGTCTCTCCTGCGGAACCTCATGTCTGGGTCCTCATCAGGGTCTGCCTGTCCACCACTCCAGGGGCGCCGTTTGCAGGACTTTGATGGGGGTGATGCCCTGCTGTGCAGTACAGCTGCCCTGCTGCAGATCCCTGGGAGCTTGCAGCCCTTTCCTTATCAGAGCTTTCAGGTACATTTGACCCGAGGCTGGTAGAGGTGAGGTTTATGGGAGGAGAAGAGAAGAGAGCCTTCCACGGAGTTTTTAACCCGCATTTCTGCCCCACTCTTTGGAAGTAAATGAGTACATGCTATTTCCTTGCTATCTCAGGTAGGAAAAACAAGCTCCAAAGAGTCATCCTTTTCATTTTATTTAACTTTGTGTTTAAAAATGTAACAGATACTCCGTTAACCCTGAAAATCTGAACAAGTCTTACTAGTTCTTTCTACCCACCCACCTTAGCTTGCCTTATTATTATTATTTTTTGTGATGGGGTCTCGCTCTGTTGCCCAGGATGGAGTGCAGTGATGCTATCATAGCTCACTGCAGCTTCAAACTCCTGGGCTCAAATGGTCCTCCTGCCTCAGCCTCCTGAGTAGCTAGGACTACAGACATGTGCCTTCATGCCCGGCTAATTTTTCTTATTTTTTGTAGAGATGGGGGTCTCACTATGTTTGCTCAGGCTGGTCTTGAACTCCTAGCTTCAAACGATCCTCTTGCCTCGGTCTCCTAAAGTGAATTCGCTGTATTGTTAATGTGCAAATCGTAGCATCTGGCACATAGGAAAAGGTATAGGAGCTGTCATTTGAACCCAGGTGTCCTGGCTTCACAATTTGTCATTTATGTCCTGGATGCTGGTTGCCTCTAGCCTGTTCTCCCCCCAGCAGCCAAAGAGAACATTCTAAGACTAAAATTCTATCACTCTCCCAGTATAATAGAAGCCTTCAAAGGCTTCTATTTGCATATACAATAAAAGTCTTGCCTGGCCCCCGCCTGTCTCTCCAGCCTTTCTTTCCCACCTGTTCCTTCGATCACTTTGGTTTAACCACAGTGACCTCATTTATGTTTCTTTTTTTCTTGAGACGGAGTCTCGCTCTGTCGCCCAGGCTGGAGTGCAGTGGCGCGATCTCGGCTCACTGCAAGCACGGCCTCTTGGGTTCACGCCATTCTCCTGCCTCAGCCTCCCGAGTAGCTGGGACTACAGGAGCCCGCTACCACGCCCGGCTAATTTTTTTTTTTTTGTATTTTTAGTAGAGATGGGCTTTCACCGTGTTAGCCAGGATGCTCTCGATCTCCTGACCTTGTGATCCGCCCGCCTGGGCCTCCCAAAGTGCTGGGATTACAGGCGTGAGCCACCGCGCCCCGCCTCATTTATGTTTCTAGAACACTCAGCACTTGCTCATGTCAGGACCTTCGGCTGAGCCGTGCCTTCTGCCCTGTCAGCTCCTCCCTGCTGGGTTTCCTGTGGCTGGTTCCTGCTGTTCCTTCTGGTTAGGCTTCAGATTAACCCCCACCTCATCAGAGAGGCCACCCCTGGCCACAGTTTAAGGAGCCAGTGAGTGCCCCTTTTATTGGTTATCCCAGTTGATATGGTCTGGCTGTGTCCCTACCCAAAATCTCATCTTGAATTATAATCCCCACAATCCTCACGTGTCAAGGGCGGGACCAGGTGGAGGTAATTGAATCACTGGGGCAGTTTCCCGCATACTGTTCTCGCGATAGTGAGTGAGTCTCACGAGATCTGTTGGTTTTATAAATGTCCGACATTTCCCCTGTTGCACTCGCTTCAGTTTGCTGCCTTGTGAGGAAGGTGTCTGCTTCTTCTTTGCCTTCTGTCATTATTGTAAGTTTCCTGAGGCCTCCTCAGCAGTGCAGAACTGTGAGTCAATTCGACCTCCTTCCTTTGTAAATTACCCAGTCTCGGGTGTTTCTTCATAGCAGTGTGAGAACGGACTAATACACCAGTCTTTTGTTGGTTTCCTTTTCAGCACTTTTCATAGCTTGCAGTTTTCTTATTTTATTTATTTCGTTTTATTCTGAGACAGTCTTCTGCTGTCACCCAGGCTGGAGTGCAGTGGCGTGATTTCAGCTCACTGCAGCCTCCATCTCCCAGGTTCAAGCAATTCTGCCTCGGATTCCCAAGTAGGTGGGGTTACAGGCATGAGCCATCACGTTGGCTAAGTTTTGTATTTGTGGTAGAGATCTGGTTTCACTATGTTAGCCAGGCTGGTCTTGAACTCCTGGCCTCAAATGATGCACCCACCTTGGCCTCCCAAAGTGCTGGAATTACAGGCGTGAGTCACCATGCCTGACCAACTTGCAATGTTTAAAAGTTGATTTGCTGCTTGCTTTGGCTCTTGTCCATTAGAAGCTAAGCTCCACGAGGACAGGAGCTCCCTTCCCTGAGTGTTGTGGTGTGCCCAGCCCCAAGCACAATGCTTGGGACATAGAAGACACTTAGAATGGAGAACTATCCACCAAATTCTCCCCTCTGTCCCACTGAACAAACAGCACTGTTTCCCAGAGAGGTGGAAGGATAACAAGTGGGAACTTATCTGGCTGAGACTGGTAGCAGCTGTAGATTTGTGAAGAAGGGGGCAGCCTGTTTACATTCGCTTATTTATTTATTTATTTATTTATTGAGACTGAGTCTCACTCTGTTGCCCAGGCTTGAGTGTAGTGGCTTGATCTCGGCTCACTGCAACCTCTGCCTCCCAGCTCAAGCGATTCTAGTGCCTCAGCTTCCCGAGTAGCCGGGACTACAGGTGTGAGCCACCACGCCCGGCTAAGTTTTGTATTTTTAGTAGAGATGGGGTTTCACTGTGTTGGACAGGCTGGTCTCAAACTCCTGACCGCAGGTGATCCAACTGCCTCGGCCTCCCAAAGTGCTGGGATTACAGGTGTGAACCACTGCACCTGGCTAACATTGGCTTATTTTTGGTTCTAGATTGATGCTTTGCGAACTCTAACATGCACGGGCAATCACTTGGGATCTTGTTAAGATGCAGATTCTGATGCAGTAGGTCTGGAGTGTGGCTTAGATTTGGCATTTCTAACCAGCACTCAGGTGATGCTGATAGTGTTGGCTGCTTTAGGGGGTCACATGTAAAGAAGCAAGGGCCTGGTTCTCAAATTTGGCTGCATATTGGAATTACCTGGGACCTTTACCTAGAAATTCTGATGTAATTGGTCTAGGGTATGGCCTGGTTATTGTTTTTATTTTTTAAAGTGCACATTAGTGCAGCCAAGTTTGAGGACCCCTGCTCTGGACAGTGTTTTACTTCATACATAATTGTGATCAAATAAAGACATTTGACTTGTCAGAATTCTTTTCATGAAGAGCATTGCATTTTTATGACAAAGGAAATTTCCTTGACAAGCTTGCCTGAGTCACAGCAGGGCCTGAAAGTGGGAAGAACTCTTCTGCAAAGACAAGGTAGTGATAGGGCTCTGCCTACCTTAGGGAGAAGAGGGAAGGTGGAAACAGAGCCGCAAGCTGGTGGGTAATAAATGGAGGAAGGCCTCCTGCTCCTTCCCCTTAAATCTTCAGAAAGTTAAATAGTGAAATGCTTGAAAATAATGGAATTTATTTTAAAGGATGCCAGTGAAAGCAGTAGCAGTTCCCAGGCATACTTGCAGATTTTAATTGCTTTTAAGTTCTTACAAAAATTCCAAATTAGCTCAAAATCTCAGGGTAGGACACAGGCCCCAGAACTTGCTGAAGCTCACCTGCAGATTCCAACATGCAGGCATGTTTGGGAACCCCTGGGTTCAGATGAGCCTCCTGCAACCCAGGCAGATGAATGCAGGGTGCAAAGGCAGAGAGAAGCCAGTGTGAGGCATTGCAGGAATTCCCCAAATGCAGAGAATGTTCTGGACTCTAAGCTTATGAAATCAGGATTCGAATTCAAGTGGAACCAGAACTCCAAGCCAGGAGGGTCCCAGCCAACAACCGCTAAGGAGGCACTTGGTTTGAGAGAATGGCTTCATTAAGCCTGTTTCCTTCTCTGTTAAATGGGAATAATAACACCTGTGACTAAGAAATGTTTTGAGGAACAGAGGAGAAGATGTGGATAGATTTGCTTTGTTATGTGCTGTATAGAGAGGCAGCTCCATATAGCTCTTTGAACGTGGTTTGCTACTTTACAGGGCACAGCTTTTGATAGAAAGGGATAGTGGAGAATAATTTGTGAATCTAGGGTGGGAAGTATCCACCAGTACAGGAAAGAGAGGCACTGGCTGAATCGCCACCTTGTGGTGGAAACTTGAGTTGCAGGAGTGGGAGCCAGAGGCTTAAAATGAGTAGACTTAAATCGTACCAAGCCTAGCAGGGTTTCTCACCCTCTGCACTGTTGATATTTTGGGCAAAATAATTCTTTTTTGGGGGATGTTTTGTGCATGGTAGGCTATTTAGCCGCATCTATAGCCTTTTCCCACTAGCCACACCCCTCCCCTGCAGCTGTGACAACCAAAAATGTCCCCAGACGTTGCCAAATATCCCTTCCCAGGGGCAGAATTCCTCCTGGTTGAAAACCAGGGTGCTATAGAAAACGTCAAACAACAACAATAACAACAATAATAATATCTTCTAGCAGTTTTTGAGTGCTTAATATTTCTAGTGCTTTGCCTAACATGCTAACCACTTTACATCTATTGATTTCTTTGATCCTCACAACATCTCCCCATCTCCAATTTGAGGAAGCTGGCCGGGCATGGTGGCTCATGCCTGTAATCCCAGCACTCTGGGAGGCCGAGGTGGGTGGATCACCTGAGGTCAGGAGTTTGAGAGCCTGGCCAAGAAACCTTGTCTCCACTAAAAATACAAAAATTAGCTGGGTATGGTGGTGCATGCCTGGAATCCCACCTACTCAGGAGGCTAAGGCAGGAGAATCGCTTGAGCCCATGAGGTGGAGGTTGCAGTGAGACCAGATTGCGCCACTGCACTCCAGCCTTGGTGGCAGAGTGAGATTCTGTCTCAAAAAACAAACAAACAAAAAAAAACTGAAGCTGGAGAGGTCATACTTTCCTGGGATGTTCCCATGCTTAGAGAAATTGATGGAGCTTAGTCTGGAGTAGAGGGTGTCTGGAGACCAAAATCTATATTAGTTTCCTAACGTTGTAAAAAAATCACAGTAAACTTAGTAGCTTAGAACAACACCAATGTATTATCTTACAGTTCTGGAGGTCAGAATTCCAAAGTGGGTCTTATGGGCTAAAATCAGGGTGTCATAGGGCTGTGTTCCTTCTGGAGGCTCTAGAGAAGAATCTGTTTCCTTCTCTATTTTAGTGTCTAGAGCCTTCCTTTGCCCATGCCCCTCCATCCATCTTCAAAGCACATCATTCCAACCTCTGCTTCCGCAGTCATGTCTTCAGACCTATGTGGGCTGCGTGTCTGAGGGAGGCAGCCCCTTCCTGGAGCCCTGGAGAGCCTTGCTGAGAAGAATTCGAGGATCTTACAGGAGGCAGATATTAGCTGATACTGAGAAGAGATTTCTAAAAAGCATTCTTGCCCAGGGCTAGGCTGGGTTGTGTAGGGATTTGACCATGGGAGGGAGTAGCTGAGATGGATGAAGGTGGAGGTCCCTGGAGATGGGGAGGTAGGGGATGCCTGACAGCCAGGATGATGGATGGGTTGTCTAGGTGCAAGGCGACTCTCTTAGGACGATGCTGGCTATTGGGTGAACAGGAGCCTGAGCAGTGGCCAAAGTCTTCAGTGTGTGAGGGGATGTGGCCAGGAGGTCAGAGGCTGGGAGAGACAAGGAGAGAAGGGTGGTAGATGGGGCCAGCTGCATGGGCGTGCTGCCAGGGCAGTCCCACAGGCTTGGAAGAGCCCCGTGCTTCATGGTCGCTGTCTTGAAATTCTTCACGATTTTATACTTGAATTTGTGTTACAATGGAGAGTGTGTGCCTCTGCCTGTCATTGCCTCCCCAGGGCAGGCACCCACACCCTCACCCCCTGCCACTTGGTCCTGTTCTGATGCACACTTTTTTTCCTATTGACTGAATGATGCACACTTTAAAACTGGGTAATTGAGAGCAGTTTAATGAAGGGGCCATTTATATTCATGTAGGCAGAGGGAGGGAGTCACAAGGGATGAGGTGGTGTCCCGAGCTAGCAGCTGTAGGGAGCCTTTAGCATCTCCAGGCAAAGAGGCAAGGGGCTGGTGGTTACCAGCACTCAGAGCGGGAGTTGTGTGGAGAGAGCTCCTTGGGTAGAGGGACACAGCCAACCCATGGTCACCCACAGGGACCCTGCAGAGCAGGAGCCAGAGGATGAGTCCTCAGCCTCATCCTCCCTCCTTCAGGTCTCCTGCCAGTGCTGTCTAGTTCAACCAGGAGCCAGAGGGCAGGCGGTCCATAGGTCATCCTCTCCGGCCACCTAGCAGTGGGAGGAGGCTCTTGAGTGGACCTGGAGGGGCCAGGGGGCTACTGGTGGGGGTGGAAAATTCTGAAGAGAGTCAGGTTGGGGGGACGTGCCCAGTTTAGGCCTGGCCTGGTGATTCGAGGTGCATGGAGAAGTCTGGGAAAAGCTGGAGTCAGGATGGGAGGGCCTTCAGCATTTTGGTCGGGTCCCTACCAGCCTTGCACACCCAGGTTGGAGCAGACCCAGATGTGGAGGGGGGCTTGGGAGCCTTTGCAAGTCTGTTCTGTAAAACTCACTTTCCATTTTGCCCGGGAGGAGCAGCTGCTGGCTGGGAAAGGCTTACCCTGACCCCAACCACCTGCTCCCTTTTCCCAGTCAGGGCTTTCGCCCCAGCCCCAACCCCGGGGGTGGGTAGTTTTGTCTTTCCCTTGGCCCCTGGCTGGCCTGGCCAGCAACAGCTCTGTCTCCTGCTGTCAGGCCACCAGAATGTGACAAGTGGCAGATGGGCCTCTGATCAATGGACCCCATCCCCAAGCAAGGACAGTGGGGCTGGGGGCAGGGTGGGGAGCGGCCGCTAATGGATGGGCCTGAGAGCAGTGACGGATGGGCAGAAAGAAGCTGCCATTTGTCTTGGAAGTGAGTGACTCCAGGGAGGAGGAGAAGGGAGGGTGGCTGTTGGGCTCCAGGGTGGAGAGAAAGCAACCGGAGCCAAAGCCCAGCAGGGCTGGGAGGATGGGGCCTGAGGGTGCCCTGGATGGGATGGGATTGGGAGAAAGGTTTTTCCTACCTACCTTTAACTAGAGCTCTTCAGTCCTAGCCAAGAGGGTCCTGACATGTTGAGTGGAAGATCCAGGGGCATCCTGTAAAAATGGAAACTAGATCATGCTCTCACCTGGGTCTCATTCAGGGTGAAGTCCTATCCTTGCATGATTCTCCTTTAAGACCCTCCACGGTCTTCCTCACCTTCTCCTTTTCCTCCCTGACCTCACCTCTCATTACCCTCCTCGCTCATGCCTCTCAAGACAATTTACTTTCTTGTTCTTAAAGGTCTCTAGGCCTTTGCCCCAGCAGTCCCCTCTACCTGGAATGCTCTTTCCCCAGATATCGGCACAGTATTTATTTTTTGAGACAGAATCTCACTGTGTCACCCAGGCTGGAGTGCAGTGGAGCAGTCTTGGCTCACTGAAACATCTACCTCCTGGGTTCAAGCGATTCTCATGCCTCAGCCTCTTGAGTAGCTGGGATTACAGGCGTGGGCCATCACACCTGGTTAATTTTTGTATTTTTTGTAGAGATGGGGTTTCACCATGCTGGCCAGGCTGGTCTTGAACTCCTGGCCTCAAGTGATCCACCCACCTCGGGCTCCCAAAGTGCTGGGATTACAGTTGTGAGGCACCACGCTTGGGAGGATATCTGCACAGTATTCTTATGTCCTGAAGGTCAGGTGTCAGGGCAGCCTTCCCTGGGCACTCCTTATAAACAGCAATGTCTCCCTGCCCCATGACCCCGTCTCCATCTGGTATACATTATCACTCCACCTCTGCCTTGTTATTTTAAAATTATTTTGTAACAGCCACCATCTGAAATGTCATTTATTTGTTTACTGTCTAAGGTCTGTCTCTTCCACTAGATTGTAGATTCCATGAGGACAGGGCGTTGTCTCTTCTCTTTGCTGCTCTATTTCCAGAGCTTAGAATAGCACTCAGATGGGCTCAACAAATACTTGTTGCATGCATGAATGAAAGGGTTCTAACTCCAGTTTTGATGCTTCCTGGCTTTGTGAGTTTGAACCATCTCCTGAGCCTCAGCGTCCTCATTTGCAAAGGGAGGGGGACTGTCCTTCTTCCCAGAGCCCCTGTGAGGATTATGCAAGACAATGTGCATCAGCCAATGCCCATATTTTAGAGAAGTCTAGAAGGCCTGGGACTTGTTGAGGTTGGAAAAGAAAACTGCCTCATATCTCCATTCATCCAGCCAGTAACAAATTCTCAAAGTAAGATAAGACCTGGGTCTAAGGATAAAATTAAGGATGTTGCTGTAAGACCCCTTGTTAAACCCTCTGAAAGACTTAAGGTGGTACTAGCAGACCCTTTAGCTAGACACTGTGGTTTCTAAGACTCTTAAGGGTCCAACAGGAGGGAAGAAGAGAAAGAGAAGCCTGTTTCAACTGAAATGAACCTCAGTCAGATGCATAGAAAACCCATAACATTTTCAAGATATCTGTATCAGTGAAAACACTGTAAGTGTGTACAAAAAGTGACTGCAACTTTTCAAAATAAAAACAGGCCTCTGAGTCTCCAATTTTCTAAGAGCAGAAAGGCTGAAAAAAACTATGTAGCTATAAATATCAGCCATTTCTTATGCAAACAGAAGGATGATTAGGAGAGGAGAACCAAGAGTCCAGAGAGGAAAGTTAAGAGCCATAGAGAACAATGGACTAGGGAATCACTCCAAGGAAGCAGAATTGGACCCGAATCAAGGGCTGTTCCCTGCCCCTGGAAGCAGAGGGAATTGACAACCTGTGCTTTGCTGGATTTTGATGTTTCTATGAACCAGGGACCACTAAGTACCTCCGGTTCCTCCCCTTTTTGTCTGGGAATGCCTATTGCGAATATCCTGTCCCTTTTTCATCTTTATTTATTTATGTTTGAGACAGAGTTTCGCTCTGTTGCCAAGGCTGGAGTGCAGTAGTGCAATCTCAGTTCACTATAACCTCTGCCTCCTGGGTTACAGTGGTTCTTGTGCCTCAGCCTCCTCAGTAGCTGGGATTACAGGCAGGCACCAGCACGCCCAGCTAATTTTTGTGTTTTCAGTAGAGTTTTCTCCATGTTGGCCAGACTGGTCTTGTACTCCTGGCCTCAAGCGATCCACCCACCTTGGCCTTCCAAAGTGCTAGGATTACAGGCAGGAGCCACACTGCATCCGGCCCTCTTTTTCATCTTTATATGTTGAGTATGGGGGTGAGTAGTAGGAGCTGCACCTTATGAAGCCCATCTGCCTCTGTCCCTGATTCAGAAGTGCTATCAACTGAATTGTCTCTTCCCAAAGTCATAGGTTGAAGCTGTAACCCTCAATGTGACTGTATTTGGAGTTAGGCCTTTTAGGAGGTAGTTGAGGTTAATAAGGTCATAATAGTGGGGTCTTAATCTAATAGTATTGGTGGCCTTAGAAGAGGAAGAGAGAAATCTCTCCCTTGCTTCATGGACACGAACCAAGGAGGGCCATGTGAGGACACAGCAAGAAGGTGGCTGTCTGCAAGCCAGGAAATGAGCCCTCACTAGAACCTGACCATGCTGGCACCTGGATCTTGGACTGCAAGCTCCAGAACTGAGAAAATAAATTTCTCTTGTTTAAGCCCCCCAGTCTATGGTATTTTGTTACGGCAGCCTGAGCTAAGACAAGAACTCAAGGTTCTGAACATGAAGCTATAATGGCATGAGACATTTTGTGGGAGGGGAGAATGAGCATATTTTGAATGTGGAAGAAATGAAAGTAATTGTAGCAGAGAGTGGACCAAAATAAGCTTAAAAACATGGCCACAATATTTTTTAGTCCCTTCCATTAAAAAATAGTCTACTTTCCTAAGCTGCCTTGTCATCTGCATTGACATGCAGAATGTGGTGGAAGTGATATCAGTAAGCTCTAGAGTGTGGCAAAATGTTAAAAACAACCCAAATGGCCATCATCAGGGGGCTGGCTAAATAAACAATGATGCATCTATATCTGGAATGCCTCAGCACTAAAACAATGCCTCAGAGCATTAAAAACAATGAAGTGGATCTGTTTCTATCAAGATGGTAGTATCTCCAAGACATATGGTCAAGTTATGAAAACAAGTTGCTGAATGATAACTTCAAGTAAGATACCATTTATGTTAAAATATAAGTTCATGAAAAGATACCATATATAGTTGTCCCTTGGTATCCACAGGGTATTGGCTCCAGGATACCCCTTGGATTCTAAAATCAATGGATGCTGAAGTCTCTGATATAAAATGGCATAGTATTTGCATACAACATATGAACATCCTTTTGTGTACTTTTTTTTTTTTTTTTTTTTTGAGACAGAGTCTTGCTCTGTTGCCCAGGCCGGAGTGCAGTGGTACAATCTCGGCTCACTGCATCTTCTGCCTCCCGGATTCAAGCGATTCTCCTGCCTCAGCCTCCTGAGTAGCTGGGATTACAGATGTGTGCCGTCATGCCTGGCTAATTTTTGTATTTTTAGTAGAGACTGGGGTTTCACCATGTTGCCAGGCTGGTCTTGAACTCCTGACCTCAGGTGATCTGCCTGCCTTGGCCTCCCAAGGTGCTGGGATTACAGGCATGAGCTACCGTGCCCAGCCCTTTTGTATACTTTTAATAATTTCTAGGTTACTTATAATACCTAATACAATGTAAATTCTATATAAATAATTGTTATACTATTTATATTATTTATAATTTTTATTATTTATATTTATATGATTTATATTTTAATTTTGCATTGTTATTTTGTATTTTTTCTGAATTTATTCAGTCAGTGGCTGGTCGAATCCATGGGTGTGGAGTCCAAAGATATGGAAGGCTGACTGTATTTTCCTGTACATAGTGAGTGTGTGTGTTTTTATGTTTGTGCCTGCACACATACACTCGTGTGTGCGTAAGATCATTAGAATAAAATAATAAGTTCTACTCAATAACCCCTTCCAGAATCTGGCCTGGGGTTGACATTATTCTCCCTGGCCCTTGGTTAGTGGAAACCACAGCTTCTTCTCCTCTGAGGGTGCTTCCCTTGAGTCTAGGGTGATTCCTTTATGGCCCTGGGTGCTGTCATTGGTTCTTCCTGCCACCATGGCTGCCAGTTCCTTCTCCTTACTGTCCCTTCTCCCTCTGCAGCTGGAAGATCATTCTCGTTGATCCAGAAGGCACAGGTGCTCCCAAGCTGTGGCGTGTGTGGGTCCCTGCTATCCGTCATTGGCAGGACTTCAGCGTCAGCCTAGGCCTCCATTCCTTAGGAGCTTCTTGCCATTGTGTCACTAAAATGTCACATTGTCTTGTCCTGAGCCGTTCTTGTGAGGAGCCAGTGCAATGCAGAGGGGAACAGAATAATAGGATTGGCCCTTTTTATGGCCCTACAGCTAGCTGTGCAACCTCAGGCCAGCCACTTAATATTCCCCAGCAAATCTTGCTTTTTATGAAATGGGGACAGGAGTGTCTTGCTCCTAGGGAGCAAATGTGATAATGCAGGTAAAGTGCCCCATGCAATGGCAGGCGTGCTGCAGGTGCTTGCAAAAGGATTTTCCCTTTCTGCCCCTAATTCCAGTGTGGCTGTAAATCCCTTCATAGCTGTGTGGCTTTGGGCAAGTCACTTAACCTTTCTGAACCATACCTGTCAAATGGTGATAATGACATCTCCCCTACAATGTTCATTCATTCATTGAGCAAATATTTATCAAGGACCTAGTACGGGCTGGGCATCATGCTAAGCATTAGGGATATAGTGACGGATGAGACTGATGAAGTCTGTGATTTGATGTTGACGATTGCCTAGTGAGAAAGAGAAATAAAACAAATGACTGTATCGATAATTGTCATGAGCTTGGAGTTGAAGCAATAAAATATGTTGTACCCAGTAGGTGCTTCAGGAAGGCAGCCACCCATCACCTACTGCAGTCCCAGCCACAACTGGGCTGCATGAAACCACTACTGGAGCCCCAGCAGAGAGCTCACTTCCACCACCCTGCCTGTGGGGCTCAGCTCAGCAATGCTCTGGCATCTTCTATATTGTCCTGTGTGATTTCTCAGAAGAGGTAGACTGTCCCAAAGGCCAGAGCACTGCTGCTGTCTGAGCAGCCAAGATGCCGAAGCTTCATCTCAAACTTTCATTATCCTTTGCCTTGGGCTGTCCTGTTTTCCTCTCCCCTCCCCCCTCCTTTTTCCTTCCTTCTTTTTCTTAAGACTAGGTCCCATTCTGTTGCTCAGGCTGGAGTGCAGTGGTGCCATTTCAGCTCACTGCAATCTCTGTCTCCTGGGTTCAAGCGATCCTCCCACCTCAGCTCCCCAGTAGCTGGTACTACAGGTTTGTGCCATCATGCTCAGCTAATCGTGGTATTTTTTTTATAGAGACATGGTTTTGCCATGTTTCCCGGGCTGGTCTCAAACTCCTGAGCTCAAACAATCCACCCCCCTCAACCTCTGAAAGTGCTGGGATTACAGGCATGAGCCATTGCACCTGGCCTGTTCTGTTTCTTGGTGGGGAATTAATTCCATTCTTTCTAGGATTTTTTTTTTTTTTTTTAAATCTTCCTTGCTAAACCAGAGCATGGGGGAGGCTCCCAGGGACCCCTCATTCACTATCATTCAGAGTAGCAATAACCATCCATTAAGCATGATGCTATGCCAGGGCACTTTACCCTCATGAACTCTTTGAATCTCACAGCAGCCCTGACAATATTATAATTCTCATTTTACAGAGAAGAAAATGGAGAAACAAAGAGGTTGGTTAAAGTGCCACAGCCACACGGTTGGTGGCTGTGTTTGAATTCAAACCTGGACACCTGTTGCCATTCTGAGGGTGTTCTGTAATAACATGCCTGAATCAGAGTTGGGAAGATGGAGCATGGGATGAGGACAAAGGAGAGAAGTCCAGAGGCTGGCTAGAGATGGTAAGAGTCCAGAGACAAGACCCTGGTGTTGCTGTCCTCAGCCTCTTTTGAGAAGTTCCTGTTATCTTTAGGGGAAGACAGGAGGGGATGGAGAAGAGAATTTCTGGGAGACCTCTTGAATGTTTCAGTTCCAAGACAGTACCTGAGAAGTCCACTGTGAACAGTTGCCCACGTTGTGGACTCCACAGCTCTAGATGACACCATTCACACTGTTGTCAATGAGAATAGACTGTTTAGGTACCCTGTAGGGACATGCATTTTGCATCCTGTGTCATAAGAGGACTTCTAAGCGGTACTGGCTAGAATGCTGCGGGGACAGGGAGAACCTTTCTCACCTTAGAACAGGGTCCCTGGGCTCCTGCTGGGGAGAAAGATCAGAAAGGGACAGTCCACAGCAGGCCATTGAGTCTACTGGGAAGAATGAGATGGGAGATATGGGCACTGTCTCTCCTAGCCAGCTTTTCTGGGTCTCTTTACCCTATTCAGACACACCTGGTGGTCTCACCCTCTGCTCCCCATACATGAGGCTGAGGTCCCTGCACACCCAACCCTGGAATTGGAGCTGGAGCTCACCCTCCCTGCAGGGATGCCGGCTTTCAGGGCCCTGCCTCCAGTCCAGTACTGTGAGTAGCTTCTCTGTCCGCTCTCCTGGATGGCTTCTTCTGGGGACAGCTTGGGGCCCTAACTTGCCCATTTCCCAGAATCCTTCCTGCAACCAACTTGAGAGTTAAGGTAGCTCAGGGTGGTTAAAGGTTAATGTCTGCCCAGCCATTTATCTGCTTTGAATTGACTTATCCCTAAGAGTGTGGCTCTTTAAAATGCAGGAGAGTGTTGGAGCCACCAAACTCTCTCATTGCCCAGTGTCCTCCCCCACCCACCCCCCTGTATAAATCCCCAGTCCCCCTCCCCTTCCTTGTCAGGAACCGATTTCAGCCCACAATGGAGATGGTTTATTACAGCTCACTTCCTGCTGTGAGTAAATAAGTTTGTCTCCTTTAAATTCCCTGGGCAATTAGGAGAATGAAAGACTGAGCTTTGGATTAGCATTTATTTCCTCCAAACGTTTATATGAGGCCATTTTCCCACTGACAAATTGTGGGGCAAATTGTTCTCGAGAAACTGTCTGCAGCAAAGGTGCTATGATTAAACGGCCGGTGTAAATTTGGGGTCATAAATCCTTTCCCTGAGTTAATGGGATTTATTCACAGCAACTGCCATTACAGGCTCAAAGAAATAATAATAAATGAGGTTGATTTTGCACCTGTTTCAGGGTAATTAATATGCACACTAAAGGGAAAAGAGGTTGTTTTTACAAACTGCCTCGCCTGTGGCTCAAGATTTGGAGTCCTTCTGGAGTCTTCAGGTCAATGGCCAGCCTCTTTCAGGACAGAGAGCTGGGAGCAGTTGGGAAGGGGCTTGAGGCAGGGAGAGGGTGGTCTGGGGTGTGACCTGAGACTCTTGCGTTGCAGGTAACGGAACCTCCTCACGCTGGCTTGAGTAGTAGGGTTTGATATGAGGGCAAGGGGGTGAGTAAGACATTCATGAAACTCAAGTGTGGTAATGTTATACTGAATACATTGGTTGCAAGTGACAGAAACCCAAGACAGCTGAACTCCTAGGACTGAAGGAAGTGTTCCAGGAACCCCGGGCCCCAGGGATTGGAATGGAGACTCGGGACCACCAAGTCTTTCTCTCTTGTTCTCTTTCCTCTCTTTCTCTCTCATCTCTGTTTCTCTTTGTTCTTCCAGAGTTGACGCCAAAGTTCTCCTAGATGGAAGGTCAAAGTGCAAAACCCTCTTACATTCTCTAGTCTCCCTCACATGGGATAAAGGGGGTGGTGGTTATTCCTGAGGCACCCTGGAGGGGCCCAGCCCTTCCAGACCCCACTTCAAGCTCATCCTGGCCAGAAGGCCTCCCCCTCCTCTCAAGGAAGCCACTCACCTTATACCATCCCCACTACTGGCACCACTGCCTGCCATTTTGTCCCTATGCCCAGGTGACCTGTCTTCTGCTCACAGAGCTTGCCCAGCTCTCCAGCCCCAGTGTTGCAGCCCAGGATCCCTCCCCAGCCCTGGTCGGACCGCTCCCTGGGAACCCTGACCCTGTGACTCCAGCTACTGCCTGCAGTATTGTTCCCAATGGATTCCCCCTGAATCCTGGGATCTGAGCTACACTCAGGTGGGGCCTCCTTGGAGGGGCATTTGGACACTGGACTTCTGATTCGAAGCAAGATCTGATCCCCTCTGCCTGTTTCTGTTCTGTCTGGTCCCGTTCTCCTCTCCACTCCCTAGGGAGGGCCTGGGCAGTTGAGGTCCTAAGGGGCTTCTCACTAGACCCTCATAGGACAGCAGCTAGAGCAATCTGTCCAAACTCAAATTCAACCGCCCTGTTTTCCTGAGAGGCAGTGGAAGTACAGTGATTATGAGCTTGGGCCCTGGAGCTCGCATGCCTGGCTTTGAATCCCAGCTCACTGCTTCCTCGCTGTCTGATCCTGGCCAAATCCTTTCACCTCTTGGAGGCTTGGTTTCTTCCTCCTCTATGAGATGAAGATGACAGCAGTGCCCAGCTTGCCTGTTTTTTTAAAGTGTAAGTGAGATGGATTTTAGGCCTATGCCTTGGAAGAAGGAGAAGGGAATGGTGAAGGAGCGGAAGTGGGAGTGTCTCTGATCCTTGAAGCCTTACTAGAAAGACAGGATAACTGGCTAACTTGGATTCAGCCCCTGCTTCTAGAAGCTCCTTAGGAAGTCTGGAGAGTGGCTGATCCATCCTGGGGCAGCTAGAGAAGCACTCATGGAAGAGAGGACATAGAAGATGGGGTGTTGTGGGTGAATAGGAGTTCTTCAGGTAGAGCCAGGGAGAAAGGACATTATTCCTGGCAGAGAACAGCTCATGCAAAGTAGTAGAGAAAGAGCATACTATGTGTTCAGGGAATGACTTGGAGTCAGTGAGAGGCCCTAGAGGGATGTGTTAGTTCAAATATGACAGAAGTATCTAATTAGATCTTTTCCTTAAATCAATTAAATCAGACTAACCCCTATCCCCCATCCATTGAATTAGCAGGAAATTCAATTTCAGTCACTACCAAGGCCCTGACCCTTCTGGGGTCCCAAATCCAGGTGCATCTGGCAAATCTTCTCATCTGTACTCCATGCAGCTGCCACAGCTGCCATCCTGTTTATCTGAGTGCACAGAGGTTCCTGAAGCCCATGACCCTCTCCCACGAGGCCCAACATCTGTGTCCAGGCGGGACATGCCAGGGCCTGGGGTCTTGCTCAGTGCATGGTGTGGCTGCCTCTTGGGTGTCTGGGGAGGACAATGAGTTGTGATGAGTCCTCACTCCTGTCTTGTCTGTGTAGCCTGGGAATAATTCCTCCTTTTTGGCCTAGGCCCTCTTTTCCTGACCCTCTGGCTCTGGGTCACCCCTCCAAGTCTTTTCAGTGGCTCTGAGCTTACTATAAAAGCCAGGAAGAAAATGGGCAAATGCTATTTTTTGTTCTACAAGATCCCAAGAGCAAGGGCATTCAAAAGGCTCTGGGTACCCGTTCAAAATGTGGAGAAAGAAGAGGGAACATGCACAAAAATCAATCTCTAAAAAAATTGGCTGGGCATGGTGGCTCACGCCTGTAATCCCAGCACTTTGGGAGGCCAAGGCAGATGGATCATCTGAGGTCAGGTGTTTGAGACCAGCCTGGCCAACATGGCGAAACCTTGTCTCTACTAAAAATACAAAAACTAGCCGGGTGTGGTGGTGGGCCTGTAAACTCAGCTACTGGGGAGGCTGAGGCAGGAGAATCACTTGAAGCTGGGAGGCGGAGGCTGCAGTGAGCAGAGATCGTACCACTGCACTCCAGCCTGGGTGACACAGTGAGACTCTGTCTCAAGAAACAAAAAACAAATTATGCTGCCATGGTATGATGCAGGAGGATGAGTGCCGTGGTCTGAATGCTGGCATTCCCCTAAATTCATATGTTGAACCCTAATCCCCAATGTGATGGTATGAGGAGATGAGGCCTTTGGGAGGTGATTAGGTCATGAGGGTGGAGCCCTCATGAATGGGATTAGTATAAAAGAGGTCCCAGAGAGCTGTCTTGCCCCTTTTACCATGTGAGGACACAATGAGAAGATGCCACCTAAGGGCCCCATTTCCTGGCTCATGCCTGACTCCAAATCTGCCAGTGCCTTGATTTGTACTCCCTAGCCTCCACAACTGGGAAATGAATTTCTCTTGCTTATAAGCCACCCGGTCTGTGGGATGTTGTTATAGCAGCCCAAATGGACTACAACATAGCAACTGAGCAGGGCATGATAGCTGAAGCCTCAATCTGCAGGGGTTTAAAAGTCAGGCTATCTAGCAGTGAGGACTTGACCCAGCTAGGGGAACCATGTGGTCAGATATGGGGCTTAGAGGTGGAGCTGAAGAAGATTCTGGAAGGATCATTTTAGTGGCTTCGGGATATTATAGTCTCTGAGACTGTTGATCTCTGGGGCAAAGACAAAGCCAGGGCTTAAGGTCAAAGCTCTTGAAGCTAAATCCTAAATCCCTCTGTCTTTCTCTTGGGATTATCCTGGGAGAATGCTGGAATAATAGAGATACCCAGAGGCTACTTTTGCCATTCTGTATCTGCAATATGTGTTGATGTCTCAAATCTCCTGTATTAGCTTGCTAGGGCTGTTCTAATCAAGTACAAGAGCCTGGGTGGCTGACCAGAGAAATGTATTTGTCTCACATTTCTGGAGTCCAAAATCAAGGTTGTCAGCAGGGTTGGTTCCTTCCGAGGGCCAGGAGGGAAGGATCTGTTCAGTTCCAGGCTTCTCTGCTTGGCTTGTAAATGGCCGTCCTCCCCCTGTGTCTCTTCACCTAGGCTTTCCTCTGTGCATGTCTGTGTCCATGTTTCTTCCTCTTAGAAGGACACCAGTCATATTGGATTAGAGCCCACAGCAATGACCTCATTTTAGCATGGTGACCTCTGTGAATAATTTTTTCTTTTCTTTCCTTTTTTTTTTTTTTTTTTTTTTGAGACAGAGTCTCGCTCTGTCAATCAGGCTGGAGTGCAATGGCGTGATCTGTGCTCACTGACACAACCACCTCCCAGGTTTGAGTGATTCTCATGCCTCAGACCCCTGAGTAGCTGAGATTACAGGTGTGCACCACCACACCTGGCTACTTTTTTTTTTTTTTTTGAATTTTTAGTAGAGACGGGGTTTCACCATGTTGGCCAGGCTGGTCTCCAACTACTGACCTCAGGTGATCCGCCCACCTCAGCCTCCCAAAGTGCTGGGATTACAGGCATGAGCCCCACCGTGCCTGACTATTTTATTTTATTTTATTTTATTTTTTTTTCGAGACAGGGTTTCTGTTGCCCAGGCTGAGTACAGTGGTGCTATCATGGCTCTCTGCAGCCTTGGCCTCCTGGGCTCAAGTGATCCCCCTGCCTCACTCTCCTGAGTAGCTGGGACTAAAGGCATGCACCACCACCCCCAGTCAATTTTTGATTTTTTGTAGAGACGAGGTCTCGCTATGTTACCCGGGCTGGTCTCGAACTCCTGGATGCAAGCAATCCTCCTGCCTTGGCCTCCCAAAGTGCTGAGATTACAGGTGTGAGCCACCGAGTTCGGCCTCAACTTCTGTAAAGATTTTCTCTCTAAATAAGATCACATTCTGAGGTACTGGAGGTTAGGACTTCAACCTATGAATTTTGGGGGATGCCATTCAACTCATAGGACCTCCAAACAAGCCTACAAAATGCAGAAGTGATGACTATTTTATAAATGAGGAGTTCCAGGTTGAGAGAGGTCAGGCAACTTGCTCAGGGTTTCAAAGCCAGCGAGGAATAGATGGGACTTAAACTCTGGTCTGCTGAGCTGTGCTGCAGCTGGGTGGGTCCCAGGGCCCCTGTGGAGGCAGAGAGCTGGATTCCTGCTGAAGCTGGACCCTGCTTGTCCCCTCCCCTGGATTTTTCCCAGGGCAGGCTTCTTAGCCTGCTGGAAGAAGGCAGGGAGGGGAGAGGAGGGATGTCATTCTGAGCATCACTTGGCCAGGCCTTTTGTCTCTCTGTTCATTGCCTGAAATGTGCTTGCATCTTATTACCCAAGCTAGGTAGATTTTTGCTTGGCTGAGCTGAGATCAAAAAGTAATTTTTCTTTTTGCAACAGCCAATTAGAAATTCATTTATTTTCACATTATGGACATTTGGCAAAAATTTCTTTGGCAATTTAGCTCCATTTATATAGTCTGCATAAAGGGAGACAGTGAGGCTAGGAGAAAAAAAAAAGGCAAGGCCGCGGGCAAAAATTAAATGCCGAATCATGTATTAGAAATGAGATGTATTTACTATTGTTTTTGAAAATTAATGGTGCATTTTTAGCTTTTATAATGTAATTTAATGATGCAATTCATCTAATAAAAAAGAACACATTTCAACTCAGTCATACAGACCTACTGGGGCACAGGGCGGAACACCTTTTCCATGGAAAGGGTTTGGAATGAAATGCTTGGGGCCTTTCTCTTTTTCTGTAAGGCAAAAAAGGAAAAGTGGTCTGTCTGTGTCTGTCTCTCTGTCTCTCTGTCTCTCTCTCTCTCTGTGTGTGTGTGTGTGTGTGTGTGTGTGTGTGTGTGTGTTGCCATTTGGAGTATCAGTGAGAATCTAATAAAAAGGACATTTTTCTTTTGCCATATTGGTGTTTGTGCTGTGTTATAGAAATCAGCCTTTGATTCTGGAATGTTAGAGGGTGTTGGCTGCCCCAGCCTGCTAAGCCCTAGATGGAAAGACCCTGGTGGGTGGGGAGGAGAAAATGGCCTTGGAGCTGTGTCGAGGTTGGTCCCCCCTGGACTCTGAGGGGGTGTGGGCAGACTGGGCATCCCTCCGGAGGAATTGGCCACACTTGCTGGATTTGGAACCCTGTGAGCCTCCTGGGTCCAATGCATCTCTCTCTCTTTCAAGTCCAAGGGCCTGATTTTCACTTGCCATTGCTCCCAATTTTGAATTAAGGCAAGAACGTCCCTCTTTTCGCAAAGAGGATGACTGGAAGAGAAACGAGGGCAGGGAGGGAGGGGGAGGCAGGGAGGGAGGTGAGGCAGGCAGGCCCTGACCGAGCTCCTAGGGTGAGTTGGGCACAGTGGCCACTGCTTTGTTGCGCTCCCACCCTGCCACTAGAATGTCAGCTCTTGAGGATGGAGTACATTTCCTGTCTTGTTCATACCGATCCCCAGCCCCACAGTATACCATATACACTCATTAGATACTTTTTGACTGCAGAGTGGCAGATAAACCCTGGGTTAAATACATTATGTAAATGTCTGCTTAACTCTCACTCCAATACCATGAGAAGGTGGGTACCACGACTACCTTGTTTAATAGGAGGGGACACATTGGCTCAGACAAGTTAGGGAACTTTCTGAAGTTCACTCATCTGTTAAGTGGCAGGGCTGAGACCTAACCCATGACTATCTCACTCCCAAGTACTTGCTCTTAACCACACCAATGTATGCAGTGAATGAAAGAATAATGTTAAGTATGAATGACAGGAGGGCTGGCCTTTCTGAAGGTTACCAAACCAAGGGGCTGGGATTTGAATTCAAATTTTTTGATTCCAAGTTAAGAACTTCTTTCTGGGCTGGGCACAGTGGCTCACACCTGTAATCTCAGTACTTTGGGAGGCTGAGGTGTGCAGATCACTTGAGCCCAGGAGTTTGAGACCAGCCTGGGCAACATGGCAAAACCCCGTCTCTACCCAAAATACAAAAATTAGCCAGGCATGGTGGCAGGTGCCTGTAATTCTAGCTACTTGGAAGACTGAGGAGGGAGCATCACTTGAGCCCAGGAGGTTGAGGCTGTAGTGTGGAGGATTGTGCCATTGCACACCAGCCTGGGCAACAGGAGCAAGACTGTCTTAAAAACAAAACATAAAAACAAAAAACTTTCTGCTACCCTATGTACCCTCAGCAGGAGGGAGGAAGCTGTGGATAGGAAAAGGAGTTTGGCAGGAGTTCAAGGTTACAGTGAGCTTTGATCGTGCCACTGCACTCTAGCCTTGGTGACAGATTGAGACCCTGTCTCTTAAAAAAAAATAAAAAGAAAAGGGGCTTTGGGGCAGGGGGAAGATGAGGGCCATTAGCGTGGGAGGCCAGGGGACACATAGGCCTAGGGGTCTTCCAGGCATGGCGATCCCTGAGGGAGGTGACCAGGGATAGGGTATATAGTTATCCCAGGGGTCAAAGGAAATGCCCAAACCATTTGTATTCATTTGTTCAGTGATTATTTACTGAACATCTATCAGATGCCTAGGACTCACCTGACCTTTTGCAGCTTGAATTTCCTCACTTGTAAAACAAGGTGAATCCTTCAAAGTATTTCTTGACAAGGCGCACTGTTGGTGTTTTGAATGGAACAATCTTACTCCTCGGTCTGAATGGCACTTCCCCACCCTCCCACACACGTGGTGTTCTCTGATCATGGGGAGATTCCTAAATGCTCCCAGATACCCTCCTCGAATGGAAACAGAGGCTTTGTAGGGCTGCTGGGAGGACTCAACAGGACAAGCTGCAGGAAGGCGCTGTGAACAGCCTGGTGCACAGGAGGCTTGTCATGCTTCCTTTGACATCTCCCTTTCCCTTGCCTCTCTCCCTTTCTCCTTCCTCCAGCCCCACAAATCTGCTCTGAGCATCATTTTGAGCCATTGACCCTGCTGCTACCCAGCCAGGCTGTCAGTCAGCTCCCTCCTCCTGCCTCCACCTCCCTCTGCTCCCCTGTCCTCGCAGACCTGCGCCTGGCTGCAGTCCCTGCACGTGGGCTCAGCAGCTGTGGACATTCTGCCACCCCAGCCACCGGCCCCAGCATGACCCAGGCCCTGCCCTGTCACTGAACCTTGGCGGGAAGGTCAGTTATTTCCTTCCTTTTTAGGAGGAGAGCTCTGCCCTTTGGGTGCCTGCCCTGGTGCTGTACCAGCCTCGGATCTGGGATTTTTGCATTTTGGGGCTGCCTAGAGAAGTTGCCAAGCAGGCATGGTAAATAGGCCTCTGAGTGTTTGGAGTCTAGAACTCCACTGTCCGATTTGGTAGCCACTAACTGTATGTGGGTCCCGAGCACTTGCAATGTGAATTGGGGTGTGCTGTAGTGTAAAACACACATGGAATTTGAAGGCTCTAGTGCCCTTGGGGTGCAAGCAGCTGAGTGTCACACCTCTTTATTTTATTTTCTTGGATTTGATTCGGGGTGGCTGGGCACTAGATTGGCCCAATATCAGTTACATAGGATGATCCCTTCCCCTGTTTGAGCCATGTAAATCCATAAACTTGGATATATCCTCACCAGACTCCCAGAGTTGGGATTCTGATTGCCAGCCCTGTAACACCAGAGCCTCTTCACTTCCAAGGAGCAGAGGGGGCTTCAAAAGGGAACATGCACACCCTCTCCCTCTTCCTAGGTCCCAGGACTTCTAGGGAAACCCTTTCCATCCCCTGATGCCCAGCTGAAGAGCCAGGGATGGGGATCGAGGGCTTCTTCCGTGGAATCTCAGAGCACTTGACAGACCCTGTGTGTTTCATTCCAGACTTTTTGCCCACTGCCCTTCTTGGCCTGAGCCCCTGGATGGCTGCACACTGCCCGATGCACTTTTGTGCCTCCCTGGGCCAGGCACAAGTCTCACACCCAGTGGTGTGGTTCAAAGTGAATTGAGGTTGTCAGTTCTGCAGAGGCATTTTTGCAAAGGCCCTGCATGGAGGTGCCAGGTATGAAACTGATTTAAATCACATCCTGGAGCCCCCAAGCAGGTAGGAGCTGGTGGCAGAAGTTTCCATGTCTTAGTACAGGTCCTCTGCCTCTGACACACATGCTGAGGGACACCTATGTGGTGATTCAAGGGAATCTTGCACCCACTGGGCTCTGTGCTGCATGCTTTATACACATGTGCTCACATTATCTTCTCAACAACTGTACTTGGTAAGGCTACAATGATCCTCACTTTGCAGATGAGAAATTGAGCTCCCGAGAGGTTATAAAAAACTGGCTGAAGTCACACAGCTGGCAAGAGGCAAAACTAGTATTGGTCCTCAAGTTGTGTGACCCTAGAACCACAATATAGCAATTCTGCTTCTCACAGGTACACATGTACAGACCCAAAGACACATGGAAATACAAAGACATAGGTATACATAGATGAACATGCATATATAAAATGCAGAGATCCATATAGATATGCGGACAGACATATATGGACATACCCACGTTCCCATGGCTACTCAGATATAAAAATACTCCTATCCATGTACCCACATTCATACCTCCATGTATACTATGCACATACCTATGCATACACCTCATATACAAATATACACATGGCTACTCTGACATAAAGGTATACACACATGCACACACTACACATATTTGCACTTGGACATGACCACAAATATGCAGAGTTGAAAGTCCCCCCTCCTACCACACACACAAGCATATAGTGAGGCTTGTATACCCAGATATTTAACTCCTGCAGAAACACACACACACACACACACACACACAATCTTGACACACTTCTAAGAACGCCTGCCCCCAGGTATACAGAACAGCCCCTCCCCCAGTATACACTCACAGGCACTCACTCAAGCCCAATGATCCAATTTAAACTGAAAAGGGAAAACCAAGTTGAAAATTAGAGGGGAAAAAAAAAGTCCTTCAGAAAGTATAAAGCTAATAGGCTGCAAGTGGTGAGCCTGCTGCCTTCACGATATCAATAACTCAGTATTGGATTTCCAAAAAGACATCACATAATTTTTCAATGAGAAATCCATGAGCCCTGGAGATGCTGTTATGGTGTGAATTACAATGCACACGCTTGTCAGCCGTCCCCGTCAGCACTTTCTCGGATGCCTTAACGGGCAGGAAGTGCTGTGGCTGCAGCAGGGATGGTTATTGTTATTATTTCTTCCTTTTGGAGCCTCAAATTAAGAACCTGGGAAGCCAGCAGGTCCCTTTCTCCTCCCTCCCCTCCTCCAATTGTACCCAAATCAAGAAGTTTTCCTGCTTGATATATTCTTTAGTGTATTCTTCAGCTCTCAGCCTCCCCTCCCCTGTCCTGGAGCCCTAATTCTGGGAGAGACTGACACCTGGGGCTTAGGAACTAGGGTCAGGATACGTGGGTGGGGGCCACCCTCTCTATGGAGCTCGGGCTTGTTTAAGACTTCCTTGAGTGTTGTGGAAATGATAAAAACTGCTTTTCCATTTCCGTCACTTGGACCCAGGGATTTTTTATTGAGCAGAATCAGCCTATTGGGCATTGCTTTCTCCTGAGGTTGCCTTCGGGGCAGGACTTTGGTTCAGTAAGAAGAGCAGGGGTCCCTGGGAGGGATGTCAGGAATGATCTGGACAGAGGGCATAGGGCATCTTTCCTGAGCATATTTAGGAGGAATTTGGGTGGCCAAGAGAAAGGATCTGAGCAGACCACCCAGGAGTAGGAAAAGGGGGCTTGGGCACTAGGGGTGGGGTTGGGGTGGATTGTGGAAATTGTTTTATTCAGCTCAACTCTCCTGGGCTTTTCCCATTCACCATGAAAAGAAGATCCTCCAATTAGTCACTGGTCCCAGAGTGTGAGCCCCATGGAACATACCTGAAAGTGACCTGCAGTCAGGAGCAAAGCCAGTCCTGCTGACTGCAGACCCACGAGTATTGTATACCGTTGAGCCACTTGGGGCTGTTTGTTATGCAGCATTATGAAACAGAAATCTGAGGAGCACAGGGACTTCTCCGTACCTTCATGACTCCCTGGGCTGAGCCCACTGTAGCACTGTGGCTCGTGGTCTAGAATCACCTCTGTCTCTAACTAGTATGAGGTTTAGGGGTTAAGAGTGGAATCCCAGTCTCTGGGTTCAAATTCTGGTTTTGATTATAGTATTGGATAAGTCATTTAACTCCTTTTTGTGTCACTGCCCATTTCATAGTCTCCCGTTTCTCCATGCATCATTCGGGTGGGGACCAGAGGCACCTAGCCCTCAAATCAGGAAAAGGGTGACTCCTTCCCTGGCAGCCATCCCTCCAGCCTGCTCAACAGCCAGACTCCAGCTTCACATGCCTTTTTGTGCCTCCAGGCCATCGGTCAGGTTGTCCCCTTCCTGAAGCTTCCTTCTCACCCTGACAGCTTCTCCAGATCCCTTGAGGCCTGGATTCAAATGTCACCTCTTTTCCCTGAGCATCCTGAAGCAGATGACAGTTGCCCAAACCTCTCCTTGTCACTCCTGGATTGTGCTGTGCTGTGGTTATTTGCTTGTTGCCTTCAGGCCTGGGATGGGCTGGGACTGATCAGTTGACCCTCTGGCTTCTTGCCAGAGTTTTTAGCAGGAGACACACAGCATCCTGTACCCTCCGTCTCTTCCTCCCCTACTGAGACTTGATGCACCCCTCACCAAGGGAAGGTGAACTGATCCTGCCTGCTAAGTTGCTCAGTACATAATTACATACCTATCACGGCATGGGGCTTTTCGGTGTACTTATCCCAGCCCTGATCTCCAGGGTGGGTATGCGGGATGGAGGCAGGGAAGAAGTGCTGAGCCCTTGCCTGTGGGAAGGAAGAGGAGGGTGATGTCAGGAGGCAGCAAGGCCCTGAGGAGGAGGGATGGGGGGTCACCTGCTGGGTGAGCTGGCCTGGGGTTCCCTGGGAGCTTGGGCCCTTCATTAACAGTTTGAGGCACGGAGACCTCAGGTCTGGACTTCTTCCACCACTGACTCACTTCTTGTCTGGCTTGAAGTCTACATTCAAATATGTTGTTTCCTTTCCCTGAGCATCCCAAGCAGATATTAGCCCTGCACCTGAAGCTCCCAAGTTCCCTCCATATCTTGGTGACACTCAAGTACCATACTCTGAAATGGCGGGGTGGGATGGGGGGCATCAAAAGACACTAGAACTTTGATTTCCAGTTTTCTACATTCCATAGGCAAGTAAAATAAAACAAATGAAATACCCAGAGGAGATACCCTTATGTAAAGAGCAGGCCATATCTTTTCTAAGTAATGATGTATAAAACAGCTGTCTTCTTTTATTATTACTATTTCACAAAAGAAAGAATAGTTTAATAGTAAAAACTGGGAGAAAGATATGGTCTCAGAATTAAGCTTCTCCCAAGAAAGGAGAGGGAGCAATGGTGCACAAATGTGAATATCATCTATATTGTGGAGAAGATGTTAGAGCAAAAGAGAAATTGCTAAAGTATTCAACAGAGAAATATCAAATGCCCCTAAATAAAATGTATAGATTGGAGGAAGAAATTTTCAGTGTGTGCAGAAACGATGATGATGATGATGAGGATGAGGATGATGGAGGTGATGATGGTAAGGACGATGATGATGAAGATGGGGTGGTGATGATGAAGGTGGACATGGTGATGATGATGGTGATGAAGATGGAAATGGTGGTGGTAATTATGGCGATGAAGATGTTGGTGGCTGTGGTGATGATGGTGCTGGAGATGGCGATGGTGATGGTGCTGATGGTGATGATCATGGAGATGGTGATGGTGTTAATGATGGTGCTGGAGATGACAGTGGCAATGCTGATGATGGCAATGGTGATGGTGATGATGTCTGACCTTTGTTGAGCTCCTACTGGGTAATAGGTACTGTACTCCATGGATTATCTTATTTAAGACTTAACCCCATGTATTATATTCCTGAAGCCGCTGCAACAAATTACCACAAACTAGGTGATGTAAGACAACAGCAATTTATTCTCTTATAGTTCTGGAGACCAGAAGTCTGAAATCAACTCTGGGCTGCACTCCCTCTGGAGGCTGTAGGGAAGAATGCTTCCTTGCCTCTTCAGCTTCTGGTGGCTGCCAACATTCCTTGGCTTCCTTGGCTTGTGGCCACATCACTTCAATTTCAGTCTCCCTTTTCACACTGCCTTCTCCTTTGTGTATGTCCTCTTCTGACTTATATAAGGACATTTGTCTCTGGATTTAGAGCTTATTCAAGTAGTCTGTGGTGATCTCATCTCAATATCTTTAGCTTAATTTCATCTGCCAAGGTCTTTTCTCCAAAAATAAGATAATATTCACAGGTTCCAGGGACATGGACATATCTTTTTTTTGAGGGGTCACTGTTCAACCCACTGTATCCCATTTTATAGGCAAGGAAGCTGGATGTCAGATTCTTTAAACTAGGTAAAAGTTGTACAATGATCAAATGGCAAAGAAAGAATCTGAATCTGACTCTAGAGCCTTGGGACTTCATCCTTATGGAGACAGGGTAAAGAAGAGAGGCTGTGTGGAACATTTACCTCCCATCTGTGTGTGGGGGAGAGGAGGTGCTTCAAGGCCATGTCAAGCTCTTCAAGGCCATGTGATGTAGGAGGGCTGGATTTGGTCTTAGGTAACAGGCTCCAAGGTTTAGAGCCAGCAGGTCACAAGCAGAGGAGGTAGGGGTTCGGGGGGTGGGGGTAGTTAGAGAAAGGGCAGATCCATGATTTGGGGGACTTCTTAGGGAGCAGAATTACAGAGTGTATGATCATGTCACCAAGCCCAGATGAGAGATGGCTTAGAGGAGAGCAGATTATAGAAATCGAGATGGAAAATGGGGAAGGGATAAAAATGAGTCAATTTGGTCTAAAAGCAGTGGACAAAGAATCCATAATGTATGAGGAAGTAAGTAGATATCTACCCATGTGTCATTTATAAATTCTTTCTATAACAGAGCACCTACCTGGATCACATGAAAGGATGCTAAAATTTACAGAAACAGGTAAAGAGGCATATTTTGGGGGTAAAGAACAGCAATATTCATTTGCTCTGTGGGACATTGCTCACATTTACTCACAGTAGCTTCCTGTGAATACTTACCTGTCTCCTGTGAGATCTTATGGGGGCAGGGTGGGCAGAGTCAACTTAGACATGTTGAAAGCTGTCCACACTTCTTCCCTCTGGGGCTGGAAACCTCAGCTTGAGAAGGAAAGGAGAGAGCTGGGTTTATAACATCTTGGGATGGTTCAAGAAGGAGCTCACGCCTGTCTTATGCCCAGGGCAGGTGTGATCTCTTCTGGGTGTCTCCCTAGAGACTCAGTTCCGCCTTTGGGGAAATAAGATGTCAATGCCATGGGGCATATGTGCCTTGTCCATGAGGCATGGGTGCCCTGTCCATGGAACACAGGCACTCTGTCCATGGGGCATAGGAGCCCTGTCCGTGGGACACAGGCACCCTGTCCATGGGGCATAGGAGTCCTGTCTGTGGGACACAGGCACCCTGTCCGTGGGGCATAGTGACCTTGTCCAGGGGGTGATGCTGTATTCGCCTTGTCTTCAAGGATTCTGATGCCTACCACAGCAGACTGCAGACTTTCGTTTCAGCTGAAACGTCTCTACCTTTATGTGTTGGTTTTCACATAAGAATTTATTTAAGACAAGAGATGAACAAAGTTTCCAGAGTACAGCATGATAATGATCTGTCTGGGAATACTTATTTTTCCTGCGTGACCCCAGGCAGACCTAGGGCCTATCCAGTGTGGTCACATATAGTTACAAAGGCCATGCCCTAATAGCCCCTGGGGTTCCCCTTCACATGTCAGCAATGTGAACTGCACCACCAAGAGATGTGAAGTGTGCTGGTCCTGGATCTGCCTCTAGCTTTGACTGTGCACCCCGGGGTCCCCAGGCTTGGTGCTCCCTCTAGTGGCAGGGTAGTTGTGGTCTGTAAGCTCTCAGTCTTGTGATGCCATCAGGAGCTCCAGAACTGGGAACAAGTTTTGGGGAGCCTGCATCCCTGGTCTGACTTGAGCATTCATGAGTTCATGCCCGTAATAAATACTGAGCGCCTTACTGTGTGCTGGCATTGTGCTTATCACAAGAAGAAAAGATCCCTCCCTCCCGAAGGAGCATCTAATCTACTGGGAGAAACAGACTATGAGGAAGAACACGAATAAATGTGTGATTAAGATTTGTGACCAATGCTATGAAGAAAACAAATAGAGTGCTGACATAGAGACAAGGGGTGGGGGTGACAACTGAGACAGAGGCATTAGGGGAGGCCTCTCTGGAAGGTGACCTTTGAGCTGAGATCTGAGGGATGAGGTGATTGCATGAGAAGAGGTAGGTAAGAGTGTCCTAAGCAGAAGGAACAGTGAGTGCCAAGGCCCTGGGACAGAAGAGGGCATTGCATGTCCAAGGAGCCACAGGAAGCCCATTATGGTTGGAGGGTCATGGGTAGGAGGGCCTGAAGCTTCAGAAGACATCCAGATGAGGCTGCAGTCAGGTGGATGCAGGCATCCAGATGAACCCTCGTGCTCTGTCTCTGAATCCCTACCAGTGGAACCGAGTGTGAGGAGTTAGGGGTTAGCAGAGTGTTAGAGGGAGCCTAGAGAGGAGGGCTCTTAACATTTCCAGGGAATTACCAAATGTCTCCCACTGAGCTGAGGAGATTCTGGGCCGTCTCCAAAAGTATATTCCAGAAGGGAAGCTACCTTAACATTAGTTAAGGTAATTCTATTTCCTGTAACAGAACCCCCCGCCAGATCTCAGTCACTTAATATCCTAGAAGTCTAATTCTCACATTAAGTCCACTTTGGTGTTTGGCAGGTGACTTTCTCTGTGGTGATGCAGGGACCCAGGCACCCGCCATCTTTTAGCTCTGCCATCTCTTAGGATCTTGGAGTCCTTCCCTTCCATCTGGCGAGCAGTGAAAACAGCATGTAGAGCTTTGCACAGGAGGTTTTTGTGGACTGGGTTTAGATGTGTCTATGACTTGCATTTGGGTGTGGCCAAGTAATCCAGTTACTGAATTACTGGGAAACAGAATCTACATGGATGCCCTCCAGGTAGAGGAATTGGGTGCTGGTGAACACACAGTCATCTCTGCCCCAGGCCTCTCTTTGAGTGACAGCAACAGTATGGACCAGAAGCTTTGTGCTGTGGCTTCACATTCAAGCCACTTGGGCGGCTGCCAGCCTCCTATCCCAACTGATTAAATCAGATTCCCCGGGAATGGGGCCTGGGCATCTGTATTGTTGAAAGCACCCCAGGACGTTGCAGCACACAGCTGAGGTTCAGGACCACCCTGAATGGTGGAGAGAGGAGCTTCTGGGACAGCAGTCACAGCTGGGCCCATCCTTCTTCCTGCTCAATAATCATCATTATGCCTTATTATCTTCTTACCAGGTGACAGGCTAGAGTGGCAGGAAGGAAGACAAAAGAAGTTATTTACAAATAAAATGGTCGGTCTTCCGCATTCTAGGGCAGGGGCTGCCTTCATCTCAAATGTGGGAGGCTCTTTGGCAGTGGGCAACAACTTTAATGGCTCCTCATGGTTGAGACAGGTGAACCTTACCTTGGCAGGTCTAGATGGTGAGAGCAGGAGAAATAGATAACTCCATTGTTCAGCTTGGGTAGAATTATGAGATTCCCAGGAAATAATGTGAGAAAGAGAAGGTAAGTGTTCCATGTTAAAAGAGTAGAAGGAAGATGTCAGAGAGTGGGTCGGGGGTAGGGAGACAGAGAGCAAGAGCGAGTGAGAGACAGAGAGATTGAGTCTATGGTAAGCAGTCATGGCTCATGGAAAGAGGGGACAATGAGAAATTCCCTGTGGCAGGAATGACCAATATACTCCTAGGAAGTATCGTGTCCAGCATTAAATTTGAAGTTGTTCTTTGTTCTATAATTGTTTTCCTACCCATAAACGTTTAATAAGTCTCCTATGTACAACAGCCTTGTATTAATGAAGTCTTGAAGGACTGAAGGAAGGAAGAAGTGTGCAAGTTAGAGTTCTTATTTAGCTTCAGGCAGGGAAAAATGGAAAAATGGATTCTGACTAAGCAGCAGAGGAATTTATTATTGGGTAAGCCAGTGACACTGTGACACAGGGACTCATACAAGTCACCCTTCAACCACTGGGTGGATGTGGCTGGCCTTTAGATAACCTCTTACTCGGTCTCTTCAAAACATCTCTTTCCTTCCGTCCTTCTGATATGATGCGCAAGAGCAGATGAGGGCAGGGATGGCAAACGTGAGCCCTTCTACTTCATCCTTGGCAGACATCACTAACTGATCTCTGTGCAAGTTCTTATGGAGCTCAGGGGCAGCTCCCTGGACCCTTTATATTTCCTGTTCCGGGCAGTCATTACTAACAGATCACAGATGATATGTGAAATACAATTTACTTCTGTTCCAGGGTCCATATGACACCTCTTTCAAGGCAATGTGTGTGCAATTTAAATGACACTATCTGTCTCTCAGCCCAAAGCAGCTGAGGATTCCATGTCCCAGGGACAAAGAGTTGCCCATCCTGGGGGCCCACTGCTACGGATCTTGCAGAAACTCAAAGGCTGCCATTCATTCTTGGGATGCTAGTCTTGGGGCAGAGCGGGAAGACAACTCGCTTGGGTGTTACAACCTCCTGACCCCAGCTTCCTTTGGAATGTGGCACCCCAAGCCTGCCTCTCCTGACTCCCAGTCTGTGGGTTCCACTCTGCTCTGATTTCATGATGCATCCTGACTTCATGGGTTCTAAAAACAATTATTTGCTAGCTTTGTGCCCACCCCTTACTTTCAATCAGGCCCAGGGTGGCAGAGAGTCATGGGGCTGCCAGTTTTGGCCAGGCTGGACTGGGGAGGGGATCGGCTACCCCTAAAGGAAAAGCTCTTCCAGCCAGGAATTGCCTTTCTCTTCCTAATGTGAGATAATTGGTTTCCTTTTTACCTAGTTCCTCCACAGCCTTCGTAATTACTGCCAAACCCTTGTCCCTCGACTTTGGCATTCCCACCAATGGACTTTTTTCCAAAGGGAAAGAGAAAAAGGCAAGAAGACTCAGAATGAAGGCCTGGGCTGGATTTACCTCCTGAGTCATCACCTACTCTCTGTGTGACCTTGGGCACGTTACTCACTTCTCTAAATTGTCCTCCCTAACTAACAGCTTCCTGCTGGAATTTTGAGAGGATGAGGTGATTTAAATGCTTAGCTCAATAGCGCATGGTGTGGCTAAACACTCGGGTGAATACTAGTATTGTTTCTTGTTACCTTTGTGCCTGGTGGTTTGGGCTGGGGTGTGAGGGTCAGGCTTTGGGGTGCTGGTTGGGGACTTGTGCCTTCTCTTTTTCTTTCCCCAAAGCTTCTGGAACTAAGCTCTCCCTCATCTCTTCAAGGAAGATGTGACACCAAGTGTGTTTTAGCAGAAACAAGACCCATATAAGTGATCCACTGAGGGGCCAGCAGGCTAATATGATGTTCTGAAAAGGGGCATTTTATTTTGTCAAATTGCTCTGGGGCTGCTGAACTTTGGTGGCTGTTTCTTGGCAGTGTTTCTGGACATCTTGTTCGCAGGTGATGAGAGGAAGGGCTGCCCTGACATCTTGTACAGGTGAGGGGGCTGGAGGCTTCCTTCCTGCGCGTTCCAGCCAGTGCCCCGCCTGCAGTGGGGGAGACATTTTTTCACCCGGTTCAATGTGCGG
This sequence comes from Homo sapiens, assembly GCF_000001405.40. Taxonomy (NCBI): domain Eukaryota; kingdom Metazoa; phylum Chordata; class Mammalia; order Primates; family Hominidae; genus Homo; species Homo sapiens. The sequence goes on from NC_000020.11 coordinate 39,109,520, forward strand.
GAGGAGGAGGGTGAGGTGGGGGCATGGGTAGAGGGGCCAGTGGGAGGAGTCCCCCCCACAGAGTCCTCTGTTAGAACAACCCAGAAGTCCCCCTCCCCAGCTTGGGGAGCCTCCAGGGCCCGTTCCCACCCCAGCAGCCCCCTCCCCAGCTGGGGGAGGCTCCAGGGCCTGTTCCCACCCCAGCAGCCCCCTCCCCAGCTGCGGGAGCCTCCAGGGTATGTTCGCACCCCAGCAGCCCCCTCCTCAGCTGGGGGAGCCTCCAGGGCCGGTTCCACCCCGGCAGCCCCCTCCCCAGCTGGGGGAGCCTCCAGGGTCTGTTCCCACCCCAGCAGCGTCTAGGCTCGCTTCCTGTCTCCCCGTTTTCTTAAAAGCTGTGTGTCAGCACAGGAGTGGCAGGTGTGTTAACTCCCGGAGCCTGCGCCTGTGCCCCAGCATGGGAAGAAAAATGCCGACTCGGAGAGAATCAGAGTCAGGCGCTGGCACTAGCCTTGGGGGCAGGAGAGAGTTGGTCGAAAGGAAGTGTTGGGAGAAGGCCAGGTGGCTGGTACTGAGGTACCCACGCCTGCTTCCTCTGCCAGGAAGAGAGACCCCCCACTAAGGTAACTGTGAGAAGTAGGGCACTGTCTCCCTCCCTCCCTCCCTCCCTCTTTCCCTCTTTCCCTTTTTTTCCTTTCTTCCTTCCCTCGTTTCCTCCCATTTTCCCCCTCCCTATTTCCATTCCTTTTTTCCTTTCCTCCCTCCCTCCCTCCCTCCCTCCCTTCCTTCCTTCCCCCTTTCTCTCCCTCTCTTCCTTCCTTTTTGCCCTCTGTCCTTTTTCCCTTCGGTCCTTCCTTTTTTGTTCATTTCTGCACTCCCCCTCCTCCCCTTCCTTTCCTTCTCTCCTCTTCTCTTCCTTTCCCTCTCTCCTATTCTCTCCCTTCCTCCTTTCCCCCTCTTCCTTCTCTCCCACCTCCCTTCCTTCCTGTTTTCCTCATTTGCATCCCTGCTTCCCCTGTGCTCTCCCTCCTGTCCTCCCTCCTCTTTTCTTGTCTCTTTCCTTTCTCTTCCCCTTCTTCCTCTCTCCTCTTCCTTCCTCCCTGCTCGCACCATGCCACTCAATGCTCCAAGCTGGACACAGCTGCAGGGAAATAGCCTCAGCCCTGGCCCCCAGGAGCTTCCACCTAGTGGGAGCCAGGCAGGTGGACAGGTGATGATCCTGTCACGTGATCCACATGCTAATGAAGATCTGGGCTGGTCTCCTGGGAGCTTTGCTGGGTCTGGAGGGGTAGAGAAAGCCCTCACAGAGCAGGAGACCTCTGGCCTGGGTCTGATAGTTTCTCTGGCTGAGTCAAAAGAAAGGGGCATTGTAGGCAGAGGGAAGAGCTTGCACAAAGTAGGGGGACATGGTCAATGAATTCTTATGCAAATTTGGAATTGGACAAGCCTAGGCTTGAGCCACTGTCAGTATAACCTCTGCCCAATCATTTCAGCCTCTCTCAGCTTCTCATCTGTAAAATGGGGTATGTTAGTACTCATGATGCCCTGGGATGTTTGGGGAACAGAATTAGCTCTTGCATCTGAAAATATCTAGCACTATGTGTCTTATCACATTTTACCCTCATGTCAACCTGGGGGGCCGGGTACAATTATATCTTAATTTTACAGTTCTGGAAATGGTGGCTCAGAGAAGTTGAGCAGCCTGTCCAAGTTCACACAGCCAGGTAGATTGAAGACACAAATGTAGGCAGCCTGATTCCCAAGCCCGAGTGTTTAATAACAATCTCTCCAAAGTCAGCACATACACTTGGAATAAAACTAACACATCAGGTGCCTGCTCTGTAAAATGAGGTTGCACAAACCTGGCAGGATGACAGGGATAACTCTCCAGAGCTGGAGGGGCCATGGGGGATGCACTTTTGATTTTTATGGCTTCTCAGGGTCCCACCAATTGTACTGTCTTAGCCTGTGTCTGGTTGGTGCAGGAAAAAGGAGGATGGGCAGTGGAGCAGGAGGAAGAAGGGGGAGGAAGAGCGAGGGAGGAGGGTGCATTGGAGGGAGCAGGAAGAGGAGGAGAGGGAGGAGGGAGAGGGGAGGAAGGAGGGGGGAGGAGGAGGATAGAGAGGAGAGGAGGAGGGAAAGGGGAGGAGGAAGGGGAGGAGGAAGGGGGAGGGGAGGGAGAGGAGGGGGAGGAAGAGTGGGAGGATAGAAAACGGGAGGAGGGGAAAGGGAGGAGGAAAAGGGGAGGAGGAGGAGGGGCAGGGGGAGGAAGAGGGGAAGGGAAGGAAGGGAAGGAGGGAGGGGAAGGGAAGGAGGAGGAGGAACTCTCTGACCCTACTCCCGAATCTGATTCTGTCCCTCTTTTCCAGTTCCCTGCACTGAGGTGTTGGAAATCCAGCTTTCCAGTGGAGGCTGCCTGGGTTTCCATCCTTGTAGCTGTGCTTTTTCTGTTCCTCTGGGACTTTTCTTCCCTTGACCCCCTTTCTTTCAGGAGCTCTTGGTCTTGTCTGAACAGCTTTTGTCTAAGAAGCCTCACAGACTGCCCTGGGCACCCTTTCCTTCTCCTTGCTCTGGCCTCTACTGTCAGTCTCTCCTCTCTGTTCTCCCTCTCTTCCCATCCTTCCAAGAAGGTGAACCGTGGGACTTCTGAGGTCTAAAGAAGGGTCCTGGATAGGGACTTTAGGAGCCCAGACCGGATGGTCACTGGAGAGGGACCCTTTTGTCATTATGTAGACTGGCCACACGATGGCTCCCTGGGACCGTCAAGCACCTGCCCAGTCTCTTCAGTGGGCCTCTGGTCGCCCTGGTGATTATTCTTTCCCTTAAATGTTCCACACGCACCTCTTCCTTATCTCTGTAGCTGGGCAGCCAACTTCTGGGTTTCCTGCTCACCCTGGGTAGAGAGATCCCAGTCACTGGGGCTTGCGTTAGAGAGGAGTGGAGTGGGGAGAAGAGCAGGAGGGGAGCAGAAAGAGAAGTGAGGGGCTTGCCAGGGGGCTAGTGGCTGAGCAGCTGTAGGAAGGGACTTCGTGGAGTTACTGATGGGCTCAGCCACCAGGAGCTGGGCTCTGGGGAATCTTTAGGAGTGAGAAACAGAGCCTGGATGTCCATTCCAGGGCCCCAAACACAAGGCTCACTTCCTGGAAGCATGAGGACTGGAGGTGACACAGAAAAGGCTGGCGTGAACTTCCAGACACCTGAGGAGCAAGAGCTCAGAGTTCCAGCTGGAGGTGGCCCGGACTGCAGACTTGGCCATGGCCAGTGGTGGCCCTTCCCGGACATGGCTTGGAGCTGATGGAGCTGCTGTTTGGGACAGCAGGATGTGGCTTGACTCGGGCACTGAAAAACAAGGCTGGCTTTTATGAAAAACAAACAAAAACTCAGGTGACCAGAGTTTCACGCATGCTCAGAAAGCAGTGGCAAGTTAGGATTATAATAATAATGTTATAACAATAATAATGTTATAACAATAATAATGACAGTAGCAAATAACCATCTTTTTGAGGATTTATGGAACATGTCAGACACTGCTTTTTTTTACATGGGTTGTTTTGTTTACATGGATTACCCCATAGGGGAGGTAATAGAAGGGGATTTATAATGACAGTCAAACCTGAAAAGGAGACACTTTGTTTTAGCACAACAAGACCCAGGGTACCTGCAGGCTGGAGTGTGGCTTTCTCATGGGCTCCAGGTGATTGCAGGGATGGAGAGAGAAACTCGTCCATTTCACTTGCAGGGTACACAGGGACTTGCCATCACAACCTTTTTCATTTCCAACCATTTTCTTCCTGTTGGAAGGAATATTCCTCAGCTGAAGTTGGATCTGATTTAATAAGGCAATAACCAGAGAAATGCATTTCAATTGATTATTAAGCATTTGTTTATTAGGACTCAGTAGCTCTGACCCAAATAGCTGCTAAGCAGTCATTAAACATCAAAGAAGATGTTTCTGTTTATATATTTTGTTTATTTACCGTCATGAACAAACATTATTGCATCAATTAAATGTCGATTAGGGGGTCTATGGTTTGAATTAGATTATACACATAGTGTCAAATCATTTTCGTGTCTCTTTCTGAGATATAATCTATTTTTGTTTTAGTATCTAAAAGGATTCCATCTAAGTGTTAGAAGCTGTGGCCGGCAGGGGTTACGGGGTGGCTTCTGAGCACTTCTAAAGCTGATGTTTCCTTTTTTGGAGTTTGCAGCCTGGATCCCTGTGACAGCCTGGAACTCCTGATCCATTCCTCATTGATCATTCATGAAGGGGCCATTTCTCTGCGATTCTTTGCTTTTTTGGGCATTAATTTTCTAGAAAACAAAACAACACAACAATAACTCTAACCTCCATCATAAAACCCTTAGATATTTATCTCCAAGGCAGCTAAACTGAGTTGTGGAAATGAAATTAAGTTCTCCATTAATGCTGCTTCAATTAAGCAGCATTGAAATCAGGAATGGTGTGCTTGAAAGAATATATGATTTTCCTAGTCACAGTCTAGAAGCATTGAAATAACATATCTTAATATATTTTTATTCAAAAAAATTGGATAATTTTCTAATTATATGAGACAACTATGTGTATTTATAAAATCACATATAAACCTGAGCTTAATTTTTTTTAAATTGATAAAATTATATATATTTATCATGTACAACATGATATGTATACATTGTGGAATGGTGAAGTTGAGTTAGCATCCTGGCTTTTTAAGTCAGAGGAGAGGGGACCCGCAGGAGGACCCTGGCTGAATTGGGCCCCATCAGACCCAGAATGGAACCCCCCCGGTCCCCAGAATTTGTCCTCCTGTTGTACTCAGTGCGTTGGTGGAAGCAGAACTCCCCATGGGAACAGGCAGACCTAGATTTTCTGGGGTGGGAGGGGAAGGTAAAGGTGCAACAAATTGAGATTTCTCCCTGCCCTAACTCCCAACCCAGCCCAGAAAAGAACTTTGAGTGAGGCCAGCAGTGGGGAGGCTGAGCTCTGGCAGCCTCAGGGGTCAGTCCTGCAGGGTAGCGTGCGGGGATCTGGCTCTAGCCACATGGGGGCTGGCATGGATGCCATGAGGCTCAGCTACCCCTCTCCTTCCACCTTGTTCTTTCTGGGCAGGGGCAGCCCTCCAGATCCCAGTCAGGGTTTATCCAGGGGTAAAGGAGAGAAAGAAAGGTGAGAGTGAAGAGGAGAGTCCAGGTGAGTGAGGGAACAGCTTGAAGAGGCCAGCCATTTGCATATTAAAGAGCCTCTCGGCTGGATGTGGTGGCTCACGCCTGTAATCCCAACACTTTGGGAGGCTGAGGTGGGTGGATCACGAGGTCAGGAGATGGAGACCATCCTGGCCAACATGGTGAAACCCCATCTCTACTAAAAATACAAAAATTAGCTGGGTGTGGTGGCACACACCTGCAATCCCAGCTACTCAGGAGGCTGAGGCAGGAGAATTGCTTGAACCCAGGAAGCAGAGATTGTAGTGAACTGTGATCAAGCCACTGCACTCCAGCCTGGGCAACAGAGCAAGACTCCATCTCATTTAAAAAAAAAAAAAGGCACCTCAAGTTCTCTAACGCTTCTAGCCCAGAAGTTTTCAAACTTTCTTTTAAATCAATGGAACTGTTTTATCAAGTGACATCTTATTTCAGTGAAAGTGTAGTATATATGAAGTTTAAACACAGTTGAAGTGGTCAGTGCAGGGTGCCTCTCACTTGCCCCCTAAGCACTCCCTGCCATGGTACCCAGAGGCGTTTCTGCAGAAATCCTCTTACTTTGTAGACGTGCTTTGAAAACCACTGCATTAGTACACTGGACAGCCCTGTCCTTAAAAGCTAGTCGCCAGCCCAGCATGGACAACAGAAGAATCCCTGGGAATGAGACCTTCTCAAAGTCCCAGGCCCACCTATGAACATTCAGATTTCCTAGATCTGGATTTCACCCAAGAATGTACTTTTAACGAGAGCCCCAAATGATTCTAACCCAGTAGGCTAGGCTGGAACTAGGGTGAGGCCAGCAAGTGCTTGGAACTGCACTTACACGGCCTTGAGAGTGAAGCCTCCTGAAATTTTATACTGTAGGCCCCTCACTGGCCTCACTCTGGTTCTGGCCCAGGTACTAACCATGTGAAAACCAACACCCAGCTACACTCTGGGGTTTGGCTGCATACAGAAGTGCTCAGATGGGGCTTGAAAGAATGAATGAAAGCCATAGAGATCTGCCTCCTGGTGTCCCATGGGACAGACAGCAAAGAAAACAGGTTGTAGGCAATATTCATAGTCATTTTTATTACTGCTATTGTTAGGAATTTATTTTTTGATGCTTGTAAGGTACAAGACACAGTGGGAAACAATTTATAAACATTCTCATCTTTCACCTTTGCATCAGCCATGTAATAGTTCAATTTGTAAATGGGGAAACGAAAGCTTTGAAAGGTGAAAGTCTCGTCCAAATTCACACTGCTAGTCGTGATGCCTAATATTCTCCATGGCTTGAGCTCTTTACCTTTCTGCTGTACTGAGGATAGGTATACGGCCCTTCCTTAGCATGGGGGATGATGTTCCTAAATGACCCTCACTAATATAATAGCATCCATTATGGACTGTAGTCACTGTGTATGTTTGCCCAGCAAGCATCCTCATCTGCTTCTCTGAAGCAAATCTCACTCCCACCCTGGCCACAGGATCACTTGATCCAGGTCTGGCCAATCAGAATCCTCCATTGCCCTAGACCGTGATTAGTCTGGGAGTAGACACGGGGTCTAAGTCAGACCAATCAGATGCCTCCCCAGGATTTCCAGTTAGGAGCTGGAGAAGCTGACTTGCCTCTGGGGTCACTGATCTGGAAGGAGGTGAGGGGTTGCTCACAGCCAGAGCTCTAGGAGAGAACAAAGAAGAGGAAGCTGGTGACCCAGTCTTGTTGGCAGGTCCTTCTTCAGTTCTATGAGGTGCCTGAGCATGTATTGCTGTCAGCTGTGGCAGAAAATAGTTTTCATTTTTTACTTTAGGCTAGTTTGAGTTAGTTTTCTGTCACTTGCAACCAAAGAATCCTGATGAATTCAGCATCCAACATTAACATCACAGTCCCTCTACTCTGAGCCCTGTCTGAACCACCCGCCATCCCGCTGGCATTTCACAGTGGTGTTTGTGCCTCCTTTCTCCTCCCCTGCAGTTCATGCCTTTTCACAGATTGGCTGAGGATTCTCTGAACACTATTCACTCCCAGAAAGTTCCCAACACCACCTGAATGCATTTATCTTTTAAAAATTATGGTAGAATACACACACAACATTTATCATCTTAACCACTTTTAAGTATATTTCAGTGGTATTAAGTTTATTCATACTGTTATGCAAATCATCACCAAATCCTCATCCATCTCCAAAATTCATTTCATCTTACAAAACTAAAGCTCTGTACCCATTAAACAATAACTCCCATCCCCTGCCTACCCTCCTCTCTCCAGCCCCTGGTTACTACCATTCTAGTTTCTATCTGTGTAAATTTGACCATTCTAAGCAACTCATATAAGTGGAATCATATAATATTTGTCCTTTGGTGACTGGCTTATCTCACTTAACATAATGTCCCCAAGGTTTGTCCATGTTGTAACATGTATCAGAATTTCCTTCTTTTTTAAGGCTAAATAATGTTCCATTGTATGTATATACCATATTTTGTTTATCCATTGATAAACACTTGGATTGCTTCTGTGTGATAGCTATTGTCAATAATGCTGCAGTGAACATGGGTGTGCAGATATCTCTTTGGCATACTGATTGAAATTACTTCGGCTGTATATCCAGAAATGGGATTGCTAGATCATGTGGTAATTCTAGTTTTAATTTTTTGAGGAACTGCCATACTGTTTTCCACAGTGACTATGCCATTTTACATATTTTACATTCCCACCAACAGTGTATGAGGGTTCTAATTTCTCCACATCCTCACTAATGCCTTTTTTTTTTTTTTTTTTTTTTTTGCTAGTAGACATCCTGATGGGTGTGAGGTAGTCCTAATGCATTCTTAGTAATGACAATTGTATCAGTTTTGCTCCATAAAAACTACTTTAAAATCAGAGGCTTAAAACAACCACTATTTACTCAGGTCATGATTCTCTTGAGTTAGGAATATGGACTGAGCTCAGCTGAGTGGCTCTTCTGGTCTTGGCCAGACTTACCCATGTGTCTAGGGCAAGCTTTGTGTTGACTTGTCTAGGAAGACTTCAGCTGGGATGACTCATTGGTGCTTCATGCCATCTCTCACCAGAAAGCCAGGCTTGCTCACATGAAGGCTGGGCAGAGTTCCAAGAGAACAAACTAAAGCATTCAGTGGAAGTGGCACAACATTACTTCCTCTGAATTCCACTGGTCAAAGCAAATCACCAGGCCAGCCCAGATTTAAAGTGTGGGGAAATCTCTGTCTCTTGATAGGAGGGTCTGCAAAGGCAAATTGCAAAGGGATGTGGATATGAGAAGTGAATAATTACAACCAATTTTTTTTTTTTTTGCAAAATCTAGCATAACAACTTTTCAACAAGCTTTCATGTCAGACAGAAGGAATTTGCATTTGAGATTTGCTCCAATGGGCTCACCCAATTCATGAGTTTCAAAGGCTGTGGTTCACACCTGCAAAACTAGACTATGCTGGGAATTGTGGAATCAAGGCTAATGCCTGATAATTTCAAATGAGAATTTTTTCCTTCTAAAATCAGTGGATATTTCTGAATAAATTGTTCTTTCAGTCACGAATCATGGAGGCAAGAGCTTCAATTCTCCATTCATTTGCCATAAGCAGTTGACTCAAGGACAGCTCTGACTGTCTAGCCCTGTCTATTAATGAGTGCCATTATACAATTAACTTTTCCATCACCTTTAGAAGATGCCAAGCCAGACTCCTCCTCAAAGCCCACAGTGAACAGGGGAGCCTCCACGGAGCTCCATAGCCTGCTTAGATGTTCAGAAAGTAAAAACCAACTGAAAGTGAAAGACTTCTAAAGCTCAGAGCTTTCCCAGTAACTGGACTAATGGAGAGTACAGCCAGATCCAAATGGTTGGAACTGTTGCCAGGGAAGTAAAGGGAAGTAGGTACCTCCAAGCATTTTATTAACCTGGTAAATCAGTCCCTGGAAGCCCACTGGGAAGGTTTGGAGCAAGTTTCCTACTTCGTTATTTTAGTCACTGCTACTGTAATGCTGCATAACAAAACACCTCAAAGTCAGTGGTAAACAACAAGCATTTATTTTTCTTTCTTATGGGTCTGTGGGTTGGCTGGGGTTCAGGGGATTTTGGCTGGGCCAGGCTGGACTCCAGGGAGGATGTGGGATTCAGATCTGTTCCACAGAGCTTTGTTCTCCTTGGAGCAGTGGCTCTCCAGAGCATGAGCTTCCCATGGAGAATAGGAGGAGCTCAGAGGGCAAGTAAACCATCTGTGCCCACATGAGGCTTCTGCCTGGTCATGCGTACTATCATCCTATCAGCCAGTGTGAGTCACGTGGCCAAGCAAAACATCCATGGGGGTAGAGACATAAGCTTCTCTCCCAGTGGGAGAGCAGTGCAAGCACTGCAAGTTACGTGGCAAAAGTTGAGATGTATAATCTTAGTATGGTGGAGTAAGAATTGAGACTGAAAACAGAATCTACCATATTTACCCAGAGGGGGTTGGAGGTTGAGGTATTGAGGTTAAACCTATGTTGTGTGCAAGTGAAGTTTTGTATTTATCTAGGAATGTCTGAAAGATGGCTGGGCTGAATCAGCAGGGGCTATTGAAATGAGGAACTGAGGATTCTTAGGAGAGTGAGCTCCTTTGGGGTAATAGAGAACTGGGCCAAGGAGCTTATCCAAATAACACAATCCCAGTCCTTGAAGAGAGGGGCATTTCTGAGTACTCCATGATGGAAGTCTCTGTTTTTTTTCCCTGTATGACCCCTATCCCCACCATTGACTCATGACTGGTCCCTGGGGAGAGTTGATTATTCCAATAAAACATTGCGAGATGTTGGGGCCTAAGCACCATTGCTATGAGTCCCTTCTGGGGGAATTAAACATGGAAGAGGGTTTTTTTTTTCCCCCCAAATCACAATTCTTCACCTTGGGGCTTTGAACCCCTGTGGCCCTAGACATCTGCAGTGACTGTGGCTGGCAGCGGGTAGGAGGTGGCATACTCAGTGGTGGCAGAAGCGGTGTCCAAGAGAAGCAATTGTACCAGGGGAAGCAATATTGGTGCCCACCTATCAGGAATGGCAGGGATCTGGACAGGTAGGGAGAGGCAAGATTGAGGAACAGGGAAGGGTGTCCTGCTTGGAGATGTGGCCTGTACCCTGGGCACACTCCAGGCTCAGCACACTCTCTAGCACATGCAGTGGTCCCAGCCATATTCAGGCTAAGGCATAATGCTTAGGCAGCCCTTCTATACTTCAGGAATGTGATGGGTTCATTTATTCCTATCAGGCCATGACAGGGTTTGCAAACAACCTTTTTAACACTGTTCCTTTGTTCATTAAGTATCAAGTACCTTCTCTGTGCTAGGTACTATGTAAGGGATGGTTGAATAGGAAACATTTTCTGCTTTGCAAAGCTCTTCCTCTTAGTGCAAAGTTGGGTAAACTATTTCCTGTGGGCCAAATATGACCCACCATCTGTTTTTGTAAATAAAGTTTTATTGGAATGCAGCCATGCTCATTTGTTTACATATTGTCTATAGCTATTTTAACACTATGATGGCAGCACTGAGTAGTTGTGACAGAGACTCTATGGCCCGTACTGCCTAAACTATTTACTATTGGCTTGTTGTAGAAAAAGTTTGCCAGTCTGTTGTCTAGTGGAAAAGAGAAACATAAACAGATGAACAGATAAATAGGCAATGACAATGTAGCGTGACAATACTGTGACAGAAGTAAGTGCTTGGCTTTGGTGGGAAGTAGGATCAGGGAAGGCTTCCTGGAGTAGGCAATGTCTATACCAAGACCTAAATAGTGAGTTCAGAAATTTTGGCAAAGGTGTGGGGAGAGATTGCCAACAGAGGAAAGCATGAACAGAGGCCAGAGGTAAGAGAGAACATGGGGTTTTGGGTGGTGGGAGCTGAGAGAAGAGGCTGGGAAGAGTGCTGGTAGCATGTTGGGCATCTCGTCGCCATTCAGGAAGGTGGCATCCATCAGCGGTGGGCTGTGCTTGGCACTGTGCTATTGATATGAATGTGTTCTCAATTCCTTCTAGGACTGGATTTTAATATTTCTACTTTACAGATGTGAAATGAACATGGCAATAAAGGAGCTGGAATTTCTGGAGGCAGGGATTTTCTGGATGGACGATTCACGTGTGTTTGCCACATCCTATGAGTGCTGGGATGGGTTGTGGTTAGAATGGTGGGGGTGTAGCCTGGCCTTGCCTCATTAACTTGTGGTCCCTGTGCTATGCATTTCAAGACTTGTTCCAGTCCCAGAGTGTCCTGTGCCCACACTCAGCCTCCTACTGGGGCCCCCACCTAAGACAGGGCTCCTTGAGTTGTGGGTTGAGCTCCATGTCTGGTTCTTCCTCCTTTTCCCATCAAACCTGTGCCTTTTGCTCTCAGGCTCCAACAGGACCTGCAAATCCACACTTGGGGCAAAGCTCCATGACTCAGGGCAGCTACCCTTTAATGCTTAGTGTGAGGCGCAAGCATCATCCTGCCCCTTCTTGTGCTCAGAGCAGACTTGCTAAGGGATCACCAAACCTTCCCATTGAATCCAGACACAGCCTCAGAATCCTGCTCAACACAGCCCTCCACTGATCACCCAGCATACTTGCCATCCTTTCCTTAACCCAGAGGGAAAGCTTGAGCTCACGCAGTACTTTCTGCACAAACCTAGTCACTGCTCGCAGGTAGCCAGCCTTTTTGTCAACTCTGATTTTGACCCGGGACTCAACACAATTCAACAAATGTTCACCGAGAATCCACTAAGTGTCAAGGAGCAGAGATGAATAAACATGGTCTCAATGCCCTAAGGAGCTCACATTCTGATGAGAGACGTTATTGACTTGAGCAACCACTGAAGTGGCAGCCTTTCTCTGCTTTTTCTCAGGGTTGTGCTGACCGCACGCCCTGCAGAACTGGACTCAGGCTTCCCCATCTGAGATGTGGCTATGCCTGGGTGGGGCTGCGTGGCTAGGACTTCTGCATCTCAGACCAGAGGGCAGAAGATGCAGATGAGGAGGGGGAGAGGACCCCACTGGAATGGCAGCAGCTCAAAGTAAAGGATGAGGTCAGGTTTGCACCAGGTTAGGATCAATGAACAGTGAGCCTGGCCTGAGCAGTGGGTACAGCACTAGGGTTTCTGGAATCTTCAGATAAGCTGGTACACTTTGGGACTCTGGCCACCCATTCTCTCCAGGCCCAGTGGGGGAAAGAGCTGACAAGCACAAAGCTACAGTATCAGGACCTCAGCCTCCAAAGCAGAAACAGAGCAAGAAGGAAACTGAGGCAGGGGAGTAGCCAGCCCGACTCCACAGCAGGATTGGGCACACATGCATCAGGAGTCGTGCAGATCACCAGGCTTAGGAAGACAGCAGCTCTAGGAGGCTTGAGGGCTGATTTTTCTGATCTACTGCACCCTGACCAGCACTGGTTTAGGGACGCTGGAGAGTGGGTTCTCCCCATGTTAGGACTCAGTGTGAGAGCTGCTTATGACTTTGCCAGGTTTTTTCTTTAGCCGCTGAGACATCTCTCCACCCCAGGATCTGGCAATCACATCAATCCCAAAAGGGGCACCTAAAGCCTTCAACTATTTGCCTTTCTATGGAGATTTCCAGAATCTACTCAGTTGATGCCATAAATAGGTAGAGAAGGGAGTGTGTGTGTGTCTGTCTCAGTCTATGAACACACACACACACACACACACACACACACACACACACGGAGTCAGACCTCCTTCATCAGAATCAGTTTGCAAACTTCATTTCCTTAGGATGAAGAGAAAAGAAAATTATTATTAACATATCAATGGCACCTCCATGCTGAGAACAAGATTACCCTCAGTACACACAAGCGCCCAGGGAAGCTCAGACACTGTATTTTAAATGTGCTCTGTTTCTGCATCTCCGTCTCCCCCACCCCACCCCCATTCCCTTCCTATTTTTTTTTTTTGTTCCTCTAAGCTTGTTTCTCTTGAAATTTCCACCTTGTGGTTGTGTACTGCTGACTTCACATTTGCTGTGGTGTGAACTCCACATCTGTGAATGGATGACAGGAAAGATTAATAGCCCTGCTCTCTTCTCCTTGACTGTGGGCCCAGCTAATGAATAAATAAATAAATAAATAAGCAGAGCTCCAATCCCCTAAATAGAGACCCAGAGCCAGGGAGAAAACAGCATTTCGCTGAATCCATTCTTTAAGGAAAAACCCAACCTCTAATGATCTCTGATTTACATAGTCGGCAGTTTTTCACTAAACATTTTACAAAGACACAAAAGTGTGGGGTGGAGGGATCGCTCCATGTTCTTTCCAGATGGAGGCAGGGGTCCCCCTGAGAAGCCCACAGGCCAAACAGGGCTGGTGCAGAGTGTGGGCTAGCTATGGAGGTGAGCCGGTTTCCCACTCAGGCCGCCTTAGGCCTGGGATCATTGAGTCGAGCGATGATGAAGAGGGAGGCAAAGGGACCCCTCAGGGGTCCCGGTAGTTGGTCCCCACACTTACCAGGTGGGAGGAAGGTGTGGGCTCACCAGGCAGCTCAGAAAGCCTACGAGTGTAAGGGGAGGGAGGCAGGGAGATAATTCATTTCCTCCTGCTTCCTTCATGCCTCCAGTTCTGGTGAAAGAGAAGCTCAGATATGCGCAGACAGAGCTTCTCAAACTTGAATGTGCCCTAATGACCTGGAGATCTGGTTGGAATGCAGATTCTGATCAGTGGGTATAGGGTGGGGCTGAGACTGGCCAATTCCATTAAGCCTGCAGGCGCTGCTGCTGCTGCTCCAGGGGTCACACTTAGAGTAGCAAGATGTTGCAGAGGCAGCAGAAAGTCAGGTTCTGCCCCCTCCTCTGTGGCCCTTGTCTGAGGCTTCACAACAGTCATCCCTTTCCTGCCAGCCCCAGAACTTGGCTGTTACCTGGTTTTCCAACCTCAGCTGACTCCATGGGTCTAATATCCCAAGGTACCTCAGCCAAATGCAGCATACACATCCTCTCTGGACCAGGCTTGGAGAATTTGGCTTTCCCTTGGCTGTGTTTGTAAAGTATGGTTGTTCCTACCTGGTCTCTGCATCTTTAATAAAGTCCATCATTGGATATGAAGATGCTGTGCCTGGGTGACCTGGTTGAGGGGCAGGTGGGCTCAGTGGCAGCAAAGACATCTGTAGGCTCTGATTGGGCTGAGCAAGAGCTAGGGGTCAAAGGCAGTGGATGCTGGAGGGGCAGCGAGGGGCTTCCCTGCACAGCCAGGAGTTTGAGGGGCCTGAAGGCACACACACCAGCCATCGATCTTAACCTGCTCACTTCTAGTACCCATCAGCTCACTTCACTCCTTTTGATGATGAAGCAGAGATGAGACTAGTCCAGCAGAAACCAGGACAGGAAGCCCCACAATGCCAGCCATGCCCCTCCATTATGATCCCCCTGGCTCAGCGTTCAGGTGGACAGTCTCAGGTGTGGTCACATGGGGATGAAGGGAGCAGACAAGTTAGGGAGCCAAGCTGACCCAAGCCCTGACATTCTGTTCTTCCTCATGATTAGCCCGGTTGTCAAACTCATCCTGGCCCTCAAATTCCAGCCGTGAGTCAGCCTATGAAAGCCCCAAGGCAAGTTTATGATTCACCTGAGTGTAGCTCATCTTCTCTCTGGATAATCCTCAGATGACCCCCACCCAGCCAGGGGGAGCTGCCTTTATCATCCCATGGGCAGGATTAGCCCTGCACATCCAACCACCATTTATTTGTCGAACCTGTATTTGTTCACCTGTGAAACGGGTGAAACGGGGACCCCAATACCTTCTTCACGGAGTGGGGAAGGTAGAGGAGCCAACCCTCAAAAGCACCCAGGTCAGGGTCTCAGTCCACTGTAAACATCCCCCAACCCTGGTAGCAATCATGCCTTTGCATTGCCTTCTCTTTCCGGCTGTCTTCTAGCTCATCACTTCCAGGTGTGCTTCATGAAACAAATCTCATGAGATATTCACACAGAAAAATCTGTAACAAAAAATTGGGAAAATTGCATAATATTCCTTTCTTGAAGAGTTAGTCTAACTTTACTTGATTCTGCTTGACTCAAACTTGTTTGGCCATAGAACCTTTTTCTTGGGCATAACATTTATTAATAACTGGGGTGTCAGGAGATGGGAGCCAGCTGACATGCTTCTTCTCCAAAGCCTTAACCCAGAAGGTATGCCTAGTGGCATCTGGGTAGATCTGGCCAGCTGGGGAGGCTGGGTTTTGTGGATGCAGGTTTTCCCCACTCTAGTCCTAAGCTGTAGGCATCTTTCTCCCATGCCTATCTCTTGAGTATTCTGACACGCTAACTCCCTGGGGCTTTAGCTCCCAGCACCTGGGCAGATTAGGCTGTTCCCTTGCGGAGAAAGGTGAGAATTTAAACTTGGAGCCACCCAGACAAGCTTAACCAGAGCCCCTTGCTTTGTACAACTCAGGGGTTAATGCAGTGTCACAGCCCAACCCAGGTCATGCCTACTGAGACTGATGTTTGTGGCCTGCCCATAGCCCCTTAGCATTTATTGTTGCAGGAGGTGCACACTGGCATTCCATTGTAAGCATTTGTGACTCTGCAAGAGATATTTTTCTCTGTTTCTGGGGAATGCTGGACGTGCAGACAATTAATGCCCCTGGGAGGAGCCCTCACCCACTACCTGATGGGGTGTATTAGTTTCCTGTGGCTGCTATAACAAAATATCACAGACATGATGGCTTAAAACAACAAAAATTTATTCTCTCTAAGTCTGGAGGACAGAAATCCAAAATCAATATTACTGGGCAGAAAGCAAGATATTAGAAGGACCATGCTCCACCTGGAGGCTCTAGGGGAAAGTCTGATCCTTGCCTCTTCTAGCTTCTGGTGGCTGCTGGCATTCCTTGACTCATGGCCACATCACTCCAATCTCTGCCTCCGTGGTCATGTTGCCTTCTCCCTTCTGTTTGTGTCAAATTTTGCTCCGCTTCCCTCTTATAAGGATACTTGTGATTGCATTTAGGGTCCACCTGGATAATTCAGGAAAATTTTCACATCTCAAAGTCCTTAATTACATCTGTAAAATCCTTTTTTTTTTTTTTTTTTTTTTTGCCATATAAGGTCACATTCGCTGGTTCTAGGGATCAGAATATGATATCATTGGAGGCCATTGTCCAGCCTGATATGTAAAAGGTTGGAGGGTAAATACTCCAATTTCCTTGCCTCTTGGGTAAGGTAACACCGAGAGCTGTTCTACACTCTCCTCTCTCCTAAAATTCCTCAGAGAGATTGAGCCTCAGTTGTCCATGGCAACAAACTACTCAGCAACACACTCTGTTGCTTTTCTTTCCTTCCTGTCTCACTTCTCCACTCTTCTAACTGTTGATTCCTGGGATTGCCTCTAAATAAACTACTTGGCCTTGAATCCTCCTCTCAGGGTCTGCTTCTGGGGAACCCAGCCTAAGAAACCCATCTATCACCAACCATGCACAGCAAAGGCAATCACTTTAATCGATTACCCTTTGGATTCACAAAGTCTGGGTGGATGTGCCCTGTAGACACAATGTTTGCAGTTGTGAGTGAGGTAGCTGGGCCAGCAACCCCCCAGACTACAGTGTTGTAACCACCTCCTCTCAAAGAAGATTTAATCCAGCAGAGGGATGTCTTCCCATCTGTGTCTATCTTGACATCCACAGTGAAGCAGAAATCTTGATGGGACGTGAAGAACACCATGGTCACCACAGTCTTTTTTGATTCAGAGATTTGACCTTCTCCAGACTTTGGAGAAAGAGAAGCCCTGGTTAAGCCAAACAGCTTACAGGGGCTGCTAAATCTGATGACTGCTTAGCAGAAAAAAATATCACACGGTGGAAGGACATAGAACCGAATGAATGTCCAGAGGTGCTGTCCAGGAGCCAGGGACTAGAGTCAAAAACCTTAGAAGTCTACCTCATGTTCTGTTGTACTGCAGCTGAGCTGGCACTCAAACCATAAGATGCTATCCTTCCCACTCTTCCCTCCCCTTTCCAAAGGCAGAAGAGCCTCACCCTGGGGTCACAGGCACCACAGGCCCATGGAAAGTACTGCCAGACTACTGGAATATTCCCTTAAGGCCCAAGGGCTCTTCAGTCAGCTTGTGATGAATGCTGCCTGGCCTAGGACTTGACCTTCAGGGCAGTGGACTCCTCTCTGGTCCAGGGCAGGTCCAGAAATGCCATCCAAGAGCCAAGTCTTGGAATCGGGGACCCCAACAGCCTGCTTGGTGCTCTACCCACCCTGTGGCTGAGCTGGTTCCTGAAGTGCAAGACAAAGTCCCCTCCCTTTACTTTTCCCTCTGCTTTTCTCAAGCAGGAGTTAAGGACGCTCGATAGCCACCACAGCTGGCAATGTGCTGAGTCTCATCTGAAGCCAGCAAGTCTTGGATTCCCACCCAAGGCCCTCAGTGTAGTACCTGGGTATTGCTGCTGGCTATTCAGGGCCAAAGGGCTCTTCAGCTGGTAGTTATTGAATCCTCCCAGGACTGGGTTCTTCCCTTCAAGGCAGTGGGTTCCCATATGGCCCTGGGTATGTCTAGACATATTGTCTGGGAGCTAGGGCCTGGAAAGGGGGCCTCATTGACTCTGATAGGTGTCCTGTCCTGCTGTGGCTGAGCTGGTATCCAACATGCAAAACGAAGTCCTCCCCACTTTTCCCTCTCCTCTCCTCAAGTGGAAGGAAGGGTGTCTTTTGGATCCACAAGCTCTGTAGCCTGGGGTTAGGGGAGGAGTGATGCCAGTACTCCCTCAACCACCCTGGCTAGTGTCTCAGTAGGTCATATACTCACCCAGTCCACTGGCTCTGGGCCCAGTTCAGCACTAGGACTCACCTAAGAGTTGTAGTCCTTGTGGCCTAGACTGCCCTTCCAATTTAGGGCCCCAGAGCACTTTAGCCTGCAGTGGCGAGGCTTGTGGAAACTCAAGTTGGGATCACTGGGATTGGCAATACATTTCTGGCTAGGGCTGGTTTAGATGCTCCCTCTGTGGGTGGGGTCAGCTAAGTTTGGATCCATTTTTCTTTCTGCTATAATAGGGCAGCACTGAATTCAATGTCTCACAATTGCTGTGATCTCCCTCTCCCCAGTGCACAGTGAGATTCTCCATACCACACTGTCACTGCTGGCGGTTGGGAAAGGGGTGGCATCAATGATTTAAAACTGTTTTTCTTACCTCTTTAGGGCCTTCATCAGCGATGTGAAATTCAAACCAGGTACTGTGAGTGCTCACTTAGTGTTTGGTTCGTATGAAGGTGCTTTTTTTTTTTTTTTTTTTTGTATATAGTTGTTAAATTGGTGTCCTTTTGGGGTGGGAGGAGACAATCGGTGGAGTCTTCTATTCCACTATCTTGCTCTTGTCTATTTTTGTTTTTGTTATTATTGTTTGTCTGTTTATTTGTTAGGCTGTCACAATCTTGGGTCAAGCCTCATTTCTTTTCCCTGGGCCTGTTGTCTTTGTGACTCTAGGCTCTCCTCTCTTCTGAACTTCTATCATAGATCTGGCCATGACAGGACACTCACGAAAGTCCTTTAAGTGATCCTCACTCTTCAGGACAAAGTTCTGATTCGCCGTGAGACTTATGTTGATCTGTCCGGGCCTACCCCTCTGCCTCTCCATGCTCAACTTTCCACCTGCTTGTGTGTTCCCCTAACCTTCGAAGTTCTCTGCACCAGCTGCCATGCTCAAACACAATACCTGTTTATAACTATGTGTTTTTGAACATGTCATTTCCTTTTCTTGGAATAAATGGCCTTACGGACTGAGAAACTTTCATTTGCTTGCCAAGGCCCACATTGGCAGTTATCTACCCTTCCCTGTTGCTCTCATTGCAGTTTGTATATATCCTAGGAATACACTTTGGACAGAAATTATCCATGGATTCCAGATGTCTGGCACCTCCTGGTCCTTTGAGTTCTGGATAAGCTCGGTTGGTGCTCCCATTTTATATCTAAAATTTACCCCAAACCCTCCCAAATTCTCTGCCTCTTCTTCCAAGTGTTATATTTTCAGTGACTCCTCCACCTTGGGCCTACTGCCATCAGAATTTAAGTCTTGATTAAGACTGGAAAACTCAGTCTTTTCTTTGAGGTCCATGAACAACACCACATCTTCCAAGCATTTATGAGTGCACCGAGTGTAGTAGAACTCAAGTGAAGATGTATTTTGGGGATGAGAGGTTAGCACCACAGGGAAATAGTCTCTTCCCTAATAGCCTCCAATCCACTCTACCATCAGGGCTTCAGTCAGTATCACTGGGCACCATTTTTTCTAGCTTTTTGTCTTCTTCCATCTCACCATTTTCCCTCTTTAAACCTCCCTGCCCCCTCTTCTCAGTAACAAATATTCCCCTCCTTGTTATATGCAGAGAAGTTTGCTTGTTTTCCTTTGTTGACTCCTTGCCTCAGTGGCTTATTGAGGCATTTCTATCAAGACAGTCTGCCCCTACTCCCAGGGGTATTCTGGTACTAGCTATTAAGAGATACTCACCTCTGTTACTCTTGGGTGCTTGTCTATCATCACCAAGGGCCTAGGAAGCCCTGGAGGATAGAGAAGATGAAGAGAACTAGCTTCATTCTTGTGGGAATAGTTGTAAGGATGAAATGCAATCTTTTCCTCCTCCTTCTTCTTATTAGATATTGTTATTGTTACTTTTCACTCATCTTCATATTGACTGGGTTGATCACACTTGCCACTGTGTAGAACCAGCTGTTACTGAGGCTGGATGTTCCTCTGGCTTTTGTGGCCTTGCTCACTGACAACTTACCCTCAAGAAGGGGATCAGAGAGCCAAGATGACATGTGTTTGGGAGCAGAAAGCTGGACATGACATCTCTGGCTGTGCAGGATTTGGAAAGACCCTGTCAACATAGGCACTGCCAGGAGCTATTTTGTCTTGTCCTGACTCAGCCCATACATGACAATCTCCCTTGCTCCCTTCGTTTGCCTGACACTTCTGAGCTCCATCTCAGTGCCACACTTTTCTTGTGATCTTCCTCTCCAGCACCTCTGCCCTGAGTCAGGCATTAATAGCTCTTGGAAGTGGGTAACATTTTTATTCCCATTTTAGAGATAGAGAAACTGAGGCCTAGAGATGTTAGTGAAGAGCTGAGACAAACCCAGGCAGTTTAGCTCTGCATTCTCTTCATAAAAGGTAAGACAGGCTGTAATAAAATGGACTGGGCCTTTGGCCCCGAGGAAGGAAGAGTTGTTCACATTTGACCACTGGGGCCAAATGTGTCTGAGTAGAGGAAAACCCCAGGTGTTGTGGTGGTCACTGCCACAGGTGAGTCAGTTGGCAGAGCTGTATTTGGACCCAATTCTCTCCACTCCTTGTCCTATACTCTTTCTAATACACCAACCTGTTTTACTTTTTATTAGGCCATCCCTGGATAAAGTGGAGGGACTTGCCTGGGGTCCCAAGATTTTGCTGTGAGAGGTGAGATTAGAGTAGAGATCTCCTGCATCCTGGTCTAAAACTCTTTCCACCACATTGAGCTGCCTCTGCCCAAGGCTGCGCCCATCTCTTTGCCTGATTTTCATTCTCTGCTTCTGCCTCCCCTATAAGGGCGCTGCAAAGACTCACCAAGACCTTTCCAATCCAGTTGCCATGACTGTTAGTGTTATGCACCTACAGACTTTGTAATTCAGGTTGCAGAGAAGTCAGTGTTTGTCTAACTTTTGGGGCTGAAGAGGACACTGAGGGCTTGTCTGGGGCATGGGGCTGATTGGTCCTATCCAATCATTGCCTACTTGTCCTTTGCCCCATCTCACAAATATGTAATCAAGTGATAGGTCAGGCTGTTATCTGATTATGTTTGTTAAGACCCAGATAATGATTTCTGTTTCTTTCTCTACCTTCACACACACACACACACACACACAAACACACTCTCTCTCTCTCTCTCTCTCTCACTCACTCACTTCTAGGCACCAAAGGGCTGTAGGCTTTGGGGGAAGACCCATGCTTTAGTTCTGGGCCTTCCAATATGATCTGGGATTTTGGAGGGTGGGCGACAGGGAGGCTGAGCTGTCACTTTGAATTGCAAAGCGTCTATTCATAATGCATAAAGAGGCCCCCGCAAGTGGCCATAGCCTCCTGTCGTCCTGCAGCTCAGGGAAATTAGACAGCTTCAGAGCCCCTTATGAAAATGCAATGTATTACCGCTGCTTTTTCACTAGTAAATTATGCATTCGAGAGTGACAAATTCCAAGATGCCGCCTTTATTAGGAACTCAGTGCGGGGTGGGTGGACAGTGCTGGCTGCCAAGCTTGCGACAGAATGTTTAATAACTTTTTCTGACTGTGCTTCCCGGAGGTGGTGTTTATAATACGTATTTCCCTCCTCTCTCATTTTATCAAAACACCGATGCTGAGCTTATTGCTCTATTTATGCATTTGGAACCTCTTCCTGGGTCAAAGAGCATTTGAATGACAAAAGCAACGACAGAGACCGTTTTTTTAACCAATCTGTCTCACATGCCTGTGACCTTGGTGTTCTTGGTTTTTTAAAGATCCATCCATTTGGAGGAGTCAGCTGCTTCCTGAACTTCAGGCCTTGAGGCAGGAGACAGCGTGTACCATCTCCTGCCATTCTGTTGGTAAGTAGAGACCTGTGATGGTACCCAGGATTCAAAAGTCATCTTCCCCGGCGGGAGGCAAGGGAGGCTTATGGAGAACCTCTTAAAGATATTGTGAGCATTCTACTCATTACTTAGGGAAAGACAGCGGGTGTTGGTCCAACTCTGGCTTTTGTGCCAGGTAGGAGTTGGTCCTGAGGCCGCCCATCTGACCATACTGGACCTGTTTTAAGGTTTTTCTCTAAAAAAATTTTAGATTTGTCAATCTGTGCTCCTGCAGGGGATGCTATGTCCAAATGTCCCAGGATTTGTTTTTTTCTGTCTTTCCTGAGACATTCCCTGCCCAGCTACCCAAGGAATCCTTCAAACGAGCAAATCTGACCATATCTTCTATGGTCAGATTAAAATCTTCCATGGCTCCCTATTGCTTATGGGACAAAATCAAAATTCCTGAGTCTGGTCTAAAAGGTGTTTGATGATCTTGACCTGCTGACTTTGCCAGCCTTCTTGTCAGACTCTCGTGTCATGCTCCGCCTAGACTATGAGCCTGCTATTTCATACTATGTAGCTTTGTAAGTCCCAGAAAATGCTGGGCTCTGACTCTTTTATAACTTTACATATACTGTTCCATCTGCCTGGAATGCCTTCTACTTGTCTGTCCAGCAAATTCTCACTCATCTCTTAAGGCCCAGCTTCAGTGCCGCCTCCTATCATAAGTCTTCCTTGATTTCCCAGGCAGAATTAAGTCCCTCTTACCCCATCTACCCATTGTGTTTGTACATACATTCATTATAGCAATAATCATATTAGATTTCAATGATTGGCTTGTCTTTCTCCACACTTTATTTTTAATAGAACACCTAGGTTTTAGTTAATGCTAAACAAACATTTGTTGGTTGTCTGTGTGGCATCTTGGGTTGCCTGACAGACTCTTGGCCAAATCTGTTCATGCATCCAACACATACATACTGAACAACTTTTGCAGACCAGGCACTGCTGGGCCTGACCTTCTGGTTCCATTACTAACATGTTAGCAGTGTCACTTTGAGCAAGTTACTTAACCTCTCTGTGCCTCAGTTTTCTCATCTGTAAAATGGGAATAATGCTTAGCACTTAATTTTTGGCAAGCTAGTGAGAATTAAATGGGATGATGCCTGTCCAGTGTATGAGGGATAGCCTCTATTAGCCCAGGACTGGCACACTGGAAGCACATAATAAATGCTAGCTGCAATAATAATAATAATAATAATAATAATAATAATAGTGCTATTATTATATTATATGCTTATATAGGATCTATTTACAATAATATAAATATAATTATTATTCATGTTACTTGCTCTCCTTGAATTGACTGGGCCTCCAACTTTCCCTGGCTGCCTTGCCCTACACTTCGCAGATGGGACATGGATCATTTTAATTAGATTTTATTGGGCTGTTATATGGGTCATAATTGAGGCCATTATTCATTTTCATGGGGCTGCTGACACAGCCTCAGTTTAGACATGATGCTATCTTGACGAGACAAGTCCCCATCTCAAAGGATCCCTATTTGAGGGGCTGGAGCTGCCACAGGAAAAGAGTCCTTCCGAGGCCCCAAACACAGATTCTGAAGAGATTAATGCCAGGAGTGTTCGTCAGAGAAGAGGAGATTTGTGGGCGACAGTGGCACCCTTCTGTGTGGTTGTTGGGGCCACCCCTGGGGAGTGGGGCATTCATCCACTTGGCTGTGTGTTCCACTCTCACCCCAGGATCTCCAGTGCTCTGGACAGTGTCTGGCACTGAGCAGACACTGGGAAAATGTTTGCTGAGTGAAAGCCACACTTGCAGGTGCTCAGGAAGGTGAAAGCAGTGAGTGTGGCCCAGCACACAGGCCTGGGGCAGCCTCACAGGTTCCAGCTCCTGATTGTGTGCTGTGGACTGTCCCTTGGTTCAGAGCCATGGGACGCGCTCGTGTAGCCCCAGTCAGGGGCTCGTCGAGGGATTGGTATTGGGGAAAAGTCAGTGTAGGACTATAGCTGGGCCTTTCCCATGAGCCTCAACTGTCTGGATCAGTGTGTTCTTAGGCTTGGCCTAGATGGGTTATTGTTCAGGAAAGCTTCACTCACCTCCCTGTGCAGAGTGGTGGAGTCATATTTCCCTGCCCCATTGATGTTGGTCTTGCCTATGTGTTTGCTCATGTGACAGTGAAACATTAGTAGACTTCAAACAAGAAGAAGCTGTGAACACACTTGTGCTATCTGGCTCATGCCCTCCTGCATGCACACTGGCGAACTGCTGTCATGATAAGCATATCCGAATTAGTCCCAGCATGACCATGCATGGAACAGACCTGAACCTTGTTTGTGGTCTGAAGCCAATTCCAGCCAACTTTCAGTGGGAGGCAAAGCCAATCCCTTGACCCCAGCCTAGATGAGCTGAGCCCAGTCCGCCTACAGACCCAGGAGCATGAGAACCAGTACTTGTGGTGGGAAGTCATTGAGTTTTGGCATGCCTGTTGTGCAGCATTAGCGTAGCAGTAGCTGACCAATACAGAGCCCCAGAGCAGCTCCAGTGGAATGTGTTTCATATATTGAGTTTCTATATAAGCATGTTTGAAATAAGAATTTGATTGTTGAAAACAGATTGAAAGCCTCTACAACAGTGGTTTTCAACTGGAGGCAATTTTGTTCTCCAGCGTACATTTGGCAATGTCTGGAGACACTTTTGGTTGTCACAACTGGGTGGGGGTCGGTGGGAGGGATGGTAGGATAGTGGCATCTAATGGTAGAGGCCAGGGATGTGCTAAACATCAGAATGTACCAGACAATCCCCCGGAGTAAAGAATTATCTGGCTTAAAATGTCAGCAGTGCTGAGGTTGAGAAACCCTGATCTAAAATCTAAGATCATTTGAATCTTTACCACCAAACATCTACCCTCCCTCCTTCCCTCTCTGTCTCCCTTTCTTCTTTCATTCTTCCCTCCTCTCCTCTTTTCTTTTTTTTCCCCTCCCTCCTTCTCTTTCTTTCCTACCTCCTCCCTTCTAAACAAGATAGATATATGCCCAGGCCCTCAGGGAATTTATCTTGAGAGGAACATCTCAGACAATATAGGCATAAACCAGTGAAGTAATGATGACAAATGCTATGCAGGATGCGGTAAGGAAGAATTACAGGGGGGACCACCCTTGGATGGGGTGATCAGGGAAGGCCTCTCTGAGCAGCTGACAGATGTGAGGGTCAGAAGGAGAAGGAGGAATCAGCCTTGGAAGAACTAACAGAAAAATGTTCCTGGCTTTGGGAACAGCAAATGCAGAGACATTGAGATGAGTGTGAACTTGGTGTGTTCAGGAAGCAGAGGGAGCCCCTGTCTGGTGCAAGAAAAGTGAGGGCCAACCCTGCCCTGCCTGGCATGGGGCTGGAGTTTGCTGAGCAATTGATACAATCCATGTCAGCTCTTTGGAATTCCCAGAAATTCCTGTAGACTCCAGAGTCTTGGGGGCTCAAGAGGGTTCAAACTTAAAGCTAAGAAATCACCTCAATGCCATGTTCAATCTATTACTTACAGGCACAGGGCTGGAAATGGATTGGCATTCAAAGTAATGGAATGGAATGTATTTATTTGAACATCAAAATCCTTGGTGGATTAAAATGTGCTGGGAATGTGGAGCATGACCTCACCGTGACACGTGCACCTGCTCAGCTGCATTGAGATACAGGGCCCTGCAAAATGGCTTGTTTTCTCCTAACTTCCACCCTGGTCCCTTCCAATACAGGCTCCACAGGAAAGTCAGGACACAAAGGAATCATTGCACTCCACTCTGCTCTCAGGATAAAATCCATACTACTTCTTCTTTTTTTTTTTTCTGAGACGGAGTCTTGCTCTGTCGCCCAGGCTGGAGTGCACTGGCACGATCTCAGCTCACTGCAACCTCCGCCTCCCGGGTTCAAGCAATTCTCCTGCCTCAGCTTCCTGAGTAGCTGGGATTACAGGCGCCCGCCACCACGCCCAGATAATTTTTGTATTTTTAGTAGAGTTGGGGTTTCACCATGTTGGTCAGGCTGGTCTCAAACCCCTGACCTCGTGTTCCACCTGCCTCGGCCTCCCAAAGTGTTGTGATTACAGGCATGAGCCAAAAATCCACACTTCTTGATAAGGCCTACGAAGCCCCCCATGGTTTGATCTTTGCCCAGCCCTCCCACCTGTCTCATCCTATCCCACTTGCTCTGGGGACCTCAGGGATGTGCCCATACCTTTCCTGCATCACAAGGATCTTCTTATGGAACAGACTTCTCATAGCCCTCAACAGGAACCAGCTTGGACTCTGGGCTTCAGGACTGTGAGAATACAAATTTCCATTGTTGAAGCCACCCAGTCTGTAGAATTTTGCTAGGGCAGCCCTAGGGCATTAATACACACAGGATGGAAGGGATGAATTTGTCTTGAGGGGTTGTGGAAGGAGGTATATGGGTGGGAAGTGGGCTGGGGCTGTAGGTGACTGAGGGTGAGGCACTTACACTAACTCCTATTTTGGCCCTGGGTGAGGCTGTGATGGAAGCTGTGGTTGGTGCTGGCCTGGGCCTTTCTATGTGTGTGTGTGTGTGTGTGTGTGTGTGTGTGTGCGCGCGCGTGTGTGTGTGTGTTTTGGGGATGCAGGGTGTGGCAGGCAGGAAGGAGAGCTTGAGCCAGAGGCATAATGAGGACATGGAGAAGCTGAGCTGTGGAGCCAGCAGGACCTTTTCTCCTGGAAGAGAAAAATGAAACGGCTGGTTGGCTGCGAGTTGTTCAGCTGAGTCCTTGTCCCTAATTACCACCCAGACCAAGCCTCTGGGCAGCATCATCCTGGCCCATCTGCAGCTTCTAAGATGGTCAGGATCCAAGCCAGGTGCCGGTGTGTGTGCTGGTCCTCATGGCCAGTGAGCAGCGAGGGGACTTTAATTAAAGAACTAATTACTCTGACTCTCTACGGGAACATCTGCAGCCCCCCAGCCAGTCTGGAGCAGGACTCCCTCTAATCTGGGCTTTCAGAGCAATGCCTGAGTGTGTATGTGTGTGTGTGTGTGTGTGTGTGTGCGCGCGCGTGTGCGTGCGTGCGTGTGCATGTCCAGGATATGTGCGTGTCTGTGCATGTTGGTATGTGTGCATGCACTTGGACATGTGCTTTGTGTGCCCTGTGCATGTATGTGCACATGTATTGGTGAGTGACCATGTATATAGCTTGCATTTCTATTTGTGCATCTCTGTGTGTGCAGGTGGGAACATGTGCACACGTGCGTCATCATGGTCATGTGTATGTATGTGGGCAAGGGGGTAAATACACATATGTACCCAAATGGTGTGGGTGTGTGCAAGTTCTTATGATTTTTTTCCTTTCCTATGATTGAAGCTTCAGCGACTCTATGGGTTGCATGTGTATGTGTCCCTGGTCATTCTGCAACTGTGAGTGTGTGCAGTGTGTGTGAACATGGCTCTATAAACAGGGCCCCAGCCGCAGGTAACATCTGTGTTTGCACTGGGCTTTTGGAAGCTCTTCCCAAAGGAGGGGAGAATTCGGAGATTTTAGGGAGCAGGTGAAGGAAGGCTGGTCTGTGAGGTGGATGGTTTGCAGTGAGGGGTTCAGCTCTGCCCTGATGCCCTGCTTAGTCATGTTGGACCAAGGTGGGAGGTTGTTCTAGACAGACTGTCCAGGGATTGAGTGGGAGGTTTGGCTCTGGGCAGGGGTGAATAGTTCCAGGTGGACAGAGTAAGCCTTCCAAGCTGAACAGTATGCTTCCCACTGTGAGCTCCGGTCTCCTTGACAACACAGAGTCAGGGCTGGGCCCTGGGGAAAGGGATGTGCATCTCCGTGTGCATACCACGAGGGGAACTCCGGGACGCTCTCCTGGTGGGAACTCAGATTGTTTTACGAAGGGGTTTGGAGTGTGGGGAGAAGAAAATTAAAAAGGTCTCTTTCAACTGCAAAACAAAATTCATAAGTTTTAAACTTCAGGTAAGTTCAGGGTCTGAGCCTGGTTTGCTCTCAGAGGTAGCATGATCTGTTTGAATCCCTGAAGCATGAACACAAGAGGTTTGGAGGAGGCTCAGAGTGGACATAAAGAGATTGGAGGGGCTGGGGCAGGCCCCTGAGGACCATGGGAAACTATGGGTGACCCCTTCATGACTAAGGAGAGGAGATGGGCTGGTGTGCCTGGATCTGGGCTGGATCCTTATGGAGCATGAATGTAGGGACAGAGCTCTCTGGACAGTGGGCAGGAGTGGGGAAGTTGGCACATGGAAAATGCTGACCAGCTGAATCTTGTGTCCTTCCTTCTCTCTCTCCCATTATTTTGATTATTTCACAAGGAATCTGAAGCTTCCCCTCCATGCCCCACTGGCAACCAAGGGTGCAGTGCCAGAAAAAAACAGATATTTCCCCAGAAGTCCTGGGTCAAGTATTTCCTTGCAAGCTCATTAAATCACCTTTTGCTTTGATTGTTCAACTGGTAGTGTCGGGACCTGTGAATGGCACACAGCTCATAGCTCCAAGTGCTCCTGGAGCCACCCGTCCCTGCCAGCTCCCTTGGGGCTGGGAAGCAGGGGACATGCCATGGGCCTTGCTGTCTAGAGGACTGAAGGGTCATTGACCAAAATAACCCCTTAAGTTGTCCTAACCTGCTAGAGAAATGCTTCTGGTTAGACAGAGCAATTGTTGAAACACTGGCCTACGTTTTCTACTCTTTAAGAGATACCTTCCATGAATTAACTTATTAATAGGAGTCATAATAAAGACAATAATAATATTCAGGGCCACCAGTAGCCCAGGTGGCAGCTCTGAGATTTAGAACAAGGCACCATCTCAAGGCAAATAGGTGATAGCAAGTTGTCCCCTTTGATGGCCATTGAGAATGAGGCACTCCTTCCTCTGAACTGAGGCAGCCCCACTGAGGAGCCTGGCGAGGAAGGGGAGCTCAGGCTGGACTCCAGCTGCACTTGGCTCCCCCTTGGCTAGGTGCCTTGGTACAAGGGTCAACCTACACAGCAGTGCATGACAACCCTGGGTGATAGCTAGCGTTCTGCAAGTGCTTACTGTGTGCAGGCACTATGCTAAGAGTGGACATGGATTATCTTATTCTACCCCCACAACAGCTGCACAACCTGGGAAACATCAACCCCGTGTTGCAGAGAAGGGAGGCTTCTTCTCTGAGGCTTCGGGAGGTTCTGCATGCTGTTGGAGGCCACACAGTTTTTAAGTGCAGCATTTGAACCTAGGCAGTCTGTCTCAGAGTCCAAGCTCTTAGCCACAAAGTTAAAGGTAGGGCCTGGGGCAGGTAAAAGGATGGGAGGAGATAAGTTCTCAGGGAGCTCCAGGTTGGTGGGTAGACAGAAGCATGAGAGCCCAGTGGACTCTGCCAGTGCCCTGTCCATGCATCCTCCCCCAATTCTGCTTCCTGCTGATGGAATCTTACTCTCTGTTCAACTGAGGCTTTCCCTTGGATTGCATGCAGGGCAGACCATAAGCGCTGAAGGTTGATGCCCCAGCCAATGAAGACAGGAATTATCCTTTATTGGGATAGCTCTGAGGCATATTCTACCCCGTTTCCTAGGGGTTTCCAGTGGATTGAAGCCAAGTTGCCTACAGGGTTCCCCAGCTCATGAACACACCCCATACTGGCTGTCTTCATTTCCTATATCACTCTCCTACACCTGGTGCCTTACCTGGACCCACCTCCTAAATATACTGCTGTTCTCAGATCCTGGTCTCAGGGTCTGCTTCTGGGGGATCCTGGCCTAAGACGGGGGTCCTATGACCACCCTTCCTAAGCCCATAGCCAGCCTTCCCTACCCAGAAGACAGGAGCTAGAGGAGTCTAAGGAGGAAAAGGAGTATTATGGAAAATCTCCGTGCCTAGAGCAGTGCAGTCCAGCTCAGAGGGGTTCATTTCAGCAGAGGTTTCCAGGGGCAGGGCCAACACATCTGAGAGGAGTGTGTGCACCCGTGTATGTGTGCATGCACAGACACTATGCATGCACACTATGGACTCACCACACACCACACACAGTTTCCAGGCACCAAGCAAGGTTCAGCCTTGCTTAGCCTCATGGCTCTGTGGACTCTAGATTCTCAAACATGAAGCTAAGAGGCCTCCTTGGGGACAAGGCTGTGCAGCAGGGAAGCAAATCAGGTGAGTGGCAGGAGTGTCCTGGTGACTGCAGCCACAGCAAGTGGGGTGCATGCAATGCAGTGCATTGGGATCAAGTACACCTGTGTTTTGTTTTGTTTTGCTTTTTTGAGATGGAGTATTGCTCGTCACCAGGCTGGAGTGCAGCGGTGCGATCTTGGCTCACTGCAACCTCTGACTCCCTGGTTCAAGCGATTCTCCTGCCTCAGTCTCCTGAGTAGCTGGGACTACAGGCATGCTCCATCACACCCAGCTAATTTTTGTATTTTTAGTAGAGACGGGGTTTCATCGTGTTGGCCAGGATGGTCTTGATCTCCTGACCTCATGATCCGCCTGCCTTGGGCTCCCAAAGTGCTGGGCTTATAGGCGTGAGCCAATGCACCTGGCTGCTACACCTGTATTTGAATCCCAGCCCTGCCTCGCAGCACTATGTGACCTCAAGAAAGTTACTGCTCCTCTCTGGCCCTCCCCTGCCTCTGAGACTCTGGCCCCTTTGGCTTCTGCGTCTGCCCTGACACATGACCTCCTTGTTGGCATCCCCCACAACACCCACATACCAAGAATAAGGAGATGGGTCCATTCTACCCAAATTTTGGATGCTGGGGAGAGGATCACATCCTTCAGCCATGGAGCAAACATCAGCTTCCCTCTTCCCCTTCTTCCTCCGGTCTCAATTCCTCTCCCTTGAATAGGACAAGCAGTTCAGCTCCCATAGACTCAAGTAACCAACCCCATCACAGAGCTTAGCTGAACAAAGCTGGGCAGGGCTGCCTCTTGAGCCAGCCTCCTTAGAAGCCTGCTGGGCTTAGAAAGAGCAAAACTGTCATCTTCTTATTCCCACAGCGGATACTGGGCTTTCACTAACATTTTACATAAACAGGGTTTAGTATCTGCAAAAGATGGGAAAACCACTTGAGTAAAGTAAACTGTAAGGACGTTGCCAGTTCCATAGAGCTTTGCAAATTGCTCTTCAATTTTAAACAGCTCGTTAAAATGCAGGCTCACCTGGTCCCCACAGGAATCTGGTAAGGTGGGTATGATGATTATGATTGTCCCATTAGCTAAGTCATCATTGAAAAGTGAGTGATGTTCCCATTTTACAGCTGAGATATAGGGTCACAGAGATGTTATGCACCTGTCTTATTGATGAGACAGAATGTTTTTTGTTATAAGTAACAAAAACCTCAATGAAAATAGTGTTAAATAATGAGGACGATTCATTAGCTTGGATATAGAAGACTCTGGATGTAAAGTGGTTCTAGGGTTGGTCAATACAGTAGCTACCTACTCAGTGACTTGGGGTCTTGTCTTGTCTTTTCTCCTTTCCCTTTCCCTTTCCCTTTCCTTTCTTTCTTGATAGAGTCTCACCCTATCACCCAGGCTGGAGTGCAATGGCATGATCTCGGCTCACTGAAACCTCCTAGCTTCAAGCGATTCTCCTGCCTCAGCCTCCCAAGTAGCTGGGACTACAGGTGCATGCTGCCACACCCAGCTTTTTTTTTTTTTTTTGTAATTTTTTAGTAGAGACAGGGTTTCACTGTGTTGCCCAGGCTGGTCTTGAACTCCTGAGCTCAGGCAATCCACCTGCCTTGGCTTCCCAAAGTACTAGGATTACAGACATGAGCCACGATGCCTGGCAGATCTTTCCATCTTTCTTCAGGACATTCCCACTCTGAGAAGCTTCCCATTTGCAGGTAGGTTTGAAGCTGTTTGTCGTTCATGTGTTGGACATTGTGCCAAGGTAGTTTCATTTACCTACTTTATGGAGGAGGATATGGAAGCCCGAGGCACTGACCTGTGGTATCCCCAGGATTTGTGGCAGGACTTCTCACTCGAATTCCAGGGCTCCCCTTCCTCCTCCATGCCACCAGGCGCTACCTCCATGGAAAAGGCAATGCCACAGTTTTGAGCTGGTTAAGGAAGATACCTCCTCTGCTCCCTCCTTCACCATCCCCCAGTGCAGAGATGGAGCACCTTGGTTCCAGCTCAAGAGGGGAGAGGGGGTAGGGCCACGGCTGGGGGACAATTTAGGGCTGATTCACAGTGACTATGAACTAAGGCCTGACTGAGAGGGTATCTGTGAAGGACACTGATCATCTCTGTGCTTCGCTCCCAATGGTGTCTATTTATAAAATGTTTTAGGGAGTCATTGAATCTTCCTAAGGGGCAGTAGATAAAGCATAACCTTGGAGCAGGGAGATCTGCTGTGTTAGTTTAGGAGACGCTGGCTGCTGTAACAGGGAAACTCTGACATCCCAGGGACTCGGTTCAACAAAGCGTATTTCTTGCTTACAGAAAGTCTACTTGGTGGCAGGGTTGAGGGTGGGTGGGGGTTTTCTGTTCCACAAAGCCATTCAGGCATCCAGGCTGACAGAGACTCTATGCCTTCAACATGTGGCTTCCAAGGTCCCTCTGGATTTCATAAGCTAGATGCGACAGGACAGAGCATGAAGGGCTGGTGCGGGGCACCCTTGGGAGTGGTGCACATTATTCCTCTTGATTCACTGGCTGGAACTCAGCCTCATAGCTATGTAATCTCAAGGAGAGTGGGAAATTTTGTGCCTAGGAAGAAGAGGAAATGGATTTGGAGAGCCACATCAGTCTCTGCCACACTTGGTTTTGAATCTAGACCTTGCCACACACTATTTGTGGGACCTTAGCTTCCTTAACATGTCTGAGCCTCAGTTTCCTCATTAAAGGGCAAATGGTGATAATCTCCTAGGAGGTATGATGTTGGGAGGGTTTCTTGAGTTTTTTCTCCAACACTCCCATGCAGTCGTGGTTCTTACCTGCAGAGCTCCAGCCTCTATGTACAATTGTCCACATACTTGTCAACTTCCTTGGTAATAACTCCTCTCCTGGAGGGCAAACTCCACCAGAATAGGGGCCACACTGCTCTCAATCAGAGCTGCAGCCCTAACAACTGGCCTGGCGCCCAGCACTTAGTAGGCATTCAATAAATACATGTCGGGGAAATGAATGGACGGATAAGTTAATATGAACACATATGTGCTAAGATTTACTCCTTTAAAAATTCTTCCTCAATAAATATTCGCACCTCTATGTTCCATCATGGTGTGGTGAGGGGGAGGGAGGGGGGAAGAAGACGAGGAGGAGGAGGGGCACCTTTCTCCCACCCCTACTGGAGCTCAAACTATAAATAGCTCCAGTTGGAATCTGACTGCAGATTCCTCCAGCAAAGTCAGCATCCCCAGGACCTCTCATCCTGGATGGGGACCGGGAGTGCTTCCTCATTAATCACAGCTCTTTAATTAACAGCTCTGAGCCTGGAACAAAAGGTGCTTACCGGGAGAACGCCAGCGGGCCCTGAACTCTGGCCGCCTGTTTTTATTTGGAGGACCTGGCGCCTTGGGGAGCAGGCATGGCATGGCTCAGTGCTGAGCCTGGCAGGGGATGGGGTTTGGAGGGCGAGCAGCTGGCAGGCCGGCTGCCTGTCTCCACCTTGGACATCTCCACACAGAGCTGACTCGACTTCGAGCAGGTTGCTGGCAGCTCTGTCCTCCTCAGGCTGATGCTGATGTCATTGGTCTGGGGTGGGGCTGGACAGTGAAGTTGTCACGTTCCCCAGGTGGCTCTAATGTGCACAGTTTGAAAAACACTGCTCCAGGGATGGCAGGCTTGGCAGAAGGCACTGAGATGGGTCCAAAGGCCTAACTGAGTGACCCAGAGATGGACACTTACCCAAGGCATGCCTAATGCCCAGGCAGATCAAAGGCCCACTCCCTCCTCTTCTCCCCGTTGGCGGATGCAGCAGGAATGGAACCTGCCTTTCCTTCTCCCATCATGCCTCCTGGAGATGATCAGAGGAGAGCCAGACCACAGAAGCAGGACTTCAGCCAGGGGCTGGGTGGGAGGCTTGGAAGGCAGGAGGAAGCACACACAGCTTGGCACTGGAAGCAGTGGCCCTAGGGCTCCTGCTGAGCCCCAGGTGTAATATCAAGTTGATGCAAAAGTCGTTGTGGTTTTTCCTATTGCTTTCAATGATAAAAACCGCAATCTGACAAAAGGCTAATATCCAGAATCTACAATGAACTCAAACAAATTTACAAGAAAAAAACAAACAACCCCATCAAAAAGTGGGCAAAGGACATGAACAGACACTTCTCAAAAGAAGACATTTATGCAGCCAAAAAACACATGAAAAAATGCTCACCATCACTGGCCATCAGAGAAATGCAAATCAAAACCACAATGAGATACCATCTCACAACAGTTAGAATGGCAATCATTAAAAAGTCAGGAAACAACAGGTGCTGGAGAGGATGTGGAGAAATAGGAACACTTTTACACTGTTGGTGGGACCGTAAACTAGTTCAACCATTGTGGAAGTCAGTGTGGCGATTCCTCAGGGATCTAGAACTGGAAATACCATTTGACCCAGCCATCCCATTACTGGGTATATACCCAAAGGACTATGAATCATGCTGCTATAAAGACACATGCACACGTATGTTTATTGCAGCATTATTCACAATAGCAAAGACTTGGAACCAACCCTAATGTCCAACAATGATAGACTGGATTAAGAAAATGTGGCACATATACACCATGGAATACTATGCAGCCATAAAAAATGATGAGTTCATGTCCTTTGTAGGGACATGGATGAAATTGGAAATCATCATTCTCAGTAAACTATCGCAAGAACAAAAAACCAAACACCACATATTCTCACTCATAGGTGGGAATTGAATAACGAGATCACATGGACACAGGAAGGGGAATATCACACTCTGGGGCCTGTTGTGGGTTGTGGGGAGGGATAGCATTGGGAGATATACCTAATGCTAGATGACGAGTTAGTGGGTGCAGCGCACCAGCATGGCACATGTATACATATGTAACTAACCTGCACAATGTGCACATGTACCCTAAAACTTAAAGTATTTAAAAAAAAAAAGTCTAGGAGAAAACCAATCAAATGGTCAACATGGATGATGGCATATAAGTGTTTTAACTTTTCTTTAACTTTTTGCATTAAAATTTTTTCTATATTGAATAAGCAAAAAAAAAAAAAAAAAAACCGCAATGGGCTGGGCGCAGTGGCTCACGCCTGTAATCTCAGCACTTTGGGAGGCCGAGACAGGCAGATCATGAGGTCAGGAGATCAAGACCATCCTGGCTAATACGGTGAAACCCCATCACTACTAAAAATACAAAAAATTAGCTGGACATGGTGGCACATGCCTGTAGTCCCAGCTACTTGGGAAGCTGAGGCAGGAGAATCGCTTGAATCTGGGAGGCAGAGGTTGCAGTGAGCTGAGATTGTGCCACTGCACTCCAGCCTGGGCGACAGAGAAAGACTCCATCTCAAAAAAAAAAAAAACAACAAAAAAAAACCCAAACAACAACAACAACAAAAAAAAACCACATAAAAAACCACAAACCACAGTGACTTTTGCACCAACCTTATAATTCTTCCTAACAGATCTCTAATGTTCTTTTCAAATTTGTCTCTTCACTTCTTCTCTTGTACTGTGACCACTGTTGAAGGGCTCCCTACAGCAGACCTGGCTCATTACAGAGTTCTGTTAGCATGCCCTCTGAAAGGCAGTGTCTTCATCTATAACATGGGGACATTATGCTTGACAGATTCCCAGTGTTTGCATGTGGTAGGTATTCAGAAAATTCTTGTGTAAACTCTAAAGTTCAAATCAAAGATGGCAAAGAGTTTTCATTCCGTATGCCAGCCTTCATGTGAATGGCCGCGGTCACCTGGAAAGGAATTTGAGGCCAAACTGGGGCTCAGTAAAAAGGATGCGGGAGTTGATTAGTGATGTCTCTCAGGGGTGCAGGAGCAGGAAGTGATGGCCAGAATTGCACGACTTTGCCATCCCTGGTCTTGGCGTAAACTTTATGAAGGTAAGGATTGAGTCTTTCAAAAGTTCACTTTTGTGTCCTTTGCGTTTAGTAAAGAATCTGGTGTACATGAAGTGCTCAAATGTTTGTGGAAAGAAGAAATCTGTCCATTGTTTTTTCTAATTATTATTTTCTTGACTGTTCCTAGTCCACCCTTCACTGGGTCTTTTTTGGAGTTTGGATTCCTGTCTCCTTTCCTAGAGTGATGGTGTCAAAGTCCCTAAGCTGTTTTTGGAAGGGGGCTAGTGTGATTGAGTTGTTGGTTATGCAGTTAGGCAGGCCTGTGCCCACGTCCTGCAGGCACCACTGCATCCTGGCTGTGTGGTGTTGGGCAAGGCATTTCTATTTGCTGAGCCTCATTTGTTTTTTATATCATATGGGAATAATATTGGATTGGTGCAAAAGTAATTGCGGTAATTTTGCAAATGGCAAAACCCACAATTACTTTTGCACCAACCTTAATACGAACTTCCTCACATCTTATCCTGATGATTACATGATTAAATGAATCTAAAATGCCCAGAAAATGCAAGTGCTGAGAGTTGGTTTGCTTCTGAATTTCAAAGTCCAAAGTTTATTTCATTTTTTTCCCCCTCCCTTTCCGTAGGCAACTGCAGTGGGGTTAAAGCATGAATTTTTATGTTCCCTTTCTCTGGGCCTAGTTTTGTCACTCTGAAGTCCTCATTTTTATATTCTCAAATCCCTAATTCTTCCCCTCCCTATTCTCTGCCCTGCCACCCACCTGCCAATTAATCAATTGTTTCAGTTTTCTGGCTACATCTTAGTCTAGCCATACAAGCTCTCTCCTTAGGCTTTTATTTTCCAAAACCAAGGATGGCATCCAGTATGATGGCCCCCGCTGCTGCCTCTGCCCAGGGTGCTGACTTTCTCCAAACTCTCAAGCAGGGGTTAAGTATTAAGAGGTCATCCCTGGGAGTAACCTGAATATTTGGGACTTTTTTTTTTTTTTCCCCAAAATGGTATTTTCCCCAGTCTACTTAAGAGCATATTAAGTGTACATATTCCCAGATCTCATCTAAGACATAGGGAATCGGACCCTGGGGGAGTGGAGACTGGGTACCTGTGAGCTTCAAGCACCCAAGTGACCCTGTTTCACTCTGAGTTTTGACAGTAACTAGAGAATGTTCCTAAGAGAGAACCTCATTTAAACAGTTTCCCAGGATGCCCTGGCATTTCTCTTTGCATGCTCCAGCCCATTTAGCTCTTTTTACAGTGGCTTTCAATATGGACTTCACACTAGATCCCAGATCAATTATGCCAGGAGTTTTGGGGGTGGAGCCTTCTAAAAGTCCTCCAGGTGATTTGAATGGGGATCCAGGGCTGAGAGCCATGAAATTCCTGAGATTCCAGCTCCTGAGGAGGAAGGCAATCCTTGGACTTCTTATTGCAAGAGGAGTAGAATTCTCTTTGCTCTCTGCTCTTACGTCCTCATGATTGGGGCAGATCCTAGAAGCCTGGTTGCCTCGTGTATGCAGTAGACACAGTTACTATGTATTAAAACCACTTGTTACTCATGGACTTGGCCCTCAATTCTTCCTCTCACCTCTGTAAAATTGGTCTAGAGCAGTGATAATTTTGCCCATCTTTTTCTGTCATGCACATTTTAGCACCCTTATTTCTCTGTTCTCCCAGTTGATGTGGCAGGCAGGAGTGCAGTAGTGCACCAAGATTCAGGCTGGACAAGAGAGGAATGGAGTGACCCTCCTAGGACAGGCTCCTAGCACACCGCTGGTCTCCCCCTTCCCCAGGAAATTAATCCTTGTTCTGGCATTACTACCACCAGAGCCCTCTAGACTCTATGTTAGTGTCTTGGAGGGGGAGCTTACTATCTCTTTGGGCAGCTTACTCCATATTTGAGAAGTTTTGGGGACCAAATTCATCACTACCCCTCTTGGTTCTCAGTAACAACAGAACAATTCTTCACCCAGCTAATTCTCAGACAGATCTCAGCTTAAATGCTGCATTTTCAGGAGCCTCCCTGACCACTCCATTTTATTTGGTACCCCCCACTTTCTGCTACTTACTACACTAAGCTTGTTATCTTTATTACAAATACCACAATCGATGTTATGTTTGTTTGCCTGTTTATCACCTGTCTTTCCCACCAGACTGTAAGCTTTACTAAGAGCAGGGACCAAGCCTGCTTTATTCACATGATTCATAAGGGTCCTAGCAAGAAATAGATGTCACACTTGAATTCTGTAGTTTGAGTTTAATAAAGGGACTTTTTATAAGGGTATAGGCTGGGCATGGTAGCTCACATCTATAATCCCAGCACTTTGGGAGGTCAAAGGAGGAGTATTACTTGAGCCCAGGAGTTCAAGACCAGCCTGGGTAACAAAGCAAGACCCCATCTCTACAAAAAATAAAAAAAATAATCAGCCAGGTGTGGTGTCTTACGCCTCTGGTCACAGCTACTTGGGAGGCTAAGGTGGGAGGATCACTTAAGCCTGGGAGGTCGAGGCTGCAGTGAGCCATGATGGCACCACTGCACTCCAGCATGGGTGACAGAGAGAAACCCTGTCTCAAAACAAACAATAAAACTCCCCCCAAACCCACAAGGGTGTAGGCAGGCTTAGGGTAATCCACAAGGGACAGTATATTACCCAGGACTAGCCACACCAGAAAGCTGTGACTAACCCAATAACTGAGGGTTTTTGCATTCCCAAAGGCGTGGTACTGGAGCCCTGGCTGGAGCCTTTGGTTGAGGCCACCAGCAGCAACTTGACAAATACCTTGACCTCGCTCTCCTCTTGCCTTCTGATCTTCTATTGTCTGAGCCTGGTCGGAAGTGAGGGAGTAAGGGAGTCCATTGATATGTTTTATCAGGTGAACATTTTGGGGTACAGAGCGGGATGGAGAGGGCACCCATGGATCTGAAGGGGCCGATGAAAGATACTCCACATTTGCTGTCGTATGCACAGATCCTGGCACTGTATCTGGCACATAATAGGTGCTTATTAAATGTTTGTTGAACAAGTGAATTCTTATTCTATTTGAAGAGAGTAGTCATGCCATCTGGATCTCCAGGTTCAGCTCTCTGTTCATTCTATTAACCTTCAGATAATGCATTTTTGTGACCCCTTTCCACCCTGGTTGCCTTTTTCTGAGTGCACTTCTGTTAGTTATGTCCCTGTAAAGTGTAGTCTAGGTGTGGTCTCATTGGCACAGAGCAGCAGGACCCTCCCGCTGTAATCTCTCTTCATACCGCCTGAGATCCTGAAATCCCAGTATATTTTTGGGAGGACATGCCATGATGTCTTCTTGCTGTCAAGTGAAACCCCTGCATACTTGCATGAGCTGCTGAACATGTTGATTGAATTCCAGGATATAGATCTGCTTTGAACGTTGTCTGACTAGTGATTATAGGATTTGACCTAAATTAAGATTAACAGTGGCAAACACCACACATGCATACTTCCATGGCAGACATTACTAATCTATCAAAGCCATGATTTTCTGCTACACCTCTGAATCCTTCTCAACACATGCTTTAGGCAGTCAGTACCAATCTGTTGGAAGTGGCATATGAAATAAAACCTATTGACCATTCTTGCTGTAGGCTCTCTTTGGATTTGAGAAATGAAGGATGGGAATAGAAACTCAAATATCTTAATGAGGAAAAAACTGTTTCTATTGTCTGCTCAGCCACTGAGCACCTAATAGGGTCTATGTGAGGCTTAAGCAAGCATGTGAGTGAAGTACAGAGCTCAGCGCCAGGCTCATGGTAAGTCCTCACATTGCTGTGGTTTGAAAAGGAAACTGTATATCCAACAAGTAGAACTTCTCAAACTCTTTAGCAGGAAAGGCAAGCCACACTGTGGGGTCTTGCTGTACAGAATTGAAGGAGCTCCAGGTGAGAGTAAGCCTATAATTTGTAGGGCAGCTGGAAAGTCAAGGTGCTGGAGCCAGAAGGCAAGATGAAACTGAGACAGAATCCTTAGGTGGGACCTGGAGTGAGTTGTGCAGCCGGAGACCCGCCATGCTGATGAATGCTTCAGGCACCAGCTTACTCCCTGAGTTTTGGCCTGTCCTAGACATCCAACATGCTTACACAAGCTGACAGAGAAGCTTCTGCCTCCATTTCTCTTCCTGGAGCCCAGCTTATTTGTCAGGGGTCCAGACTTTGGACTTTTGCTTGGTAGGGTGGATTTTATTACTAAACCTTCAGTTGCTGGTCTGTGCTCTATCCTCCCTCACCTGGCACATTTCTAGTTATCATTAGGCCAGCACTAGTTATCACTAGGCTGGCTCTCATAAGAAGGCGTATCTTGAATGACATGTACATTACCAATAGATATGATGTGAGCCACAAATGTGAGTCACTTAATGTACTTCAGAATGTTCTAGTAGTCATATTTAAAAAAGCAAAGAGAAACAGTTGAAATTAATTTAGATAATATATTTTATTTAATCCAAATGTTCAAAATCTAATCATTTCAACATATGATCAGTATAAAATGACTAATGAGATATTTTGCATTCTTTTTTTTGTAGCAAGACATTGAAATTAGGAGTACATT
Source organism: Homo sapiens (assembly GCF_000001405.40). Classification (NCBI taxonomy): domain Eukaryota; kingdom Metazoa; phylum Chordata; class Mammalia; order Primates; family Hominidae; genus Homo; species Homo sapiens. The sequence continues at coordinate 39,149,795 of NC_000020.11, forward strand.
TTTCACCTGCAGCTCATTTCAATTTGCATGAACCACACTTCCAGTGCTCAATAGCCACATGTGGCTGGTGGCCACTGTGTTACACAGCACAGGTTTATGTCCTAGGCAAATCCTACATTCTCAGGGATGTCCCCAAGCCTGACCTATTTGCTCCTTCCTTGGGCTCTCCTTATCAAAACAGTTATCATACTTTACTGTTATTGAAAGTTTACTATTTCTCCTCTTCTCTGGAGAATACATTTTATCTTATTTTTTGAGGCAGGATTTCACTCCTGTCACATAGGCTGGAGTGCAGTGGCATGATCTTGGTTCACTGCAACCTCCGCCTCCCAAGCTCAAGTGATTCTCCTGCCTCAGCCTCCCAAGTTGCTGGGGTTACAGGTGCACACCATTGCACCCGGCTAATTTTTGTATTTTTTTTGTAAAGACAGGATTTTGCCATGTTGCCCAGGCTGGTCTTGAACTCCTGGGCTCAAGCAATCTGCCTGCCTTTGCCTCCCAAAGTTCTGAGATTATAGGCGTGAACCATTGTGCCCAGCCAATAATACATTTTATAAGGGTAGTGAGCAAATGTGCTTGTTTATGCATCTCTCTACCTGGCTTGCCTGGCATATACAGGAGTTCTATAAATCCATGTTGAATAAGTAAATTAACAGGGCCCTCTATTCTCCAGGGACCCCACCACCTTTTCTTCCTTGCTTCCACCCCTGTCCCTGACTCAGTTTCTCAGATCCTGGCACACCTTACGGCCTCCCCATCCCCTCTGCTTGTCTCATCCTGAGGCACCTGACAGCCGGGATTATTAGTGGGCAGATCAGGCAGGGGCCTAATGGACTTGGGCAGCGCTAGTGGGGAGCCAGCACAGTACAGGGGGCAGGCAGAGGGGCCTGGAATGACGAATGGCCCTGCCTGCTGGCCCGGGGAGGCGCCACGCACATACTTCCCACCGATCGGTGCCAGCAAGTGATCCAGGGACACTGCTAAATGCCGGCTTTAAATCTCGCTTAAAGGGCCATCAAGAGCAGCTTTTGGCCGTGAGCATCTTTGCCATTATTCTTTACTAGGCCCTTTTAACGTAACTGGGAACAGGGCAATATTTTGTTCATCTGTAGCTATTGGAAAGAGGCTCAGCGGAGTTTAATGGCTGAGAGCTGGGCAGCAGGCTTATCCTGGGAGGGATCTGGGGCCAGCTGCGGCCAGCTCTGGGGCCTTTTGGGGTAGGGTGGGATCTGGGGTGGTTCTTTGGTGGCTCTGAGGGGCTGGGCCCTGTAGCCTGTGAGGATGAAGGCTGACTTCACCTCCTCCCCAGAGCTGGCCTCCATGCTCCTTAGGTGGGGTGCCTGGCTGGATACTTCCAGGGGCCCCTGCTGCCTCTTGGATTCCTGAGCAACCAGGAGCTGAGAGCAACAGACTCAGCAGTGGCATGTTGGGGGCAGGCAGCTTTGCATTCCCAAATCACATGCTCTTTAAGTCTCAACAGAAACAGCTTTAAAAAAATTCCGACAACTCCTTATAGTCCCTGGTCCACTCCTTCCAGGCACCCTTCAGCCCTGGCCTCTCAGCCTCAAATTATCTATGCAATGTGAAAGCCCCCATTACACTGCTTCCAAAGAAGCAGAGGCTCACAGTCCTTTCTTGGGGGAGACACCCTTGTCCATCAGGTGTTTGAACTAGTGGACTAGCAGCCAAAGGTCTACATGATCACCCACCAGCCAGTGACTCTTACAAATATGAGGCTTCTTGGCAACCCTTAGGCAGGGCTGACATGTTGTCCAACTCACGGGAGGGCACCATTCATATCAAGGTCTATGTGAATGGCATCGCCTGAATTTGTGCAGTGCACAGCTTGGGCAACCACACGCAGTAGCTCTGTCTTCAGCCTCTAGTGCGTCTCTACTTTGGCATGGTGTTGATGTGGGGGTGAGGGGCCTGGCTGTGTGGTTCTCAGAAAGGGTGATGATGGGTTAGCCTCCCTTGACAGAGGCCACTGCTGTCCTTGGTGTAGGTCTGAGCCTCTTCCTCCACTTCAGAATTCTAGACCAGGGATTGGCAGACTGTGCAGTTCTATTGGTCTGCAGCCATGCCATACATATGTAGTTCATGTATTGTCTGTGACTGCTCTCAAACAGTAGACAAGTGAAAGCTACAGTCGATCATAGAGCCCTCAAAGCCCAGATTATTTACTCTCTGGCCTTTTAAGAAAAAGTTTGTCAACCCATGTTCTAGACAGTGGTGAGAGGAAAGGAGAAGGCTTCTAAATGCTTCCTTACTGGACATCTTTGGAGGGCCTGGGGGGGGGGGGGCTTTTATTGATTGCTTTAATTAAGCAGGCCTGGATATATATACCTCTTTTCTTGCTGTCACTGACTTAGTGGAAGTAGGAGTGTCCCAATATCTTTGTTGTGTACTATAGCTGACATCCAATCCAAGGCTGTGTGACCTCAGGGCCAACAGAGCCGTGTGTGTGTGTGTGTGTGTGACCAAGAGAGCCGTCATTCAAGAACTCATTCTGCAAATGTTTATTCTACCTGCCGAATGCCGGGAAACCAGATGCTGTGTGTACAGAGACAAGTAAGACATAGGTCCACAGGTCCTGACCTGGAGGAGGTTATGGGCTAGTTAGGAGGAATGTGTGTACACAGATAACTGGAATATGGTGTGAAGAGTATTATAAAACAGAGGTCCTAAGATGAACTCTTCCATGAGGCTGGTTGGGGGGATGGGGACAAATGAGTCGGGTCTTGAAGTAGAAGTAGAAGTTTTCCAAGTATATGAAAGAGGATGAGGGTATTTCAAACACATGGTCTTAGTTCTGATGTAGTTTCAGCACCTCTGGGACTGAGTGTGTAAATCTGGAAAACATTTAGAAAAGTTACTGCGTTGAGTCTAATGTCTCTTGTCCTTTATAGTCTCACAGATATTGCAACCCTGTCCTTGTATACAAAGACATTTATCTTCATTTCTCTGTCCAGGCACAGTCTCTAAGTAGATAATTACACTGGCAGGCTTGTACAAAGATGGACTTGGACACACTCATGTCAGCCTTGTTCAGTTCATTCCCACCCATGCCTGCCACACAGCTTTGTACACACACCTGAGCCTGCATGTGAATACACCTGTGGACACTGAGCAGCTGGAATGTAAACATGCACACATATCCCTGTACACTTGGGTGTTGTCCTTGATCTTCTGCCTCCAGCGTATGTGATCACCTGAACTTCATCCTCTACCACCAGTGATAACCTGGCTATGGAACTCAGGCATGAAGAATGTTTTGACTAACTCAAATGTGCCTCTCCCTAGTTTCTTCTTTACTCTTATGCCATTCCCTCTTTCTAACCCACACTCCACTTTTGGTGAGGATATATGGTTTATATCCTCAACAAAATATACATGGTGCTGTGACCTGGGGACAAATAACTGGGTGCTCTATTTAGGCTGAAGCCAGGTAACTGAAGTCTCAGAGAGCTCACTGTTGTCAAGGTGAGAATCTCGAAGGCTGGGCTACTGACTTGTCACATAGCCTTGCTTGGTTCTAACAGCTCCTTCCTGGAATTCAGGTCATCAGGAAACTCGCAATCCATCGAGGGAAGGAGTAGATGAATATGAGGAAGCTGAGAGATTTTAGGGCTGTCTCACTCATCCAGGAATCTGCATATAATATTCTTCTCTGTTTTGGCACATGGAAGCCTTAGTGTTTTGCTGGTGGTCCCACACTGAATAGAGTGGATATGTCCATAGAGTCTACTTATCTCATGTACTTCCCTACTGTAGATTTTATTATACGCAAATGTTCTTGGTATTTTCCACTATCATATAATAAACACTATATAGAAAATTGAAGTAATAAACTGGGCATGGTAGGAAGAATGGATGAAAAACTTGTACATGGTGAAGGAACAGTATCCCTAATATATAAAAAGTGCCTATAAATTAATAAGAAAAATGCAAATAGAAAAATTTGCAAAGGGTAAGGACAGGTAATTTACAAAATAAATTTGAGTGTCCTGCAAACATAAAAACAGTTGAACTTCACAACAAATAAAAATGCAAATAAAAATATAATTTGTTACCGAGAGGACTGGCAATGATTAAAAATGAAAAATAACTGACTAATTTGAGGTTGTACAGTAGTAAAATCTCATGCACCATGATGGTGGGGGCAATATAAGTTTGTTCATCTTTTCTGCAGGGACAATGTGAGAAAGTTTATCTAAATTTTAAATGTACACACCATTTAAACTGGTGCTTCTACCTCTAACCATCTATCCTAGGATAATAATTGGACAAATGAACAAAGGTGTACAAATGAACAAAGGTGTAGGTATAGTAGCCCCTTATTTGTGGGGGATACATTCCAAATCCCCCACTAGGTGCCTCTCACTGTGCATACTACTGAACCCTATACAAATGTACCGTGTTTTTTCCTATACCATATATACACACCTATGATAAAGTTTAATTTACAAATTAAGCAGAGTAAGAGATTAACAACAACAGTAATAAAATAGAACCATTATAACAATATACAGTAATAAAAGTTATTTAAATGTAGTCTCTCTGTCTCTCAAAATATCTTATTATACTGTACTCACCCTTCTTGTGAAGATCTGAGATGGTAAAATGCCTACATAATGAGACAAAGTGAGTTTTCGAATGACATAGGTATTGTGATGTGGCATTAAGCTACTATCAACCTTGATATTTTCCACTATGACAATACATCAGAAGGAGGATAACTTGCTTTTGAGTGGTCCTGGATCATTGAGCCATGATGATTTTTCAAACTGACCGTGGGTAACTGAGACGATGAAAAGCAAAACTGTGGATAAGAAGGGGACTACTGTGCAAGGCTATTCATCACAGCATTGTGGATAGGAAAAAAGACGGAACAACTTAAATATCCATTTTAGCTGTCCGTATATGACTAGTAAATAAATTCTGGTAAAATGGTTAAAAAGAATGATGGAGATATATGCTTAATGGCACAGAAGAGCATCTTGATATGTGAGTGAAAAAACGAGACAGGTGGTATAATAGCATGATCTATATGCAAAGTAATATATACTCCTATGGCTGTTGTCCTGGAGTGATGGGACATTGAAGAATCTTTGCGTCTTTCTGGAGGTGTACATTTTTCTACAACAAGCATATACCATCTTAGTCAACTTTAAAAAAAATTGCAGTGCCACAACCCTGTCTTGTTTGATGTTGCTGATTTGCCTATAATGAAATCTATAATGAGGAAGTACATGAATTAAATAGAATCTATGGATATATCCAGTCTGTCCAGTGTGGGACCACCAGATCAATGCCCAAGGTTTCCATGTACCCAGATGGAGGAGGAGATCATTTTCAGATCCTTGGGTGGGTGAGACAGCCATCCTCGTTTTTAAGATAGAAACTTTCATTCATCTCAGTGAAGAGAGTGTATTCAGGTCTTTGAACCCACCGGGCTCAAAGGTAATGATCTATAACCAGATAATCCACAGTAAGGCCTCTTCACCATCTGGGTGAGTCAATCCTGGCTGGAAGGTCAATCCTTAGGCAGACCGTGATGTTGTCTTGGACATCATTGTTTAGAGTGAGACCAAAAGGGAGGTGAGACCTTTAGAGACCAAAAGGGAGTTTACCTGTGATGCAGGGAGGGTTGGAATGAGGAACCTCAGGGCTTGAAGGCTCTGGGTTGCAGGGGTAGGAGATGACTGATGGGCTGGACTTGTTAACCCCTTGATGTCCTACTTAATCTCTTCCCTAGCTAGTGCAATGATATTGATTAGAATGATGACATTCTTTTTTTTTTTTCCCCCCTTCTTGTAAGAGACAGAGTCTCGCTTTTCTGCCCAGGCTGAAGTGCATTGTTGTGATCATAGTTCACTGCAGCCTTGAACTCCTGGGCTCAAGCAATCCTCCTGCCTTAGCCTCTCAAAGTGCTGGGATTACAGGAGTACACCATGATGCCTGGCTGAAATTCTTTAGATATGGTAACCACAGGCCCCTTATATTTCTACAACGGCCCCATTTTCAAACATTATATCCTATTATGAGGCACATGTCCTGATTTTTGCTTTGGAAAATATGGTACCTGCACCTTTAAATGTTTAATCTCCCCCAGCCATGATGAGAAGAAGAGAGGGGAAGGAAGTTGGTATTTAGGGGTGAATGCGATTGAGTGGTTATGTGAAGGGGCGGGAGGGCGGAGTGAATGCTGGGGGACCCCGAGATATTTTCTTTCTTGTCTGTTTTTTCCACCCCATTTCTTTTTCCTCCATGTCAACACCAAACAAGACAGGACTAAAATTAATGGGGAAAGCAGCAATTAGCAAATTAGGTTAGCGGCGTGTTGCCGAGAGGCCCGGCTGCCAGGTGCGGGGTCTCTGGCAGGATATTTATTAGGGCCTGTCAGAGAAGTGACACTTTGATAAATGGAGTTGAGTAATCAGCCCCTTACGACAGCAAGCATTGTGAGGCCTCAGCATGCACGACTGCCGGAGCCAACCTTTGTTATGATTTTTAAAAATTTAACACTCATAAAAGTAATACAACAGCAGCATCCACGGCCACAGAGCATGGCCTCGAACCCCAATCCTGATGTGCAAGGGAAACTGTGGATCTTGAGTTTTCCTTTTGGAATGGGCAACTGGGAAAAGAAACCAATGTGGAAAAGTCTGTCTGAGTTTTGGAAATGCCCTAGAATTAAATAATAAAAAATAAAAAACAGGAGTGGGTTTTAAAGAACAAGAAGTGGGGGAGTTCTGTTTTCACTTGGCTAGTCTGCAAAGGTGACCGTTTGCTGAGGCGCCAGAGTGGCTGGAGTTGAACAGGGGGAACGGACACTGGGAACCCAAGGAGGGTGGCTCCGTACACTGATGGAGAGGCCCCTGGGACCAATGCCTGTAAGGATGGCTTGCCCAAGATTCTTGCTGCAGGGATTCCTTTCCTTGGCAAACACATGCAATTTAGCTTTCCTCTGCAATGACCAGTTTCCTGGAGGGAGGATTCAATAACCAGGCAGAGAGCAGAGCACACTGCCCTAGTGACAGGGTTTGAAGGAGGAGGACCAGGTTCCTGGCCAGAGATGGGTCACTGTGACTTTCAGAAGCTCTCCATACCTGGCAAATCTCACTGGAGTATAGGCTCAATGTGAACAGGCTGGCTGGAGAGCCACTGCCTCTGTTTCCTGGCCTTCAGCCTGCTGCTTCAATGCCTGGCGTCGCCTCACTTCCACCAGGTCATAGTCTTCCTCAGCTCCCCACTGAGAGCACAGTTTCCCTTGCCTGAGTGGTATAGCAGTACTAGAAACTTCTCATTTGACTGATCTGCTAGCTCTTATGGTGTCTCAGTTGCTGGAATCCTGCTCTGATCCTGTTTTGCTTGGCTGGACCCTGACTCTTCGCCCTCTCCTAACACTCCCTATTGCACTGGACTCTGTCACTCTGTCCCCAGGTCTGGTATCCTGATCAGGGTTGGATGCATCTGGATATTGATGTAGGCCGAGTGGAACTGAATTTGCTATACCTCTGTGGACATTGGCACTGGACTGCTGACTTCTCACCTTGGGGCCAGGTCCACAGCCAGGTGGCCAGCCCCAGCCTGCTCCTCTTCCCCATCTAGCTCCTGCTGAGGTTCAAGGAGCTGCAGGCCTGACCCATGCCAGTGATGGTTCTGGGTGAGTGCCTTTGATAACCTCCAGCAGGTGTGTCCCCAAAGGCTGACTCAGTCTCACGTTCCCTAACACATGGCCCTGAGTAGAATGACAGTATCTGTGGTAGGAGGGAGATGGGAGTTTGGGTTGTGACTGGTTGTTCCAGGTATCAGCCACTAGTGTCTCCTGCCTGGCCCCCTATAGGCCCTGAGTCTCTGAACCTTCCTTCGGGCTGGGACCAGAGGCTGATAATAGAGTGAGCCTCTTCCCAGTCTTCTTTGGGGCAGGCTCACCGCAGTCCATCTCTGTGGATGGACACTGGGGCATGGTGAGGGGTATTGGACTCTCATGTCAAGGAGGGTGGGGAAACCTGGGGTTCACATCCTCACCTCAGGAGTCCGAATTTGGGATGAAGGGCAATGTGAGCTATGCTCCCTAGCACCTTGCTAATGTTCTGCCGGACATGGCTTTTGCCATTGGTTTGAGTTGGGTCAAGCCAGGGAAGATCCTTGAGCTGGGCACAGAGCTCCAGGTGTGCTCTGTGCAGCACAGAGGACTATAGAAGGGTCCCCTCTCATGACCCATGTGCCTTTTTCAGGAAAAACAATCCTATTATTTTACAAGAGGGTCCACAGGATTTCAAATTCTTTTCCCCCGAGCTTATGCAATATATGATTTGAACCGAACTTCAATGTGTGATGAAAGAATCACCCCTGTTGAATTTCCTTTGTTGGTTTTGTCCCAGCCATCCAGTTTGTGGAGATCATTTTGATTCTGCCAAATCAGTTATTTCTTAGGCTTTGGAAGAGAAGAGCTCATTTTCTAAGTCTGTGAAGTTATAAGAGAACATGGCAAGAACCAAACCTGTGGCCCCCTGCTGAGATGTCTGCCATTCTTTTTTTCCTTTTTTTTTTTTTTTTCCAGACAGGGTCTCACTGTGTTGCCCAGGCTGGAGTGCAGAGGCATGATCATGGCTCACTGAAGCCTCAACCTCCAGGGCTCAAACTGTCTTCCCACCTCAGCTTCTCAAGTAGCTTAGCCCTTAGGTGCATGCCATCACACCCAGCTATTTTTTTTTTTTAAAGAAATAAAGTCTTGCTATGTTGCCCAGGTTGGTCTTGAAGTCCTGACCTCAAGTGATCCTTCTGCCTCAGCTTCCCAAAGTGTTGGGATTACAGGTGTGAGCCACCATGCCTAGCCATGTCTTCTCTTCTCTTTTTTTTGAGACAGGGTCTGGCTCTGTTGCCCAGGCTGGAGTGCAGTGGCATGATGTGGGCTCATGGCAACCTCTGCCTCCTGGGCTCAAGTGATCCTCTCACCTCAGCCTTCTGAGTAGCTGTAACTACAGGTTCATGGCATCTTGCCCAGCTAATTTTTTTTTTTTTTGTAGAGATGGGCTTTTGCTGTGTTGCCCAGGCTGATCTCGAACTTCTGACTCAAGTGGTCTTTCCGTCTTGGTCTTCCAAAATGCTGTGATTTCAGGCGAAGCACCTGCTCCTTCCTCTACCTGGGAAGCCCCAGCCCCAAGAATCTGCATGGTCTGCTTCCCAACCTTCTTCAGTCTCAGTCAAGATGCCCCCTTCTCAGCTCTTCCCTGACCATCCTACTTAATGCTAATTTCCCCACTGCTCATTCTGTCCCCTTACCTTGCCTTGGTTTTTCTTCATAGCAATCATTGCCATGGAACATACTATACATGTTACTAAGCTGTGTGCTGTGTCTGGCACCTCATGCAGCTACCTGAGGACATGGGTTCTGCTGATTTTATTCATGCTATATCCACAGTGCAAGCACAGAGCCTGAAATTGGTGCTATCTCAATAAATAAATATTTGTTAAATGAATACTTGTCTAAAATACAGATATTATCAGTCCCAAGCATGGGCACTGCATCAAAAAGGAAATTAGAGTAATTTCACCTGACATTCTCTGGAGATGGACATCAGATCATGGTAATTGCTTCATTCTTTTTAAATTACTTGCCAACTGACCAGTTTATGAGAAGGTCTAGAGTCAAAAAAGGGATTGAATCTGACTGCTTCCTGTTTTGGAAAATCAATACATTATTTTTCTTCTGGCTTCTCCAGCATTCTCCTTGGTTTCCTAAAGATTCTTCATGTGACTTTGAGATGGTATCAGTGAGATTCTGCTGTTCCCTCCCACCTTGTCTGCAATATTGTTTCAAAGCAGAGTTTTTGCACCATCATCAACCTTTCCTGTGTGCCTGCCAGGTGCAGAGCACTGTCCTAGGCCTTGAGGACACAAAGCCACAGAGAACACTTTCTTTGCTTCAGAGCTTTCTCAGGAGTCATGGTGGGGGGAAAGCTGTATCCAAAGTGACAGTGGCCCAGTGAAGCCACATGTTGAGACCATGTGATTAGGTGGACAGTGAACATGATGGGTCGAGGCTAGGTCAGCATGGGCATGGGGATCTTGCAGACCCTGCTGTGAGGTTTTCTTTCTGTGGATTATGCACTCAACAAATATGTATTGAGCTTCTGCCATGTGTCAGGCACTGTGCTGAACACTGGGGACACAGTAATGATTTGGACAGATGCACATCCTATCCTCATGGAGCCACATAGTCTAGTAGGGGTGATAAACAAGTAAACAAATAAAAGAATATTTTGCTTGTTACAGGTACTGGGAAGGAAATAAACATAGTGATGAGATTCAAGGTGAGGTGAATAATTATTTAGATAGGGGGTCAGAGAAGTCCTCTCCAAGGACTTCCAAGGAGCTAGCCAGGGAGAACAAAGAAAGGTCATTCCAAGTACCTACAGAAGCCCCAAGGTGGCAAGGGCTTGATGTGTTATGGAATCTGAGAGGAGACCAGTGTGCTGGAATAGACTGTTTGGGAAAGGGATAGAATGGTGTGAGGTAAGCTGGATGGGGAAGGCAGGGATCGGACCATACACCGCACCTTGTAGGTGATGAGAGGGCAACAGGATTTCTGTTAGGAGCAATGGAAAGTATTTTGGGGGAATAGCATGGTTTCACTTCCATTTTACAGAGATTGCTATGGCTACAACATGGAGAATAGATTGAAGGGAAGTAAGAGGAAAAGCAGGACGACTGATGAGGAGGCTGCTGCAGTTGTTCTGGAAGAGATGGTGGTGGCCAGGGCTTGGTGAGGGTGGATGAGATGGAGAGAGGTGGCTGGATCTCAGGCGTGCTCAGGAGTTCAGGTCGACAGGAGTTGTTAATGAATTGGGTGGGATTAGGGAGAAAGCAGGAATGACTCCTAGTTTTCAGTTTGAGCATGCGGATGGATTGTGGTGCCATTTACAGGAAGAACATGCTTATCCAGATTCACCTGGTAGTGAGTGATGAGTTATCAACCTTCTAAATCACCACAGGTATGACCACTTTCCCCCCATCACCAGAGTCCTAACAAGAAGGCTGTATGCCCCGTGCTGGGTGAGCTCCTGTCATTCCCAGGCTTTGCACAGGTGGTGGGCTTTCAGAAAGCAAACATCCCTGCTTTCCAGAAGCTTAGTGTAAGATTTTCTATATATAAGACTGTGTCATCTGCAAACAGGTATAATTTTACTTCTTCCTTTCAGAAAAAGCTTTTGACTAAATTCAAGTTTGGATGCCTTTATTTTTCTTGCCTCATTGCTCTGGCTAGGACTTCTGATGCTATGTTGAATAGAAGTGGTGAGAGTGGGTATCCTTGTCTTTTTCCTGATCTTAGAGGAAGAGTTTTTAGTTTTTCAACATTGTGCAATGTTAGCTGTGGGTTTGTCTTATAGGGCCTTTATTATGTTGGCGCAAATTCCTTTTATACCTACTTTGTTGAAAATTTTAAGGGTATGAATTTTGAATTTAGTCAAAAGCTTTTTCTGCCTTTATTGAGGTGATCATGTCATATTAGTTCTTTATTAATGTGGTATATCACATTAATTGATTTTCTTATATTGAACCATCCCTGGGATAAATCCCATTTGGTTATGGTGTATGAACTTAATGTATTGTTGCATTTGGTTTCCTTGTGTTTTGTTGAGAATTTTTGCATCTACATTCATCAGGGATATTGGCCTATAATTTTCTTTTTGGTAGTGTTCTCATCTGGTTTTGGTATCAGGGTAATGATGGCCTTGTAAAATGAGTTTGGAAGTGTTCCTTCCTCTTCAGTTTTTTTGAAGAGTTTGAGAAGGATTCGTGTTAGTTCTCCTTTAAATATTTGGTTGAATTAACCAGTGAAGCCATCTGGTCCTGGGTTTTCTCTATTGGGAGATTTTTTGATTACTGATTCAATGTCCTCATTTGTTATTGGTCTCTTAGGTTTTCTATTTTTTAATGATTCAGGCTTGGTAGGTTATATGTTTCTAGAAATTTATGAATTCTAGGTTATTCCATTTATTAGCATGTAATTGTTCATAGTAGTCTTTTACAGTCCTTTTTATGTCTGTGGCATCAGTTTTAATGGCTCCTCTTTTACTTCTGATTTTGAGTCTTTTCTCTTTTTTCTTAGTGTAGATAAAGGTTTTTCAATTTTTATCTTTTCAAGAACTGAACTCTTAGTTTTGTTGACTTTATTGTTTTTTGATTCTCTATTTAAAAAAATTTTGCTCTAACAATAAAGGCCATATACAACTGATGTGGTTTGTCTGTGTCCCCACCCAAATCTCATCTTGAATTGTAGTTAACATAATTCCTACATATTGTGGGAGGGACCCAGTGGGAGGTAATTGAATCACTGGGGTGGTTACCCCCATGCTGCTATTCTCATGATAGTGAGTGAGTTCTTATGACATCTGATGATTTTATAAGGGGCTTCTTCCTCTTTGCTGGGCACGTCTCTTTCTTGCCATCATGTGAAGAAGGATGTGTTTGTTTCCCTTTCTGCCATGATTGTAAGTTTCCTGAGGCCTCCCCAGCCATGTGGAGCTGTGAGTCAGTTAAATCTCTCTCCTTTATGCATTACCCAGTCTCAGCAGTTCTTTGTAGCAGCATGAGAACAGACTAATACAACAACAAACCCACAGTTAACATCACATAATGCTGAAAAACTGAAAGCTTTTTCTCTAAGATTAGAACAAGACAAAGATACCCACCTTTACTACTTCTGTTCAAGACAGTGCTGGAAATCTTAGCTAGAGCAATTAGGCAAGAAATAAAAAATAAAAGGCATTCAAATCACAAAGGGAGAAATAAAATTATCTCTGTTTATAGATGACATGATCTTATATGTAGAAAACCCTAAAAATTCCACAAAAAACCTGTTAGAAGTAATAAACAAATTCAATAAAGTTTTAGGGTGAAAAATCAACATAAAAAATCAATTACATTTCTGTACTCTCACAAGGAACTATCTGAAAAGGAAATTAAGAAAATAATCCCATTTACAATAGTATCAGCAAGAAAAAAATACTAAGTAATAGACTTAACCAAGGAGGTAAAAGACTTGTACACTGATAACTATAAAACATCAGTGAAAGAAATAAAACAAGACACAAATAAATGAAAAGACATCCCATATTCATACATTGAAAGACTTATTAAAAATGTTCATACTGCCCAAGGTGGTCTGTGGATTCAATGCTATCCTCATCAAAATCCCAAGGGCATTCCTTTTTTTTTTTTCTTGTTTTTTTGTTTTTTTTGTTTTTCTTTTTAAACAGCAGTAGAAAAAACAACTCTGCCTCTTTGGTGCAGGTTTCTGCAATGTACAGTTGATGAGTCCTTCCTCTGTAGAAAGGCAGTGTGGTGTAGCAGGCAGAACACAATGATTTTGGAGTCAGCAAGATCATCACTTTTATGCCTTGGCCACACTCAACAGTAGTGTTGGGCGAGGTTTATCACCTCTCTGACCCTCAGTCTCATTTGGGTTAATGCCAAATGAGTCAATAAATTATATAGGATAGTTTCCAACATATAACAGGCTCTCAATAAATATAGGTTGTAAATTACTACAGAAACTCGGAAGCTACATCTCAAAGCCATACACATTAGGGAGGGCTTTATCTTTACCCCAGCAAATCTTGGGCATGCACGTCTTCCAGACCAGGGATCTACACATGGGTGAGCAAGGCAGCTTTAACCACTCTGCAGCTAAAGGGACCTTTTGGAGCACTGTTTTGGGGTTGCATGTGGCAGGGAGGACATTAACATTGGACATGGTTCAGTGAGAACTTGGGCTGGTCAAATATTATGATCATTATTATGGTACAAGGGCTACATGGAATGGCCAGATGATTTTGTCCTTGGAAACCATGGGACTTGGGCAGAGAGGATGCTTCTTTCAGGCTCCAGCCATGACAGTTGTCCCAAATCATAACAGAAGGAAGGATTTAGGCCCCATGAATTGGATTAAACTTTTACAATATCCTATAACCTTTGCTATCGTCGCCACGACTGATGTCACCATAACAACAACGATAACCACCCCCTCCCCAATATAAGTTTCATAATGATTTGTTCATTGCAAAATCACCAATGCCTACAGGAGTTCCTGGCATAGTTGTAAATATTACTGTTTATAATAACCATTACCACTGTTAAAGTTAGTAGCAGCTAACATTTAAAAAATGCATGTGTTCATCATCTCATTTAATTTTCACAACAATCTTATGATTTAGGCTGGGGTTCACAATCTACAACCTGTAGACCAAATCCAGCCTGTGGCTTATTTTGTAAGGTCTGCAAGCTAACAATGCTTTTTCTCATTTTAAAACAGTTGTAAACAAAATGAAGAAGATTATGAAACAGAGCATCTGGCCCACAAAGCCTAGAATATGTATTATCTGGCTGTTTGCCAATCCCTGATATGGAGTATTTGCCAGAGTAGGCTAGTGATATAGTTTGAATATGTGTCCCCACCAAATCTAATGTTGAATGGTAATCCCCAACATTGGAGATGGGGCCTGGTGAGAGATGTTTGGATCATGGGTATGGATCCCTCATGAATAGTTTGGGTCATCCCTTTCGTGATAAATGAGCTCTTGCTCTGAGCTCATACGAGATCTGGTCGTTTAAAAGTGTGTGATACCTACACCCTTGCACCTCTTTCTCTTGCTTTGGCTTTTGCCATGTGATGTGGCTGCTGCTCCTTTGCTTTCTGCCATGATTATAAGCTTCCTCATGTCTCCCCAGAAGCTAACACCATGGTTCCTGTAAAGCCTGTAGAACTGTGAGCCAATTAAACCTCTTTTCTTTATAAATTGTCCAGTCTCAGGTATTTCTTTATAGCAATGCCAAAACAGCCAAACACATGTAGTGTATGCTGCCATAACAAACAATGAACTGAATGGCTTAGCCTAACAAAGGTTTATCTCTTGCTGACTCAATGTCAGCTGTGGGTCTGTGCAGCCCTCCAGCGCAGTCACCTTCCAGATGATCAGCCATCCAGGCTATTTTTATTCTGCAGCTCTGATATCTTAGCATGAGACCTCTTGGTTATTGTGGCAGGGGAAGAGAGAGGTTGGAGAGCCTTCTGGGAACTTTTTAGTGTGTCATTCAGATGTGACAGCTGTTACTTGCACACGTGTTTCATTAACCAGAACTTGTCACATGGCCCAGCCTAACTAACTATGAGGGGTTAAGAAATGTGAAGGAGCACCTGGAATGAGATGAGGAAGCTGAGTTTCTGAGAGGTAAATCCTTTGCTCAAGCTTACACAACAAGGAAAAGGCAGAACAAAGACACGTATCAGGCAAGTACAATTTCCAAAGTCCGTGATCTTATCTATTACATTCTCCTTTTCTTATGAGCTCCTTGTTCCAGCAACAAACCGCATTAAACATTTCGTTACTTTGGAGTGGCTCAGACAGAATGTTCCTATGGTTGCTGACACATCTCCCAGAGAAGTCTTCCCAGCTCTACACCCCCACTCCCAGCCTCTGTCCTCCTGGCTCTGGCCCCAAAGGGGCTGGAAGGTGCCACAGCCAGAGTAACTCATGACTCCTTTGGCTCCTCACAGTGATGAATGACAGCCATCCATCGTGGGCCTTGCTGATGGCCCAGCTCATCCATCATGGCCTGGTGTTCTCAGGTGATGTATGAGTGCCTGAAGAATGGATTGCTTAACGGCCGATTTGCTTGGAAAAGAAACTGAGCCAAAGAGTGGATTCAATCTAATTACCTGCTCACTCTGGCCAGGCCTGAGAGGCACTTTGGCAGCCCCTCATAGGTCCCCGCAGAAATATGACTTGCAGTTCTTGAGCTACGAGGTCATTCCTAACTCATTGCTGATGGACAGGGCATTATTTAAAAAAAAAGAAATGTGGGGAGGAGCTGTTGGCAGGTTTGCTGCTTGATGGAAAGCTAGGCAGGCCAGGTGAATCTTCTGGAGGTGAATCAAGGGCAAACCAAACAATATTTGGGGTGATAATTGAGATGAATCAGAGGTGTTGGGTCAATGGACAAGTCAGTAGTCAAGACTGTGAGCTCTAAAGCTCAAAAGGCTACAAGACTGTAGCCTTGGTTTTGTGTCCTATTCCTGTCACTTACTCTCTGTATAACCTTGAGTAAGTCTCTGAACCTCAGCTTCATTTTCTATAAAATAAAAATAATTGTTGTGAGAATTTAATGGAATAATAGATATGAAGTGCTGAGCATAGCAAGTCAGGGCCTAGTAAGTGATGGTGAGAATTATTATAATGAAAAATAATATTAAAGATTGTTCTTCTTGATATCTATCACTTAGGGGTTGCAGTATTGCCAGAGAGACAGTATTGGACAACGATAACTGCAAATTGTTATTCTCCCACTGAGAGATGGAGTGGCTGGCCTCATGTTTACTTCAACCAATGGAATATGTTGGCCACTGGCCTCTGCTCTTCTCTCTCCCTGTTCTTATTCCAAGCTGCCCTTGCCATATCTGCTTCTGATCCCCTTGGTTTGGTGACATGCTAGGATTCTGTTTTCTGGCCTTCAGTATCTTTCTATTAGTGTCTCAGCTCTATATCCTCCTTTAACTATGGTGCCCCTGAAGCCTTGGTGAGAGTCACTGTCTCCACTAGCCTGAGCCCTGCAAAGCTTCCATTGGTGCTGTGCCAGTTCTGCGCCTTGCTGGCCTTTAAGAGAACTGGATTCTTCTACTTGCTTTTTTTTTTTTTTTTTTGAACTTGCTCTGGGGAAAGCCAAATAATATATAAGATGTTCAATTACCCTGAGACTGCCATGCTATGAGGAAGAACAAGCTAACCACCTGGAGAGACCATGTAGAGAGGGATGCTTGGCCAGTTCTCATCTTTTCTAGCCATTGCAACTGAGGTGCCAAACGTGAGTGAAGAGGTCGTCTTGGATGTCCAGCTGAGTTGACCTTTCAGATGACCATAGTCCCAGCCACCATGTAACTGCAACTGCATGAGAAACCCCAAGTGAGAACTGCCCAGCTGAGCCCAGTCAATCCATAGAAAAATGAGAGGGAGTGATAAATTGCTATGCTGAACTACTAAGTTTTGAGGTGTTTGGTTATACAGAAATGAATAACTGGAACAGGAACCAATCCGGATAACGAGTTTATTCAAACTAATAATTATTGAATATTAAATGCCAGGAATTATGCTGGGAAAATAAGCTGGTGGATATTGGTCTTGCAGCCTAAAAGCTCTTTCAAACCTTAGAGTTCCAAGATATGGCTGCAGAGAATGCCTTTCATAAATTGATGTGCTTTTTCAGCCTCAGGGAGGAATATACCACTTATTTTGGATTATGAAACTTAAAAATGCCTTCTTTTGTACCGACTTTCATTCCCATACTTAATTAACCCATTCTTATTTTATTTTTACATTGAATATATCACAGAACACTAATTTTGTAAAACAGTATTTCTCAAACCATCTGTGTTAAGATCAGTGCACATGTGTGTATGTTTTAAATTTTCAACCTGTTGCATGCAGACTGATACTTTTGTAAAATACAACAAAAATGAGTTACTGAAAAAATGAAAAAAATACACAAAATACAGGCCTACTTTTTATTATTAGATTCAACAGACATATAGTTACTCTGTCAAATTGTTATTATGGTTCCTAAACAGCTGCTCTCAATTTCGTTTCTTGTTACACGTCAGGAGCCAGTTTGTGAACAGCAAGTATCTGTGGATCACACACCAGGAATAGTGCTGCTGTAGAACACACTTCACATACCTCAGGAAATGCTACTGTAGATTAAAGAAAATGCAGAATTGGGGAAGGGCTTTTTTTTTTTTTTTTTTTTTTTTTTGAGTATGATGGGACTTGAGTCTGTTTTGTATTTTGAGAGGAAGGAGCCAATGTTGTGGGAGAGGCTGAAGATCCTGGAAGATGGGCGGACTGATGGAATAATGCCTCGGAGACTGCAGTAGATAAACAGAGAGCAAGGCCTCTCCCAGGAGGTCACCAAAACTGCCCACCTACCTCCTCCCTAACCCACTGGCTTCTGCTTTCCTCTCTCCCTGTTCTTATTCCAAGCTGCCCTTACCATATCTGCTTCTGATGCCCTTGGTTTGGTGACATGCTAGGATTCTGTTTTCTGGCTTTCAGTCTCTATTAGCTTCTTAGCTGTATATCCTCCTTTGACTATGATGCCCATTAAGCCTTCGTGACAGTCGCTGTCTCCATCAGCCTGAGATCTGCAAAGCTTCCATTAGCTGCACAGGCACCAAAGGAAGGAACCTGTGGGCACGTTCAGTGGGTGAACCTGGAATTAGCCTCATGGCCACATAAGCCCTGTATGGACATACCTTTTCTTTCTGTCTGTCCAGCTTTGATTATTTTAGGAACTACCAAGTCCTTTGTCTATAAACATCTTGGTCAGGAAACTGAACTTTCCAAATACGGCTTTTAGGAAGCTTATACCCCTGCCACCCATGGGTGGGCATATAACCCCGCCAGGCCAATCAGAGCCTTTGCTGGGACTTTTGCTTGACGTATTATGAAAAATGACATTGACTCATTTGGAATATAGCCTTAAGGACAGACAGGCTGGCTTGGTCACCCCTAAGAGGGGGTAACCTACCTAAGGACACAATCAAGAAGAGCAAAGTCAAGAGACTGAGAGGGCTTGATTAAGTTCTGACAGCAGCATCACTTGGATTCTGCTGTATCTCAGACTTAGACTTCCCAGTTATATGAGCCAGTATGTTTCTTTTTTAATTTTTTGCTTAAGCTATTTTGAATTGGGTTTCTGTCACTCACAACCACAAGAGCTTGGATGAATACATTCATAGTTCAGGGGTGGTAAACCCATGATACATGTCCCACTAGTTCCTACCTTCTGTGCCCAAGATAGGCATGTTAATAAATCACAACACTCTTACTAACCCTAGACTTGACTTCAGAATTTTTCTCAACATAGAACTACAGGCAGCCTCTCCCAACCAACTAGAGCATGCACGTGAGATGAAAGTTACTTGTTATCCTCAGGGGAATATTGGATGATGCAGGTTTCTGTCATGTTTTCCTGATTCTGTGGCTGGTGACCTGCCATCTGCTTCACCTTATCTGTTCTTTTCAGTAATTCTTTCCCCAAGAATGAGAACCCGGGACTTTCATTTCCACCTGCTTCTTGAATCCTGCTCCAAATATACTCAAGTCTTGCAGTTATGACTTTGCTGCCTATGTGATGGACCGAAAGTCACCTCTCCTTATATGCTCCCATCCTGGGCTTCATTCCCCAGTGGTTACAGATGCAGCCTTGCTGTGCTCCTCTACACTGAGAAAGTCCCCCTGCCAGTGAGTTAATCCCATCCTGGGATTAACTCATGTCAGTGAATTAATCCCATCCTGGGATTAACTCATGTCAGTGAATTTTTAACAATGGCCCACTTGCATCACACAGCTTGGATTGTCCTATAAGGTGTCCCATTGGTGACTGATGTAGTCTTCTTTCAATCTATTCTCTGCATTTCAGCAGGAGTGGTCTTTCAAAATGCAAATGCAAACCATATTATTCTCTGTCTATAACTCTGCAAAGGCCTCCTATTGCATTTATGTTCTACAAATGTTGACTTCTTGCTATGGCTTTCAATGCCCTGCACAGTCTGCTGCCTGTCAGCCCACCCAGTCTCATGCTGAATGACCACCTCCTCACCGTTTGCACTGAAACCATGTGAGCATCTGTCAGTTAATGTCTCCTGCTACAGGGACTTTGCACATGACATGCCCTCTCTTCTTCATCTCCTTGATTCCTACTCATCCTCAGGTATCAGCTGAGCTGTAACTTTCATGGGGAAGCCTTTATTAATCACTCTGATTAACTTAATTCCCTCCATATAGAATAATCTAGCTATAATAAAAGAGCTAACAATATATAGCACTTACTGTGTATCAAGGCCCATTATAAGAACTTTACACATGTTATTTCATTTAATCCTCACATCGATCCTATGAGGTCGGTACTATTATTATCCCATTGTACAGATGAAGAACCTGAGGCATATATACCTCTCCTCCATACCACTTCTTAGAGTTGGAATTTTATGTTTATTTGTACTTAAAAAAAAATTTGTCCCTCTCTGCCCTTGAATGTGAGAACTGTATAAACAGGGATTCTATCTGCTTTTGTTCATTACAACATCCTTAGTGCCTAGTACAGGACCTGACAGAATTGGAGCTCAATAAATATCTTCACCTTTGGCAGCCCTGAGCCCCAGGGGCCTTCTCTCTCTGTCTTTGATGGTCATCCTTCCACCCTCTAGTCTGCATGTTTGTGTAGAGTTTTAGGATAGGGCTGGAGTGTCTAAGAGAGTGAGGCTCCACAACTTCTAGGCAGCCTTTCAGCTGGTAGGAGCCTTTCAGGCTGTGCAAGAGTGATGGGGAGTGATGTGGGTTGGCTGTGTCCCCACCTAAATCTCATGTTGAATGGTAGCTCCCATAATCTCCATGTGTGGTGGGAGGGGCGTGGTGGGAGGTAATTGAATCATGGGAGCATTTTCCCCATGCTATTCTCATGATAGTAAGTTTTCACAAGATCTGATGGTTCTATAAGGGGCTTCCCCTTTCATTTGGTTCTCATTCTTCTCTCTCCTGCTGCCCTGTGAAGAGGTGCCTTCCACCATGATTGTAAGTTTTCTGAGGGCTCCCCAGCCCTGCAGAACTGTGAGTGAATTAAATCTCTTTCCTTTATAAATTACCCAGTCGCGGGTAGTTTCTTACAGCAGCGTGAGAACGGACTAACACAGGGAGCAAAGAAAGGGGTATTTAGGGTTAAAGACAAGGCTAACTGGATGGGGCAGGGTAGGGAGAGACATTGAGCACAGCTGCGGGTTGAGGCCAGGGCCACAGAGGCCAAGCCCCAGTGACTGATTTCTTGGATGGTTGGAGCTGAGCTTTAATAGCAGCCTTGACAATGACAGTGATGGAACTCACTACCACGGAGCCTGCGCCTGGGTCAGGCAATAGATGGGGGATGAGAAGCAAGTTGTACATGGTGCATGCATACATTCTGTGTGTGTGTGTATGTGTATGTCGTGAGTATGAGCTGTGTGTGTACGTGTGGTTGTATGTACATTCATGAAATAGCTGTGATTTTATATAATTGTATGTACATTAGTTTGAGCCAAATGAAATTGCCAATAAAAGAGCAATTTCATATGGTTGAGCAAAATGTATACACATATGGATGACCATAAATCATGTGAACATGTGAAGCATTTATGGATATTGCATGAGTTGATGCTGCCTGTGGCACAGTCTCAGTATGTGTGTTTATGACATCATTGCAAGTGGGCATGAGCTGTCTAAGGTGGCAGCTCATGTATATGCACATGGTGCATGTATGTACACATGGTGCATGTGTGTGGTGGTGAGGAGAGGCTGATGAATGTGTCAAGACTGTCTGCCATATTTGGATAGTGACACATACCCTCTAATAACAGAGTGAGTAGACATGTGTCTTCCAATAATTGAGTAAGGGGACACGTGCTCTCTGGTAACTGAGTGGCCTTCATTTTAGCCCAGGGATAAGGTGTATCTCGCAGAATACAATGGACACCCCCAATGCCCCATCTTGTGAACATAGGAGACAAGCTGCTCCTTGGCTTCTCCAGGCACTGTCTTTGATCAGACCTTATACAATACACATTGCCCCATCTCACATAACCTTTATGCCTACCATTGCAGGGAGAGTACATCACTCTGTTAGAAAAATCCCCAAGCAGTCAATATTACTTGCTTCTGGAAAATGAGGAAGAAACAGTGTGGCAGAAGTTAAGTAACCTTGGAATAGCATAAATAGGCATAGACATGATAAATAGGGCATAATTTGCAGAATCAAATCCTGGATCTAGCCCTTACTAGCTGTGTGACTTTGGTAAACAATACTTAAATTGATTTCCCACTGTTAAGTTTTACCTAGCACAACGCCTTAGACATCATAGTGCTCTTTGCCACAGAATCTGGGGTTTGAAGTAAGTGTTTCCTCTTATGCAAAAAATAGTTATAAACATCTACTATGGGAGTTATTTTTGCTATTCACCAATATTTCTGGGTTTTGGTCT
Organism: Homo sapiens; assembly: GCF_000001405.40. NCBI lineage: Eukaryota > Metazoa > Chordata > Mammalia > Primates > Hominidae > Homo > Homo sapiens. The sequence goes on from NC_000020.11 coordinate 39,171,867, forward strand.
CTTAGACACGTGATAGGATTGAATTTCCCTTTCTCTTTTAGTCCAGGTGTGCCACGTGGCTTGTTTTGGCCAATGAGATGAGAACACAGTGACATGGTGGACCGTTTTTAGGTGGAAGTTTTAAGAGGTAGTGCATTAGGTGCCATGTTTTCTTTCCCCTGCTTTGGCTAAGGGAAATCCTGCAGGTGAAGTCTTCCTCAGCCTGGGTCTTTGAGGGAGGATAAGATGCAGCAGGGCCCCAGCAGACCTATGACAGATGTGCTGTGTAGTAAGACATGAAGCTGTTGTTTCAATCCCGAAATTTTGGGGTTGCTTTTGCAGCATGACCTGTCTTATTTTGCTGGACACCAGTTTTGCCTTTTGGTCCACCTGTATGGTAAATACTCATCCTCATTTCACAAATGGCAAAACTGGCCTGAGACATGTTAGGTTTATCTTCAGTCAGTCAACAGGATCAACCTTTTGGTTTGAAAAAAGGTGACATTTGGGACCTTTGCTCCATGAGTACTTTGAGTGTGCCAGAATGGTGACCCAATCTCAGAGACATTTCTTTAGGGCATTGGGGTGTTGGCCAAGGGAGGGCAAATAGACTCTCATAAGTGGAGAAGAATTTGTACAATATTTTATGACCTGATTCTGATAACAAAGGAAGCCCCAAAGTAGGTTAGGGTGATAATGGAGATTTAACTTGCTCCTGCTGGGAAATTCACCCAGCAAGATGCAAAACCCAGAATAGATCACTTTTCATTTCTCAGAGTTACACAGGTTATAGATGATCATTGTATAAAATTTAGATAATTCAGATAAATGAAAGATTAAAAAATTAAAATCATCTAGGCTTGGCATGGTGGCTCACGCCTGTAATCCCAGCACTTTGGGAGACCAAGGTGAGCAAATTGCTTGAGCTGAGGAGTTTGAGACCAGCCCGGGCAACATGACAAAACCCAGTCTCTACAAAAAAAAGGAAAAATCATCTGGGTGTGGTGGTGCATGCCTGTAGTCCCAGCTGCTCAGAGCCTGAGGCAGGAGGATCACCAGAACCTGGGGACGTTGAGGCTGCAGTGAGCCGTGATCATGGGGCCACTGCACTCTAACCTGGGTAACAGAGTAAGACCTGTCTCAAAAAAAATTAAAATTATCTGATATTCTGCTACTTAGAGATAACCACCATTCATATTCAACCTTCTAAACATTCTCCATGTATACTTTAAAATTGGTGATTACAGTAATTGCTTTATCTTTTATCTCATTTAACACATCATAAATATCCTTCTATTTTAAGTAAATAGGGGGCCATATCATCATTTTAAATAGCTGCATAGTATTCCATCATATGAAGCATCAATTTATTAGTATTTCTTAATGAGTCCAATACTTTTGGACCTTTAGGCTGTTTGCAAGCTCTTGCTGTTATAAACAATATTGTGATAAAACTCCTTGGAAGAAACATCTTCTGGCACTTGCCTAATTATTTCCTTAGAATAATTCTTTGAAGTAGGATTGCTCGTCAAAAGAAATGTACTTTCCAAGGGCTTTTGTTGCATATTGCCAAATTGCTGTCCAGAAACACTGCATTAATTTTCAGTCCTAGCAGTAATGCATAGGAATGTCCTTTTCTTGATTTCCACATCAGTCCAGCGTATTGTCAATCTCTTAAACCTTTGCTAATTCTAACAGTGAAAAATTGCACTTCGTTGTTTCAATTTACATTTCTTTGATTCCTAGTGAGTTTAGACTATTTTTTTAAAGGTGCATTGTTAGAATACCTTCTTGGTGATCCTATTGGAATCCCAAGAATACAGAGGAGACAATTTGTTCTTTCATTCATTCATTCATTTAACATGTTTATTTGCACCTACTATGTGCTAGGCACAGTTTTAGAAGCTGAAGTTACAACAGGGAATAAGGCAGACCCAGTCCCTGTTTCAGAGCCTATATATAGCAGTGTGTGTGTTTGGGGGGACTAGGATCTTAACCCCAGGGACATCAGGCTCCTGAAGTACTAGCGGAGTAATTATAGAAAGTAGCTACTCAGTTCTAGTCAGCATGGGCTCAGCTGTACTACAGCCTTAGGCAAAAAGAAAAAAATCCATAATGTGAATCCTATCTTTATTCAAATTTTGATATTTTGTTCATTATGGATTTTTGCACTAATTATGATTTTAAAATGTTGCCATATAATATGTATTCTGATTGCTGAGTTTTCTTGGTGCACTTTTAAGTTCTGTACCTGAGAAAAGTGCCTCACTCATCTTGCTCTAATCTCGGCCCTCCTAATCTATTTCTGATTTCTAAAATTTCTGTGCACACACAGGTGAGACCCTGCAACCTGAACTCAGGGCTTTCCAGACTCATAAATAAGTGCTGTTCTGACTACACATCCAGAAAGATTTCAAGTCAGTCCAATAACTATTACTTTGAGGAATTGCTGTGTTCCAGGGCCTGTGTCAGGCCCTGGGATATAAAGACAAGCACTCAGTCACCATTTTGAAGGTGAGATTTAGAGGCCTAAGTAAACAATATACCCTGTAATCGTCCATCAGCCATCTCTGTCCTTAGAAGTACATGTGAGTAGTTATGCCATCTTGTTCCCATCCTGGTCTCAATCTTTGGTGGAATGATTACCACGTTCTCAAAGGTCTTGGAAAACTAAATGTTAATAATGTTAACCTAAACATAAAATAACTGAAAGCTATTTAAGTTTCCCCTGTGTGCCAAGCATGACACTAGGCACTTGTAGCAGTTAAGTAAAAGGGAGAATTTAATTATGGAGTTGATTACACAGGTGATGGAAAAGTTGAGAAGCTTAGTAGGAGAGGGTGAGGCCATCCAGACTTTATTCAAAAGTGGGAAGCCACTACCATCTCCAGGGCTAGAGAGGCAAAGGGAAATGATGTAGTTATCAGGGCTTTGGGGCAGAAGTTGAAATATCAAGTGTCCTGTTCCACAGGAGCTGAAAACATCGAGGAGGTTCTGCTCTTGCTAGAGATGTTGCCTGGGGAGGGAGGAAGAAGATGATGGAAAAATAGCCAGAATTTTCCTTCCTCTTGCCTTCCAGTCTCCCAACAGGACTTCCCATTGGCCCTCTCCTGCTGGAAGCCAGCTGATCTTGAAGCCAAGTCAGAGGTTGGCTCTCTTTGATAGAGAGGAGAGTTAGGGAAGAGGGAGGAACAGATCTGATTGCAAAGAAGTCACAGAATAGCATCCTCCTGAACATAAACCATCTTTAAAAATTCTCATTACCACCCTGAAGTTAAGTACTCTTGATTCCATTATAAAAACATGACACCAGAAACCAAGAGGAGCTAAGAGATAGCTACAGGGACACACAGTAATAGGGGAATTGGATTTGAGGTTAGGCTTGCTTGGGGCCAAGGTCCTATTTTTCCCACACCACAGGCTTCCTCTCTACCCTGAATCATCCCACCATCATCCAGGGCATCTCCAGTGCTCCTGAGGGTCACCCCTCCCTTGCCCTTGCTTTACAGTTGCTTGGCTGCCCCATCTCCAATGACTGGCACTTACTCTCCATCAGCCACCATGTTGCACAACTCCTTTGAATTTTATGTGAATGGTATTCCTGGAGTTATCCAATGGGATGGCCCTGTTGACAACTACCTAAGCCCATGACCATGGTTTGGATCTAGTCATTATATTTGAACACTTGGCCTCTGAAATCTTAGGTTCTAAGAGGTCCTTCCCTGCTGTCCTTCTTCCTCCTTTCTTTCACTTTTGTTGACTTGCCTTTTTGACCTTTCTCTAACCCCATTGGTATTTATTTCCCTACTCTGAGTCTACCAGCCCTTCCTGGATTGAATCCCCAATATGCCCAATCTAGGCTTCATTGTTGTATACCACTCCTGTGACCTTTGTCTGATACACTCTTGGCAGTCCTACGTAACCTTTATCATTCTTTGCTGGAGAAAACCACACAACTGTGGAGATTGAGCTCATTACACACTTATGATTTCCACGCCTGCTTAGTGCCCTTGGATGGTCCCCTTTGCTCAGCTGTAGTTTAAGAACTTATTTTCCCCTGTAGTACTTACTTCTAACCTCATGATCTCCCCGTGGGCCCCAGGTTGCCTTTTTCCGATAAAGGTCCCAATGCCTACATTCATCTGAGCCAGCTGGGCTGCCAGTGGAAATGCGGGGGTGAGAGGACAGGGCAGAGCACAAAGATTCAGCGTGTCTTCACAGAGGTGGTAATGGTGGTGCAGGTGTAACACCAGAGGTACAGGCAGGAAGACTAAGACCAGATGTTGGCCATTTTCTTCTAGTGCATGCAAAATGCTTTATTTTCTTGAGGTTTCCAATTTCCCAAGATTCCTAGGCTTGATGGCTTCATAAGGGTTAACTCACTATCCTATGGCTCTGCCATTAATTACTCCAGTGGCTGCAGACACTGCACGGAGCTGGATCCTGGTTGTTCCAGCTTCAGAGTGGGTTTATTGCCAACCATGCATTATGAAGAACTAATTGTGAGCCCCTTGCACCTGCTGGTTCCCCCTGTGGCTGGGACTCAGGAAGTGGGGGGAGAGTTATTAATGAGCTTGTTGCTCATTATAATAAAACAATGGGGAAGTTGGCAAAGGAGCTGGTGGTCCAGGTGTGGTGTCAGAGAAGGCTGGTTGGCATTTCTGGAAACATGACTTTACAGTCATATCATCTGCCTCCTTCCCTGGCTCATGCTGTGACACCAAGTGATAAAAGAGCTGTCATCCTGAGGGCCACTCAGAGTCCTTGTGAACTCATGATCAGCGGAAGCCACCTGGATGGAGGAATTGCTGAGCCAGCACTCTGTCCTGGCTGAGATGGGCTGGGGCATGGGGAATGCTGGGATTTCAGCCCCAGAGCAGAGGGGACAGACCTGGCTGTGCCCTGGGTTATCTAGGCTTAATAGATACAGCTGAGAGGAGTGGAAGCCAGTGGAAGGCCACCAGAATGACAACCTCTTGCACGTTGAAGAGCTCTGGATAGGTAATGGTTTGGGGCACAGATACAGGGCTGGGACTAGGGTAAGGCAAGCCAGGGTGCAGAATTTAAGGAGGCCTTCACTCTCAGGCTTGTGCAAATTCAGAAGCAGCATTAAGAGTGAGTGCCTCCTTAATGTTTGTGCCCTGAGTGCACCCTAGTCTGGGCCCTGCACAGGTGGGTGGCTATACTAGAAGGGCCAGGTGGTAGCTCCTCCTTGACATCCTCCCTTGGAGCTTGAGGCAGATCAGTGGACATCTCTTCCTGGTCGTTGGTTCTCCAGGGACTGGTCTGGAAGCCCACTCAGGAAAGTACTATGATGACAACTAACATCAACTGGGCAGTGCCATTATTAATTCTCCTTCTCATTTAATTGTCAAGACATACATGGAAGGGGGGTAAGAAGAATATTCTTCCATGGTGGTGAATAGGGCAGGCTCTTGGATTACAGTTTCTGCCTTCAAGCCCCAACTTTGCCACTTACCAGCCCAGTGATCTTAGGCAAGATGCTAATACCCTGACATCTTGGTTTCTTGGAGTGCAAGTGGCTTCTTCTGTTCCTTGAATATATCAATTTGTTTTCACCTGGAAAGTTCTTCTCCTAGATATTTGCATGATACTTTTTTCATACTATTCAAGTCTCAGGTCAAATGCCACTTCCTTGGAGAGGCCTTCCCAGGCAACCTCATCTAAAGGAGTTCCTTACCACCATGTCTAAATATTGTTACATTAAATTATTGACTTCATAGCCATTATCACTCTCTGCGGTTATCTTTATTTCCCTGATATCTGTCTTCACCATTTGAAAGTAATTTCCATGAGGGCGGAGATTTTCCTATTTATTGCTGTATCTATAGTGCTGGAACTGTACCCAGAATAGGTAGTTGCTGATATAAAATGTAAATAAATGAATTATTTAGAAATGGCACTTAACTCACTGTGTTCTTGGGAGGACTAAGGAGGCAATCCATGAAGAGTTTGGCACATACTAAGTCCTCGCCTCTGAGATTCAAGGAGTGTAAGTGACTTGTCTACATTCACCAGCCAGCAAGTGGCAGCCCTATGACCCAAGACCCAAAATTTGTGCTGTAACCTTCTATCCATCACAGGTTCCCAGGTGCTTTCTGATGAGTCAGAAAAAGAAGCTGGGCTGAAAACTACAGCTTCTCTGGAAAAGAGGGAATCCTGGGGAGAGGAGAGAAGAAATCTGTGTGGGTAGAACTATCCTACAGCTCTATCGTGAGAATGATCAGGTTGTCATAAACAGGAAAGATATTAAACACATTTTACAGCTGGACTGTGACAGGCTAATAATGGCTTCAGGAGATAGTCTATGTCCTAATCCCTAGAACCTGTGAGTGTTACCTTTTTAGATAAAGGGTCTTTGCAGTTTTGATTAAGTTAAGGATGTTGAGATGAGGAGGTAATCCTGGATTATCTGGGTGGGACCTAAGTCCAAACCCAAATGTCCTTTTAAGAGAGAGGCAGAGGGAGATTTGATATAGGCAGAAGAGAAGGGGTCACATAAAAATGGAGACAGAGATTAGAGTGATGTGGCCACAAAGTCAGGTGGTGATATGTGCTATTTTGTTAGCATGATCAGGCAAGGATTCCCCAAGGAGGCAACACTTGATCATACACTTGAGGAAGCGAGAGAATATACCATGTGAATATCTGTGGGAAAAGACTTTCCAAGCAAAGGAAACCTCATGCTCAAAGGCCTTGAAGCAGGAGTGTGCCTGGTGGGTTTTAGGGAAGGTGGCTGGAGTGTAGCAGTCAAAGAAAAAAGGGATAGAAAGTACAGCCAGAGGTATGGCCTGAGGCCAGGGCATGTCTGGCCTTGCAGGCAACAGCAAAGACTGATTTTATTCTAAGTGTGATAAGAAGCCATTGGGGAGATTTGAAAGCAGAGAGTGGAATGCTCTATTTTATGTTTTACGAAGATTATTCTATTTGCTGTGTAAAGAATAGAACAGAAAGGGGCAAGAGAAGATGCAGGAAACCCAATTAGGAAACTATTTCGGTCTGTTCCTGTTGCTGTAACAAAATACCACAGACTGGGTAATTTATAAACAACAGAGATTTATTTCTCACAGTTCTGGCGGCTAGGAAGTCCAAGATCAAGGCACCAGCAGATTTAGTGTCTGGTGAAGACTCACTTTCTGCTTCATAGATGATGTTTCTTACTGCATTCCCACATGGCGAAAGGGGAAAAAGGGCCAGGCAGTTCTCTGAAGCCCCTTTTACAAGGGCATTAATCCCATTCATGAGGGTGGAGCCCTCATCACTTCCCAAAAAGGTCTACCTCTAATACCCATCACCTTGGGGTGTGAGTTTCAGCATATGAATTTTGGAGGGACACATACATTCAAACCACAGCAGAGGCCATTGCAGGCAGAGGTTGATGATGGCAGCTTGGTCTAGGTGTTGGGAAGAAGGCGGTAAAATGGGGTCAGTGACGTGATACATTTTGAAGGAAGAGGCTTGTGGTTTGCTGATGTATTGGATGTGGGGAATGAGGAACAGAGGAATCCAGGATGATTCCAAGGCATTTGCCTGAGTAACTGAATGAACGATGTTGCTTCTACTGAGAGGAGAAATACTGGCAGGAGGGCAGATTTAAGGGAGAGAATCAGTTTTGGTTGTAGAAGGGGAGAATGGTAAAGAAAGAGCAATTAGCAGGGAAGCATATATTGAACACTATGTTAAAATTCATAGTGCTGCACTTCACTCCGCCTTTCTCTTGGGTAGTGGAGGCCATTTGAACTTCCAGGGCTTGATTGGCAACTCCCCAAACCAGGTGAGTAGTGGTGGAAATAAATCCAGAAATAAACCCAAAATGTATTAAAGACTTAAATATAAGACCTGAAGCTGTAAAACTAGAAGAAAACAGAAAACTTCCTTGGCAATGATTTTTTTGGATATGACACCAAAAGCACAGGCAACAAAAGCAAAAATAAATGGACTAAATTAAATGGAAAAATTTCTGCACAGCAAAGGGAAAAATTCAACAAAATAAAAAGGCAACCTATGGAATGGGAGAAAATTTGCAAACTAAATATCTGATAAGGGATTACCATCCGAAATATATAAGGACGTCCTGCAATGCAATAGCAAAATACCAAATAACCTGATTAAAATATGAGCAAAAGATCTAATAGACACTTCTGCAGAAAAGACATACAAATGGCCAACAGTTATATAAAAGATGATCAACATCACAAATCATTGGGAAAATGCAAGTTGAACACACGAGATATCACTTTACACCTGCTAGGATGGCCATTATTAAAAAATGTTAATGAAGATGTGAAGAAAAGGGAATGCTGGTACACTGTAAATGAGAATGTAAATTGGTATAGTCATTATGGAAAACAGTACAGAGGTTCCTTAAAAACTTAGAACTACCATATGATCCAGCAGTCCCACTTCTGGATATCAAAATTAGGAAGGAACAGAAATTAGGATCTTGAAGAGATACTTGCACTTCTATGTTCATTGCAGCATTGTTCACGATAGTGAAGATATAAAAACAACCTAAAAGTTCACTGTTGAATGAATTAATAAAGTATGGTGTATACATACAATGGAATGTTATTTAGACTTAAGAAGCTATGTTGTCATTTGCGACAGCATAAATGGACCTAGAGGACATCATGCTAAGTGAAATAAGCCAGACACAGAAAGACAAATATTGTATGACCTCATTGTATGTGGAACATACTATAGTCAAACTCACAAAAGCAGAAAGTAGGGTGGTGGCTTCCAGGGGTGAGGGGAGCGGGGAAGAGGAAATGGGGAGGTAAGTGATGGTCAAAGGGTACATGTTTCAGTTATGCAAAATAAATAAATTCTGGAGATCACTATACAGTATATAGTGCCTAAAGCTGACAAAACTATATTGTATACTTACAAACTTTAAACTTTGCTGAGAGGGTAGATCTTCTGTTAAGTGTTCTTACACACAGACACACAGACACACACACACACACACACACACACACATATGCACACACTAATCAAGGAGGTGGAAGGAAACTTTAGGAGGTAATGCATATGTTTATGGCCTTGATGGATATGTTTATGGTGATGGTTTCATGGGTGTATATTTATTATATCATCAAACTCCTGGAGTTGTATATGTTAAAAATGTATAGCTTTTTGCGTGTCAATCATACCTCAATAAAACGGTTTAAAATGTAATTACTTTCTTAAAAAATGCCTCGTACAGTCTGGACCAGGTTAAAACTTTATTCTCACATCCAATTCATTGCCCATCTCCTTTGCTCTCCTGGTTGACAGCCAGGCTTTTCCTGGGAAACAGTGATGGGGAGGCCCCGTGTCTGCCCTTGCCCCTCTTGCCATCTCTCCCCATGTCTTTTCTCCCTCTTGAATTGCTTGACTAGGCAGATGTCTAATGAGGGAAGGAGATGTCAGTTACCCTGCATCTTCCTGTTATCCCAAGCTCTACAAGTGATTTCTTTGAAGTTTCCATCCCACACTTGCTTAGAGAGGTGGGAATAACTCCTTTCTCCCTCAAGGCGAAGAAGGAAAAAGACATGATTTTCTCCCCTCCCACTGTGATTCACAGTGTTTCTTCTTTCACTTTGTCTCCTCTCTCTTGGTCTTCTGCTTATATGGTCCTGGTAGTGGTGGGTTCAGGGAGACCTGGATGAGGGTGGCAGAACTGACTGGACAGTGTGTTAGTCCAGGACCTCCTAGAAGCTGACATAGAAATAGGAATAGATGTGCAGGAGGAAATGCTTTTTGTGATGGTTACTTTTATGTGTCAACGTGACTAGGCCATGGGGAACCTGGATATTTGGTTAAACATTATCCTGGGTATGTCTGTGAAGGTGTTTGTGGATGAGATTAACATTTAAATCAGTAAGCTGAGTAAAGCAGATTGCACTCTCTGATGTGTATGGGTCTTATTCAACCAGTTTAAGGCCTGAATGGAACAAAAAGGCTACCCCCTCCCCGAGTAAGAATAACTCCTGCCTGACTGCCTTCAAACTGAGACCTTGGTTTTTCTTTCTGCCTTCAGACTGAAGCTGAAACATGGGCTCTTCTGGGTCTCTGGCTTGCTGACTCACCCTGTAGATCTTGGGACTTGTCAGCCTCCATAATTGTGAGCCAATTTCTTATAATAAATAAATATAAAACTATATAATATAATTATATTTATATAAAATATTTATATGAAATCATTAGCATGTCTAAATTTTAAATAATCCTCAGACAAACCACAAATACTTCAAAATCGAAATGAGAAAGGGGATATAACCACAGATACAAAAGAAATTAAAGGACAATAACAAGACAAGAAAATTTTTTTTTCATTCTTTTTTTCTAATGTATTATACTCTAAGTTTTAGGGTACATGTGCACAACATGCAGGTTTGTTACATATATATACGTGTGCCATATTGGTGTGCTGCACCCATTAACTCATCATTTAACATTAGGTATATCTCCTAATGCTATCCCTCCACCCTCCCCCCACCCCACAACAGGCCCTGGTGTGTGATGTTCCCCTTCCTGTGTCCATGTGTTCTCATTGTTCAATTCCCACCTATGAGTGAGAACATGCGGTGTTTGGTTTTTTGTCCTTGCGATAGTTTGCTGAGAATGATGGTTTCCAGCTTCATCCATGTCCCTTCAAAGGACATGAACTCATCCTTTTTTATGGCTGCATAGTATTCCATGGTGTATATGTGCCACATTTTCTTAATCCAGTCTATCATTGTTGGACATTTGGGTTGGTTCCAAGTCTTTGCTATTGTGAATAGTGCCGCTATAAACATACGTGTGCATGTGTCTTTATAGTAGCATGATTTATAATCCTTTGGGTATATACCCAGTAATGGGATGGCTGGGTCAAATGGTATTTCCAGTTCTAGATCCCTGAGGAATCACCACACTGACTTCCACAATGGTTGAACTAGTTTACAGTCCCACCAACAGTGTAAAAGTGTTCCTATTTCTCCACATCCTCTCCAGGACCTGCTGTTTCCTGACTTTTTAATGATTGCCATTCTAACTGGTGTGAGATGGTATCTCATTGTGGCTTTGATTTGCATTTCTCTGATGGCCAGTGATGATGAGCGTTTTTTCATGTGTCTTTTGGCTGCATAAATGTCTTCTTTTGAGAAGTGTCTGTTCATATCCTTCACCCACTTTTTGATGGGGTTGTTTGTTTTTTTCTTGTAAATTTGTTTGAGTTCATTGTAGATTCTGGATATTAGCCCTTTGTCAGATGAGTAGGTTGCAAAAATTTTCTCCCATTCTGTAGGTTGCCTGTTCACTCTGATGGTAGTTTCTTTTGCTGTGCAGAAGCTCTTTAGTTCAATTAGATCCCATTTGTCAATTTTGTCTTTTGTTGCCATTGCTTTTGGTGTTTTAGACATGAAGTCCTTGCCCATGCCTATGTCCTGAATGGTATTGCCTAGGTTTTCTTCTAGGGTTTTTATGGTTTTAGGTCTAACATTTAAGTCTTTAATCCATCTTGAATTAATTTTTGTATAAGATGTAAGGAAGGGATCCAGTTTCAGCTTTCTATATATGGCTAGCCAGTTTTCCCAGCACCATTTATTAAATAGGGAATCCTTTCCCCATTTCTTGTTTTTGTCAGGTTTGTCAAAGATCAGATAGTTGTAGATATGTGGCATTATTTCTGAGGGCTCTGTTCTGTTCCATTGGTCTATATCTCTGTTTTGGTACCAGTACCACACTGTTTTGGTTACTATAGCCTTGTAGTATAGTTTGAAGTCAGGTAGTGTGATGCCTCCAGCTTTGTTCTTTTGGCTTAGGATGGACTTGGTGATGCGGGCTCTTTTTTGGTTCCATATGAACTTTAAAGTAGTTTTTCCAGTTCTGTGAAGAAAGTCATTCGTAGCTTGATGGGGATGGCATTGAATCTATAAGGTAACATTCCTGAACATCCAGAACTCACATATTTTTAAAAACACTAGATGACTTAAGAAGTGCTTAAAAAACTTGGACAAATAACATAGAAGAAATTAATGAAGTTGTTAAAGATCTCTTTAAGATCCTGAGTCCTGATGATTTCATAGTGAAGTTTTTTCAAATATTCAAGATATTTCAGATGTCATTCAAATTAGCACAGAAGATAGAGGAAGGAGAATTTTCTTAAGTATTATAATAATTTTAACATACCATTGATGCCAAAATCTAACACAAGAAAATTCCAGACCTGTCTTATTTATAAAGATATAAAATTCCTGAATAAAACATTGTTTCATAGAATTTAGCAGTGTCTTTAAATTAATGTATTCTAAGTGGGGTTCTACTAAGGAATAACAGGATTATTCAATGTTAAGAAACCCATAATTATAACTTGTCATATTGCCAGGCCAGAAAATTTAATATCTGAATGAATTCTGAAAAAATACAGATATAATTTCACATTCATTTTTATTAAAATTTGTACTTGAGAGGTTTTTTTTCCCCTCCTGACATCAACTAATTCTGACACCAACTAGGTATCCTACAATTCAACTTGATTCTAACACTAACTACCTGGCATTAGCTACCTGGAATTAGCACCTAAACTGCAGGTTTAGGCACTCAGTCTCACAAGACTGTCCTCACTTCAGATGCCAGTCACAAGTGTCAGGTCGCCAGGTTACCCACACTTCTGTCCAACTTGGCTACAAAGTCAAGGGTTGCCACTCCCCATTCCCTTTAGGCTTGTTAATTTGCTAGAATAGCTTGCAAAACTAAGGGAATCACTTAACTTTTGTTTACCAGTTTATTTTGGAGAATACAAATGAACCGCCAGATGAAGAGGTGCATAGGGTGAGGTCTGGAAGGGTCCTGAGTACAGGAGCTTCTGTCCCCATGGAGCTAGGATGTGCCACCCTCGCAGCATATGGATGTGTTCACCAACTTGGAAGCTTTCCGCTTCCAAAAAATCCCCTCATTTAGGATTTTTTTTTTTATGGCAGCTTCATCATGTAGGCATGATTGATTATTAACTCAATCCCCAGCCCCTCTTTCCTGGGTTGTGGGGCTTAAAGTTCTAGGCTTCTAACCAAGGCTTGGTCTTTATGGAGACCTGTCCCCAGTCTGAAGCTATCTAGAGGCTAGTCAAGAATTGTCTTACTAGACAAAAGACAGTCCTATTATTATTATCACTCAGGAAATTCCAAGAGTATTAGGAGCTCCAGGCAAGGAAATGAGAAGAAGGCCCAGATGCTTTTTAATAATGCCTTGGTAGTTAATAAATAAAAAATTAGGTAATCCTCATTACAAGAATGCTTTATGGTGAAGCAATAAAAACAATCTTGTTAAATTTAGGAAAGAGGAAATGATACTTTCCCTCAACTCTCTTATAGAACATTGTTCTAGAGATGCTTACCAATGCTATTAGAGAAGAAAATAAAAATGAGGTAGACATCTGGCAAACAATAAGATAAAATGCTTATCCCTTGCAGAAGAGATTATTAGCTACCTGGAAAACATGAGAGAATCAATAGGAAAATTTTGGAAGTGATAAAATTTAAAGCATTTGGTTGTAAATGCACACACACACACACACACACACACACACAAATTCTCAATATGTCAACAGTAAGTGATTTTAAAAATTTCTTTACAGCAATAGGTTCATTTTTTTTTCCCTGTGAGGAGGAATCCTGTCTATTGTAAGAGGGAAGATTGAAACATGTTTAGAAGAAACAGAGGAGACAAAGAGCATGTCTTGGAGATGTTGATATCCTTAGTGCCTGTTTTTATTAAGCCTTAACTTCATTCTGTCCTTAGGTTTCATGGGATGCCTCAAAATTCTTATAATAAATCCTCTTTCAGCTTATAGTGGATTTAGATTGGGGTTCTGTTGCTTGCAACTGTAGGGAGCCTAACCAATGAAGGCAGATTTGTTAGAAAGCACAAAACACAATGAACTCTTTGCTTCCCTAGTCCACAACAGTTTTAGGATGCATAAAATATAGTGTATTCAGAAATGATGAGGGGTGAGTGCATAGGTAAATGCATATAGACAAAACAGAGCCTGGGGGAAAATTACAATAATCTTATACTATTAGTCTCCCCTTCAGTAGCATCCTTGGGATCTTGGGTCTCATAATTCTATTTCCTTTTAAAAAGTCGTGCACATACTGTCAACAGCCATTAAACTTGCTTGCTATTGCTGTCCCTTGATGGCCTCAGTCAATAGCCCCCTATATCCTTGCCTGCATAGTCGAGGCTGTTCTTAAACTGAGGACTATTTAGGAGGCTTACCCTTCTACTACTAGCTCTCTCAGCTAGGAATGATTCTTCCCTTATCGTGCTTACAATGCTCAGGAAGCCAAATTCTTTTAACTCAGAATCAGTCCCTTTCTAATCTGGGACATGGCTGGTCCGGAATGGCTAGAAGTTTGGAGTCTCAATCCCAAACCCAAGGGTACAACCTTCTATCTCAAAGTGTTTTCCAGGAATATAGGACTCTTGGATGATTTGCTCTGGCAGCCCAGAATTCTCAATGTGGATTTGCAGATTAGGTTTTTCTTCACTGTTCTTCCCACAATGATCAGGCAGTATATTTAACAGGAATTACTTTACAACTAAAGAAAAATTAAAACCAAGACAAGGATCCCAAAGCTATATAAGAACAAAAGACCTGCTTCTAACTGGAAGAGAATAGAAAAATTATAAAATCTCACTGTAGCTCATGATAGAGTGTTCCCTACCTATGAGTATATGCCATTTCAATAATTTTTAATCCTTTAGACTTTGAGTAGGGCAGTCTGAATGTAAGCATCATTTTGCATTAAGGCCAGCAGGGATGAACCATAGAGAGGAGAAACATTATTGATTGTTATAAGTTCTCAGTAAAAAAAATACCCTGACCTTACTCTACTGCCTTTCCTTACATATCTTCTGGGTGCATAATTTTTTGTTTGAAATCTGCAATAGGGATGGAGGCAGCATATTAGTTATGATTTTTAATGATGATGCTTATAATTATACAGCAAAAAATTGAGAGATTACTATGTGCCAATAACTTTAAGTTTATTATCTAATTGAATAATCACAGCAACTCTGTTATTACCTTCCCTGTTACACGAAGAGACCAAGATTGGGAGCAGGTACTAAATTGTCCCTTGGTCCAACAGGGGAATAAGGTAGCAAATCATGTGAACCTGAATGGTCAGATTCTAGACTCCTGGTTCCATCCTCAGATGGCTGTTTGGTGGCCTTGACTCCCTGGATTCTAGAAGCAAGCCTATGGCTAATATCCATGATATAGTTTGGATGTTTATCCCTGCCCAACACTCATATTGAAATGCAATCCACAGTGTTGGAGGTGGGGCCTGGTGGGAGGTGTTTGGATCATGGTTGTGAATCCCTTATGAATGGCTTGGGCCATCCCTTTGGTGATAAGTAAGCTCTCACTCTGAGTTCATGAGATCTGGTTGTTTAAAGGTGTGTGGTACCTCCCTCCAACTCTCTCACTTGCTCCTGCTTTCACCATATGATGTGCCTGCCCCCGCTTTACCTTCCGCCATGATTGTAAGCTTCCTGGTCCCTCTTTAGAAGCCAAGCAGATGCCAGCACCATGCTTCTATACAGCCTGCAGACCCATGAGCCAATGGAACCTCTTTTTTTTTTTTGTAAATTACCCAATCTCAGGTATTTATTTACAGCAATGCAAGAGTAGCCTAATACAATCCATAACTTGAAGTTTCCCACAACTCTAGATATTCTGGGCCTGCAGCTACTTTGGGTTCATGAACAAAGAGCTGTATTTCAGGTGAAGTATTCAAAGGAGAGGCATTTCCTTATATTTCAGCTCAATATTTTGGGGTGTAAGGCCAAGCAGGTATAGACACACTTGACTGCCAAATGGGGTGTTAGTAAGATGCCCTTGCTCAGGACAGATCTACTGATGTGGAAAGTGTCAAGGAAATAAGAATCTTTAACTAGGAATTTGGCTATCATTTTGGTCAAGGAAGATAAATTTTCAGATCATAAAGGGTAAAGTTAACATTGATAAGACAACACTCAAAGGTAGAAGTTTATAGATAGCTCAAAACTAGTTGAAATAATTTTAGCAAGATGAGTGATCTCTGGGAAATTGCAGACCCTTGAATTAATGATGCTAATTTTCAGAAATCCTAGAGGAGAGAGATGCCTGAAGCCTGGAAACTGGCAAAAAAAATTCCATTTTTCCTTAAGGGAAGAAAGGTGACTCAATCCTGGGCAGGAATCTAGTATGATTTATTTAGGGCAAGATTGTAAACATATTGGAGATCACTAGAAACCAATATTGACTCACTTAGAATAAGTTATAGGAGGATAATATCATTTCCTTTTTAGATAGTGTCACTAGGCTCTCAGAGTAGGATAGTGACATATCTGTTAGGAATTGTACTTGGCTTTGAATAACAGAAACCAAAAGATGAGTGGCTTAAACAGTTAAGAAATTCTTCTTTTTTCCTGCAAGGAGAAGTCTAGTAGCAGGTGGTCTCTAGCATTGATTTCAGAGACCCATGACTTTCAGGGCTACAGTGCCTGTGATTGTCTTGACTTCTCCCTTATGGTTGCAAAATGACTGCTCCACCTGCCACATCACATCAGTATTTCAGGCAGGAAAGGCAAAGAACAAAGGATCTGTGTCATCTGAGCTGGCTTTTTAAAAGTGGTTTTCCTGGGAGGGCTACCCAATAACTTCCATCTCATTGACCAGAACTATGTCACATGACCACTGTTATTTGCAAGGGAGGCTGGGAAATATAGTATCTTGACACATTGCCTCTTGACAAAGCCAGGAAGCATAGGTGTTGGGTGCTAAACTAGTAATCTCTGTCCCATGAAGCAGATAACTGATCTGGCTTTCAGCAGAACATAACAAAAAAAAACTTTAGATATCCTTAGAGAGAAAACTGAAAATACAAATAGGGTCTTAGAGGATCTTGGAATACTAAAAACTAGTTTACCCATTCAGAGCAGATAAATGAATTGATATCATTTTGTGGGGAGGACTTTATTGGAGTGCCTATGGGCTCTATCATAGCCCTGATCATATTAGCACTTTAATGATTTGAATTGAAGACATGGAAAAGCCACTTGCGTGATTTGCTGGTGAAATAAAGTTGAAAGAGAAAATGTGTGAAGAAGCTGGCTGAAAAAATCAGTATCTTTTTAGATCTTGGTTGCTTAAGTGCGGCCAGATTTTATTAGGTGAATCAGCAGAAGAATAAGGGAGGGTCCTGTGTTGGGTTGCAGAAGCGGTGGTCCAAGTGCAGGATCAGGGAGCTCTGGCTTAGTGAAGCAGGTCTGTAAGGTCTTGTGGGCTTTTAGCTCACTCTTGACTTTGTATAGTAATCAGGATGATGTGGATCCACAAGTCCCATTTACCCTCAAGCCATGTTAATAGAAATATCACAAGAGCTGTGATCCAGGGCAGAGAATGAGAATTCAGTGGAAGGAGAGTGTTTGACCCAGAGATATTCAGGTGGTACATTAACCTCTTAACTTATCTCAAAACATTTTAGAGATTAGGGGAAGTATAGTTGAAGGAAGGGGGCCTGGGGTGATTAAAACCATTTATCTATGGAAAACTGCAGGACTTGGAGACATCTGAGGAGCTGACCAAGGATAGAATAAGATATCCTTGGAGATGGTGAGTTCTCTGTCATTGGAAATATTAAGCTGGGAAGGGAGCCTATAGAGATGATTTAAGCATTGGGAGGGTAAACAGACTAGTTGCACTGTTACATAATTCCCTTTGGCTCATGAGGCTGTTTGATTCTCCAAATTTTCTGGTGACCCCTGGGGTCACATGATCAGTAGATATACTGGTCAAAAAGTTACATAGCTGCTGGCCTAAGGCTCTCAAGAGGCTGATGAGACACTGAGCCCTTCCAGGAGGGGCTAAAACACTGATTTAAAACCCTGAGATGAAATATATTATTTTCAAGCAGTCTATAGGTTTGGCCACAGAAGGATAAATTGCACTGGAATTTGACATTAGCTAACCCAGTGGGAGGTTGAGGGGTCAACAGACCATCCTGTAACCTTGAGTCTTCTTGAACCTTGGGAAAAGCTGGCTCTGGGCTGGAGATGACTAGGTGTGGCCAGGACCTTGATTTTCCCTCTGCCTCATTGTGGGGAAACCATCTGTGGCTTCACTATCATTAGTTTACATGGGTATGACTATGGGGTGTGAATGAAAAGAGCACTTAAGTTACCTAAACATTTATCGAGCACCTACTATGTGCCAGGCACTGTGCTGGAGCCAGGGATGTGGAGAGGAATCAAATACGGTCCCTGGGATGGAGGAGCTCACAGATCAGTGATGGAGGGGACCAAAAACCAAACAGATCCTAATAGGCAGAGGGTCTCGATAGACACTTATACCAGGTGCGAGGAAATCTGTTGTAATTACTCATGCCTGGAATAGGGCATCAAGGGGGCCTTCCCAAAGGTGAGCTGTAAGTGGGGAGGTGCTTTAGATAGATAAGAGCACAGGCTGGCCTTTCCTGGTGGAGGGACAGCACATGCAAAGGCCCTGTTTTGCAATGTCCTGGTGTATTCTGGGAATGGTAAACTTTTCTGGGTGGCTGGAAGAGCAAGGTTCATGGTGAGCAAAAAGACTCAGCAAATTTGGGACTGATACTGAATGCCATGCTGAGACATTTTTACTTTGCTCTGTTGGCATTCAGGAGTCACCCCAGGCTTAAAAGTAGGACAAGGAAATGATCAGATGTATCTTCTAAAAATCACCTCTTGGTTTTGTGGACTGGACAGGGATGAGGCTGGGAGCAGGAGGCCAGCTGGACACAGGGTTCCTGCATGGGCTACTTCTTTCTTTGCCACCATCAGGCTGTTCCCAGATTGGATGATCCATGGAAAGATATTTGCTTCTTCATCATTTCCCCTTTACTTTCAGGACCTCATCAGCTTGGGAGAAGTGCTCTTTGCCTGCTTAGTAATCCCATGTAGGGTTATCCAAGAGAACCCCAGGGCATAGCTGAGGACAGGGGAATGAGTCACTATTTGTCATTGTTTGCCACATACCAGATACTTTACTTACACAAGTCCTTTCATTTGCTTCTCACCATGGCTCTGAGTGGTTGCAATTGTGCTTCCCAAGTGGAAAATGATGCTCAGACCAAACTCAAGGTCTCAGAACCTGTAAGTGGCAGAGCTGGGATTTGAACCTGCCTCTACTGACTCTCAGTCCAGTGCTGTTGGCTGCTAAGGGTCCCTGTGTTTGCCTCCCCATGGGGCTGCTGGGGAAGGCTGTGTGTTTGTGTGCACCTGAAGCTGGGCAGCCTGTGTGTCTGGAGGGCCCATCCCACCCGGAGGCAAGGCAGGGAGGCCCATCAGCTCTCTGGTGGCTCCCCTTTGCTGTCTTCGACCTGTCTCCTGCACAGATTAATTGCTGCTCACCCGAGGTGTGATGTTTCCTGGTTCCCTGTTCCGGCAAGTGTGGGTTAGTGGGGAGCGGTGCAGCCATGCTGATCGGGAGTCTGCACTGGCACAGCTGGCGGCCTGCACAGCACCCTCATCGGAAAGTGATCCATCACCCGACAGTCGTGTTGCCATCCAGGCCCAGCTGCCAAGCTGGCATCTTGAGGCCTCCCCAGGTGTGACAGGCCTCCCGGCTCAGAGCCTCAGGGCTGGGCCTGCGTGTCTGCCCCTTGCAGGACTTTCAAAGGGGAGTGGGAGCCTTGCCTGACTAAGGCTTTTACTCTTGGCAGCTTTGGGGAAAGCCCCCAGCTGAAATGCGGTGTTTCCAGTGGGGAAAGAGTAATTTTTGAACATAGCCCCTGTTTTCCCACTGAAAGCTCCCAAGAGGAGCAAGAACCCCAGAGGCATGATGCTTCTTAGCACCCCCAAGTAGTTCCACAGAGACTGGTGTGTCCCTCATATATTCTCAGCTGAGATGGAGCTGGAAAGACCAGGCAGTGTTGGGGCAAGGCCCTGCCAGACTAGCAAGTGAATTTGCGTGGAAGGAGAGAGGTCGGGAGCCTGCCTACGTTCAAAGGGTCCTCGCGGTTCCTGCTCCTGAGATTTAGGTGGGATTAACTTGACCTTCTAGTTTTAAATCAGTACTTCTTAAATTTGGCCATGAGTCAGGATCACCTACAGGGCTTTTAAAAATGCAGATTGCTGGCCCCAACCCCAGTGTTTTCGATTCATTAGGATTAGGGTGGAGTCCTACAATTTGCATTTCTAACGTGTTCCCAGGTGATGTCAATGCCACTGGTCCAGGGACCACACTTTGTGAACCACTGGTTAAGGGGGAGGCCAACCCCCTTTTTAGGCTCTTTAAGAATTTGCAGAAGTCTAAGCTCTCCTGGTTTCTTTGGGTTGTTAGTCCCTGATTAATTTTCTTGTCTCCCCAGGCCACATGGGCTGTCCTAGGGCTAAAATCAGAGATAAAGTTCAGTTCCTTCTGATATCTAACAAGAGCCCATGAGGGTGTGGCAACCAAATTTGGTGAAGTCCGGGGCAGTGGAAGCAGGATTTCTACACGAGCAATACTGATAGCTATAATTCCATTTAGATACTTGCTGTTTTAATTATCCTTTGGCCACGAGGCCTTTGAGAGCACAACCTGAGATGAAATATACGAAAGATCTGGCTTACAGAAGGTGTTTCATCAAGCCTCATTTTCCCCCATCCATCTCTGACTTACTAGTAGAGGCAGATCTGGATGCAATTGAGCCCCAGAAGAAGTTTGGGGAGGAGAGTCTTGAGAATAACTCAGTAGCAGTTCCCTGTTCTTATAGCCCACCATTGGCTGAGGATAAAAGAGATGCTCTCTCCTGGGTCCTTAAATGCCCCCAGAGGCAGAGCTATCTTCTGGATTTGGCTCCTTTCACATTTTGCCAATGCCAGGAGATGGCCTGGCTGGTAGGTCCCAGCTGGTTGACCTTCATAAAGACTATAGGCTGCTCAAACCACTTTCTTTAGGCAAGATCCTCAACTTACCTTTCCCTCTCATTTCATCTCCTGGCGTTTCATCACTGTCCAGAGCTGACTACTAGCTGCTGGATGTCTTGCAATGGCAAAGTGGTCCCCATATTTTTCAGAACTTTGGGAGGGAGGCAAGGGCCTCAGATACCTCCTGGGGCTTGAACTCCCTGAAGGATTTATAGATTTGGTTGGGAGCTTCAAGTTGAGTCCCAATGATCTGTGTAACCATAACCACCAGTGTTCCACCCTCCACTTCCCACCTGTTACCTACCATTTTCAAGCCTTGTTTCCAACACTATGCATAGGCACATGTCCAAGCTTAGCTTTTGTCCTTTTGAATTCCTAAGAGGAATCATTTACCCTGTTCTTTTGTCTTAGTACGTGTGATTCTGCAATTAGATAAATAGTCCTGATTCCTTCCGGCACAAACATAAGAAGGTACTTCAGGAGAAGAGACAAGAAGTATTTTTTTCCAGAGTATTTATTCTTTGCATGTATTATTTGCTCCCTCTTATCCAAGGGGGATACATTCCAAGACCCCAGTGGATGCCTGAAACCATGGATAGTACTGAGCTCTATTTTTACGATGTATTTTTCTTTTTTCTTTTCTTTTTTTTTTTTGAGATGGAGTCTTGCTCTGTTACCCAGGCTAGAGTGCAGTGGCGTGATCTTGGCTCACTGCAACCTCTGCTTCCCGGGTTCAAGAGATTCTCCTGCCTCAGCTGCCCGAGTAGCTGGGATTACAGGTGCCTGCCACCATGCCTGGCTAATTTTTGCATTTTTAGTAGAGACAGGGCTTCACCATATTGGCCAGGCTGGTCTCGAACTCTTGACCTTGTGATTCACCTGCCTTGGCCTCCCAAAGTGCTGGGATTACAGGCATGGGCCACTGCGCCCGGCCACGATGTATTTTTCTATTCGTAAATAACTATGATAAAGTTTAATTGATAAATTAGGCACAGTAAGAGACTAACTAATGAATAATAAAATAGAACAATTATTACAATATACTTTAATGAAAGTTATGTGAATGTGATCTCTCTTTATTAAAATATCTTCTTATACTGCAGATCTTAGCAATCTCAGCATACAATTTTTTTCTTTTCCCTAGTAAGTAGAGAACTTGCATCTTTTCACTTAAAGGAAGCACTTCATGGCTTCTTTTTGGTGTATCTGAATTGCCAGCATCACTACTCTTGTGCTTTGAGGTTACTCTTCAGTTAAATAAAGGTTGCATGAACTCAAGCACTGCGATACCTCAACAGCTGATCTGATAACTGAGGCCACTACTAAGTCACTAATGCGCAGTGGAGCTTATATGGATGGATATGCTGGACAAAGAGATGATTCACATCCTAGGAGGAATGGAGCAGGATGGTGTGATATTTTGTAATGTTACTCAGAATGGCATGCAATTTAAAACTTATGAATTGTTTATTTCTGGAATTCTCTATTGTTTTAAGTTCAGGGGTACATATACAGGATGTGCAGGTTTGTTACACGGGTAAATGTGTGCCATGGTGGTTTGCAGATCATCTCATCACCTAGGTATTAAACCCAGCATCCATTAGCCATTTTTCCTGATGTTCTTCTCCCTCCTCCCTCCTAACTCTCTGACAGGCCCCAGTGTGTGTCCCCCCACCATGTGTCCATGTGTTTTCATCATTGAGCTCCCACTTGTAAGTGAGAACATGTGGTATTTGGTTTTTTGTTCCTGCATTAGTTTGCTGAGGATAATGGCCTCCAGCTCTGTCCATGTCTCTGCAAAGGACATGATCTTCTTTTTTATGGCTGCATAGTATTCCGTGGTGTATATGTACCATATTTTCTTTATCCAGTCTATCATTAACGGGCATTTAGGTTGATTCCATTTCTTTGCTACTGTGAGTAGTGCTGCAATGAACATGTGAGTACGTGTATTTTTATAATAGAATGATTTCTATTCCTTTGGGTATATACCCAGTAATGGGATTGCTGGGTCAAATGGTATTTCTGCCTCTAGGTCTTTGAGGAATCATCACACTGTCTTACACAATGGTTGAACTAATTTACACTCCCACCAACAGTGTAAAAGCATTGGAATTTTCTGTTTAATATTTTTGGACCTCAGTTGAGCACCACTAACCAAAGCCATAAAGAGTGAAACTGCAATTAAGGGGGAACTATTGAAAGTGGGATGTAATCTTTATTCCCTGTTGCATCCCATGCTTGCTTATGGTACCACCTAGGATTGCAATGATAGCTAACTCCCAATCCCCCCAAATCATTGCATTTGGCTGGAGTTGTGGGTATCTTTGCTAGCTGGGTACTAGCCTCTGATTATTTTTTCCAGCTCTTTTAAGGGTAGGGGGATGTGAGGCAGGTCAACTATAATGGAAAGGTCAGAGTGGCTGGTATAGACTGCTTCTGATAGGGCTTATGGTTAGCAAAGAGAGCAGTTTTTACATTAACTAGGATAATTTTTTCACAAATAATATAAATTTAAGACATGGGTGATTGCATTAATCACTTTTGCTTTCTGTAACCCTCTAAAGAGGACATTCCACAAGGCATGGAATGGAAAGAGGAGGTTACAGTGTGACACTTGAACTTAAACCCCTACTATAGAGACAGGAGATAGAACATTGGGGCTTTTGATAGCTAACCCTGAGAAAATGCCTCCATCTGCCCCAGGCTTGCCCTGCCTGCAGCCTTAGGAGATGGTAGCCCCACCAACCTTTCCTGTGAATTTGCCAGTTTCTCTTTGCACCAATGCATAACGTCAAATGAGGGGCCCCCACCAGGGTGCCTGCTGCTTGCTGCCAGGCACTCCTGATGACTTCAGCTAATTTCTGAATCTGGAAACATTGTTGACAATGTGATTTCTGAAACGTGAAAGGCGTTATCTCATTGTGCCATCTGCGGCATGTCTGTCTGAGTCGGGGCTTCCGCTGCCACTCTGCCCCCTTGCAGCACCTCTCACTGCTCCGTCATCATCTCCCACAGCTAATTGCTCCAAACTGACAAGGAGGCTTTTTTCATTTAGAGATACAGGGAAATGGAACTTTCTTGCTGATGTTTCCTAGTCAAGCATGCTTTTTGGAATTCTAATTTGATCTTTTGGTTGCGGGTGGGTGAGTGGGGTCTGGTTTCAGCACTGGGTCAGGGACAGCTCCCAGAGAAGAAGGAAGTAGCACAGTGGGGACTAGGGTGGAAATCTCTTCTGCCTGCAAGGCCGTTAATTGGGAGGTAGTAAATTCTCTGTCACTAGAAGTGTGCAAATGGAGATGAATTTTTTTTTTTTTACTTGCATGGAAAGCTCTAAATGGAGCCAGTCTTTGAATGGGTGATTTCTTCTAGCTCAAGGGATCTCCTGGAGCCAGTTATATCCAGGGGGAGGTGTGAGGTAGGGGAGGATAATCAAAGGGTCAGGGCTAGTGTAGTAGTTATCCATAGCTGTATAACAAATCACTTTAGTACTTTAATAGCCTGAAACAACAATAATCATTTATTTTCTTGCATGGATTTTGTTAGTCATTAATCAAGGCAGGGCACAATGGGGATTCCCTGTCTCTGCTTCAAGTTGTCTGAGACCTCACCTTGAGGACTTGAAGCCTAGGGTCCTAGAATCACCTGAAGGTTTGCCTGTGGCTGAGGATCCATTGCAAAGTGGCTGATAAGTTGGTGCTGACTGTTGATGGGAGACCTCAGTTCTTCCTCCACATGGGTTTCTTCAGAGGGCTGCTTGAATCCTTGTGGCTTTATGGCTGTCTTTCCAGAATAAGCAATCCAATGCCATTTATGATCTACCCTGGGAAGTCATGCACTGTCGCTTCTGTAGTATTCTTTTGGTCACAGAGGTCAGCTTGATTCAGTGTGGGAGGAAACTACAGAAATGTGTGAACACCAGGAGTCAAGGGTCCTTGGGGGCCACTTTGGAAGCTGGCTATTACATCTGGTAATAGAGAGTGAAGCAAGGCACACAGCTTCTATTGATTGAGACAGTGAAGACAAGTTCTGAGCTTGCTCATATTTTAGAAGCAGGAAGTTGGCAGAGGGCATTAAGTCTAAGCTAACTCAAGTTTTTATGAGACTTGTTCTCCTGTCTCTTTGCACAGGCGTCTCCCCTCCAGAGGCATCTACGCTGGGCTTTCACATTTTGCTTCCAGCACTGACCTTTTTCTTGAGCCTTTGATTCATACTTTCAACTCACTCCAACCTCTCTGGCCTCCATCAGCTTCTTGAATATATCGTGCTCTTTCATACTTCAGGGCCTCTTCACATGCTGTTCCCTCGGCTAGGAATACCATCCCTAATCTGTCTTCATCACTCTGTCACTGGTTGGTTTGTGTTCATTGCTGAGATCTCAGCTCAAATGTCACTTTCTCTGAGCAGTCTTTGCTTAGCTCTCCTGTGGCAGATTATATTTTCCAAAGATGGCCACACTAATATATCTCCCATCCCAAATGCTTTTTTTACAATGTGATGTTGACATTTCTCCATCAAGAGGTGGGTCAGTGTTACATTATATAGAACTTGGGGTGGATGTTTGTAACTGTCACAATCAGTAGAAAGTGGCAGAAATGATGCTGTGTGACTTCCAAGGCTAGGTCTTAAAAGGTAGCATAGCAGCTACCTGGAGTGCTGTCTGTCATCTCTGTTCCTCTCTTCCCTTGTCCATGGTACCCCCCACCATTTTGTGAGGAAGCTCAAGTAGCACCTGCGAAGAGACCACCGGGAGAGAAATTTAGGCCTCCAGATGACAGCCAGCATTGCCCATCGAACATACGACTGAATGAGAGTTCAGATAATTTCAGCTCCCCAGTGTTTGAGCCTTCCAGCTGAGATCCCAGACATCATGGAGCAGAGATAAGTAACCCCCACAATGCATCTTTGGAATTCCAACTAAAAGAAACTGCAAGAGATAATAAAAAATGAATGTAACTGTGTTATGAACTGAATATTGGAGTTATTTGTTATGCCATCAAGGTAACTGATATATCTGCAGGCTCCACCAGGTTTCCTTATAATGTGCTGTCCTAGCTTCCAGTATGTTTCCTTCATAGCATTCTTCAAGAGTTTGCACTTATATATGTGACTTGCAACTAATTTCAATTCATTCCCATCTGTTTCACTGGACGGTAAAATGTATGAGGGCAAGCACCATATAAATTTTGTTTGCAAACACCCTGCTAGAGCCTGACATATAATATGTGCTCAATAAATAATACGTGCTCAATGAATGTGTTAAATGGATACATCAATGGATAATCTTTCTCCCTGAATTTGCCATAGATGCCCCAATCTCTGCACATACGAGTTGAAGACACATCTTTGTCTTCCTCTTACATCTTGATGAAGGCACCATTACCTCTTCAGATGCTCAAACCACAAACTTGGAAATCATCTTGGTCTTTTCCCATCTTTTTACTGACTCCCATAAAAGGTTCTGGGTCCTGTGCATTCTACCTTTTAATACTTTATTATTCCACCCCCATTTCCCCACTTTAGTTCAGCTTCTTATCATTTCCTTCTTGTATCCAGTCAATTGACTCCTGTTCAGTTTACTTCCTTCCAATGCATCATCCAAACTGGCAGGTTGACCTCTTCACACTGCATGTCTAAGCCTGTCACTCTTTGGATGAAAATTGTTCACTGACATTATTGTCCTTACAATAATGCCCAAAGTCCTCAGTAGCCTCCTCAAGTCATTTATGGAGATGGGTGTGTTATAAATTGAAACTCCTTGCTGTGGCCTGCAGTTCCTCAATGATCTGTCTTGAGATGATCTCTTCTCCCTCATCTCTCTTTACTTTCACCCCCAGAGCACATGCTGTAAACACATCAAGATCTTGAGGTTTATCCCAAATCACCTGTATTAATTTGGTTGAAAAAGACAGAAATTCCACTTGAGCTAACTTAGGCAATAAGAGTTCATTGGCTCACAGAATCTAAGAAAACTTTTGCAGGGAAGGCAGGCAGAAGAGTGCCCAGGAGTAACTAGATCAAGAAGTCAAGCAGCTTCTACATATCTCCAGTGTTGGCTTCATTCTCTTTCACTACAGAAGAGCTTTTCTATGTTGCTTATTTATTATTGCATTAACAAGCATTTATCATTATTATCTCTCATGGTTCTGAGGGTTACCTTGGCACAGCCAGTTGGCTAATCCTCAGTTTTTTCATGTGGTTGCCATTTGACTGATGTTGGCTGCAGTTGAAGTCATCTTTCTTACTCTCATACCTGGCACCTGGGCTGAGGGATGAGATAGCTGGTGCTCCTCTGCTATCTGTCTCTACCACTCTGTAGTCTGTCTATGTGGTCACTCTAGTATAGCAATTTCAGGGTAGCCAAAATTCCTACATGGTGGCTCAAGGCTTCAGTGATGGGTGTCCGAAGGAAAAATGGCAGAGGGTGCATGGTCCTTCCTAACACAACCTTGAAAGCCACTTCTGCCATAGTCTATTTATCAAGTTAGTCAAAAAGTGTTGCCTGGATTCAAGGGAGGCCCCCTCTTGATGGGAAGGGCATCATGTTTGAACATCACCAGCTTTGCTACTGGAAACAATTCTTGAGTTCATCATCTTACAGTTTCAGCCACCACTTGATCTTAAGTTAAAATCCTCTGGTGGGGATCTCTGAGCCTATCTTGTGTTGGGTGACTCAAGCCCAGTGGACTGTAAGAGAGTGAAGTCTTCTAGAAATATGGCAACTCTTTCATATGGATGAGTATGGCAGGTTTTGAAGTGGAGGTGGTACCAGGTAGGCAGTACAGTGAATGATTTGTACATGGCTCCAAAATCTGAACATAGCACCTTCCCATATTTGCTCAAGCTGTGCCTTCCCAGGAGCACCTTTTCTTCCTTCTTTCCATCCTGTTCACTTTTCTTTGTCCTTCAATTCTCATCTCAGGAACCACCTACTTCAGGAAGTCTTATCTTTTTTGACCCCCAAGGTTAGTTTATCTATTTGCTCCTCTCATTACCAAAGGTATGCTTACTT
This sequence comes from Homo sapiens, assembly GCF_000001405.40. NCBI lineage: Eukaryota > Metazoa > Chordata > Mammalia > Primates > Hominidae > Homo > Homo sapiens. Next base: position 39,199,774 of record NC_000020.11, read on the forward strand.
TCGTTTTAAAACTAATTACACTAGCTCAAAACCTACCTGCCCTCTTTTATCATCTGTCTTCCTCACCAAACTGTGAGCCTCTCTAGGGCAAAACTTGTATTCCTAGTGCCTAGTTCAGGGTCCAGCCCTTTGTAGGTGCTTGATATTTGCTTTTGGAATGAGTGAATTAATCTGAGCAGTAAGGAGGCTGCCCCCAGAATGAACTGCTGTGTCCTCTGGTGTGAACATATGGCCCAGCTGCTGTGTGCTGGGGTAAAAAGAGGCCAACTTGCCCCACAGCTGCCTGGGGTTGAGCATCTGCAGGCTGTTTTGGGAGCTGGCCTGACAGATGGAAAAGGGCTGAAGTCCCCCAGGTCCATAAGTTGCTCACTCCTTTTGAGCCTCTCTGCAGCTGAAGGGCCATTGGGCAGGGGCATGAAAACATCTGGGAGAGGAGGTTGTTCCAGGAAAGCATCTACGCCAGGTGTCAAGCTTCCTGCAGATGAAATAACCAGTCCTGGGCTGGAGTTTCTGACATCTGCTCGTGTGAGGGCTTGAGGTCAGGGGGCCCTGAGAGATGATGCTGAGAATAGGCTTGATTGTTTGGAGCAAGTCCCCCAAATCAGAGATTTAGGGACTAGACAGACATAATAAAAATGAGAGTGGCCACTGATGGAGTACGGACTATGTGCCAAGCACCATGTCAAGCTCAGTGCTTGTGCATAAACTGCTTTTAACCTTAAGAGGCAGGAACTCCTATTATTTCTATTTTATAAAAGAGATAGAAGTTCCGAGAGGTAAAGTAACTTGTCCAGAGGCCCACAGCTCAAAAAGGGTAGAGTCGGGGTTTGAATCTGTGTTTCTGACTGTGTGAGCTCAACTCCACTCATGGTGCTCTGATTAAAAGGGCCCAGACTCCCAGTGAGAGGTGGTGAAACAGACTCCTTCAGATACGGGTTCTGGGAGGATGTTGGCTAAGACATAGAGTCTTTATGTTTCTGGGTAGTTGGGCCCAGTAGACTTACCTCTGCTCCCCAATATAGACCGAAGCCAAGGACTTGGGTGCATGTAATTTTTTTTTTTCAGGATATGACTCCAGGAAGCACAGTAGGAAGTGTGGGCATGAGACCAGGAAAGGAAGGCAGGCAACTAAGGGTACACTAATGAGCCTGGTGGGACAACTGGGCTGAGACTTTCTGAGGACCTGTGTAGAGCTCACCTTATAATTGTTCCACAGACAGGAAGGAAGCTGAGTGTTTGTTCATCTGTTACAGTGCCTCATTGGTTGAGGGTTGTTTCCAGGGGCAAGATCTCCCTGGCTGTTTCCATCTGATCCTCTTTATCCAACATGAGCTGAACCTGCTCCAGTTACAAAAGGAAGCTCTCAGGCACAGAGATGGAGATGCTTGGGGTAGGAATCCATTGGTAAGTACGGAATCTGTCTACGGAAGCTGCAGGTGACTTTGAGGTTGCACCATAGTGATGGGGCAAGCCACCAACAGTGTCTGCTACACTAGCCCTACCTGTGAATGCCCCTACAAATCTGTCCTTCCTCCATCAGGCATTTCTGGGTGCTCCCGGGAGGTATCTTATATGTGTTCTTAATCTTGATCAGTTATTGCTTCCTCCTCTGGGTCGTGCTGGGCACTATCATTTTCCCCAGCCCTGCAAAGACAACAGGTGCTGTGTCATTCTCATTCTCTGAGTATTAGTGGGTTCTTTAGACTCTCATTCCCAGGGAATATCTGCTGCTTGCTGGGCATTTCCACTACATCTGCTACCTTCAACAGTTTTTCTTTTAAACCATAGTCCTCTCTTTTCCTCATGTAGAAAAGAGGCCTCTTGGGAGGCTGTGGTGGGAAATCTGAGAGACAACCACTGCCATGTTGTACTTGAAATACCCCAGACCTCTGATTGGAAGTCAACAGCAGATCTCTTCCCTTTCCTTCAGTTCTAGCACAGTGAGATGCATGGGCAGGGGTACAGATGGTTCAGGAAGCTCTAAGCCTAGTGAATTGGTTAGGAAAATCCCCAGTACATTTGTTTTGTATTTTTCTTCAAAATGAGGGAGTTGGCAACAAAACGTGTGGAAAAGTCATTAGGTTAGTTCATGCCTCATTATGATAACTTAGGGGTTTTCAGAATAATTCCTTCATTTATGTGATGAATATTGGTTGAGCACCTGCAACATGCCAGATACCATCCTACTTGTTGCATTGCATGTCAGGCAGGGCAGGCAAAGGGTGACACAATGGACTCTGATCAGACAGGAAGGCAAGGAATCTACCAGCAGGAAAAGATAAAATCTGAGGTACATCTAGGGAAACATAGTATAAAGATGAAGTTCAAGGTGTGGCTATAAAATCCTTTGCAAAGATCTCAGGAGGATTGAAAGTGGTGCCTCAGAGAGCCATTTAGTAAATAAAAAAGGGCTAATAAGAAAATTAAGGGTATCGTCTCTCAGCAATCTCAGCAGTATCCCAAGATAGACAAAGGCTTGGAGATTTGTAAGCTTGTCCTTTGTCTAATGACATGAACCCTAGTTTCATAGTAGAACCACAAAACTTTTAAGGGCAATGTATTGGCAGAAACACTGCCTGCTAGGACTGAAAGGAACAGAAGTAGTACAAGATGAAAAAGGGCCTTTGGACCCCTGTCTATCCCTGAAAATCTCTGTTTGCAGAGGGTAAGAGAAGGGAAGCACAGTCCTGGCCTCTGGCCTCACTTGGGAGACTGTTTCTGTTCCCTGGCTATGCATGAAGAATGTTCAGCTTCCCATTCTCCTGTAGAATTTGAGCTCTTCACCCTTAGTACCTAATTATAGTTCCAGTGCCTGGTGAACCTTGAGCTTCAGCCTGTCTCAGAATTGTAAAATTTTCTTGCATCACTAGTAAAGAGATTTGAGTATTATTTCTGAGCATGATCATGGCTATTTTAATAATTTAATGTACTTTATGTGCCGTTTCTATGAGTTTGGGAAAGAGAACAGATCATTCTGTGACCTGGAAAGCAGTCCACTAGTATTTAATTTTCATATCTCATTGAATTCTCACTATAACCCTGCAAGAGTACTCTTATTATCTTCCTCCTTTAAATGAGAAAACTGAGACTCAAAGAGATTAAGTGTCCTATTCAAAGTCATTCATATAGTAAGTAGTAGTTGATTCAGGATTCAAACCCAGGAAATATGACTTCGGAGCTCATGCCTTTAACCACTGCTGTATATGACAGAACTTCTCAGAGCCTTTAATATGCTGGTGGGTATTATTAATGTCCAAAAGTGGTTATGCAGAATTTCCCAAATTTATCTTACCCTATCCCTTTTGAGTTTCTTTTACTACTACAGTTCTAAAGACATACTTTGTGAAATATTGCAGAGATTGAGCAGATAAAACTTGAGAAGTTATTGAAGTAGGTGATGTAATAGTAAGCTTTTGTTAAATGAGGCCATGGTAACAAATTCTTCAAATATCAGTGCTTTATCAAACAACAAGATTTTATTTCTCTTTCATGTCACATGTTAGAACTATAGTTTGGCTGCACCTTCGCTCAATATGTCTTTCATTTTGGAACCCAAGGAGAAGGAATTATCCTAATCTAGAACATACCATCTTCATGACAGACAGAAAGAAAGAGCAAGAGATGGGGTAGAAACTTGCAACACATCTTAATTTCATGGATATGGTATATGTTACATTTGTTCACCTGCCATTGGTCAAAGCATGCCACATGGCCAAAAACAAAGTCAATGAGATGAAAATGTGTACTTCCTTTACTGACAATAGAAGGGTAAATAATTCCAACAATAATGCAATCTACCATAGAAAACAGAACCACTGAGAGCCCTCAATCAAACAGGCATTTTCAGTAGCAGAGAGGAGGGAAGTTGGAAGCTGTACTATAAAGATTTTAGGAAAAGCACAGGAGGTGTGATAATATGAGACAAGAGAAAGCATGTGGCTGAGGATTTTTATGGTTTCATGTGGCTATGTGGGTGAGTAACAGAGTCTGTCCAGCATGTCCAGCCTAGGACATAGGAGAAATGTGAGGGTACCTGGATATCCTGTCTGGTATCAACACCTGCCAGCCACCCATGTTAGAGATGTGTTGCTGGTTGCTCATTCTTATATGCCTCACACATTCTGAGAGCTCTTTCAATACAGTTTTTGAAACTACTTATATATCTTCATTTACTTTCCTTCCCCCTTTCAATTGCTCCCTAATCAGCAGTGGATGATGTCCACCCTATAACCTGAATGTGATGTCATCTTTGGTATCGTTTAAGAAATAGCACTTAACAGTTGTTAACTATGGGAATCCATTTTTAGAACACTGCTTATCTTCTCCTTCTTTACAAAGGTGATTAAGATTTATTTTTACTTGGATGAAAACAGCCTTCATTGATTTCTGCCCCATAGAGAGATGACAGGACACTTGCATTAGTCAGAGAGGAAGTTAACCCTTTACTTACTGCCACTGAGGCAGGCTACACAATTCCTCCCAGGGCATGTACAGTGGGCAAACAGAGTCAAAATTGTCTTGTTTTGTACAGAAGCAGCAAACCCAGAAATCAGAGAATGTGACTTCTCTGTGCTCAGTATGGAGGCGATTCTGAGAATTCCAACTTGTGGGAAGCTTTCTTCCTGGTTGACTACCAGGGGAGAGTGTGACTGACTCCAAACCAGCTCTGTGAGCCTTCCTTTCTTTTAGTATGAGAGCTGTACTTCCTTCCTCTCCCTCACACACACCCTGGTACGTCTGCATTCTGTATCCTTGTATGACAGAGACACTTCCACATTTTTAGATGTTACAGCAACACCCTACTTCTAGGTACCAAGATCTATATTGCTTATCTCATACTTGGTTGCTGAAACCAACACAAATTTATTATCTTATACTTCTGGAAGCCAGAAGCCTGAGATGGGTCTTAGGGGGCTAAAATCAAGGTGTTGGTGGGGCTGCATTCCTTCTGGAGGCTCTGGAGGAGAATCCACTTCCTTGGCTTTTTCACCTTCTAGAAGCTGCCCACATTCTTTGGCTTGTGGCCCCTTCCATTTTCAAGTCCAGCAACAATGGCTAGTCAAGTGTTTCTCATGATGCCATCTCTCTAGTTATGATTCTTTTACCACCCTCTCCCCATTTAGGAACCCTTGTGGTTACATTGGGTCCATCTGGATAAGCTAGGATGATAATCTTATCTTAAAGTCAGCCGATTAGCATCTTTAATTTCACCTGCAACCTTAACTTCTCCCTTGCCATGTAACCTAACCTCAGAGGTCCCGAGGATTAGGACGTAAACATCTTTGGGAGGCTATTATTCTACCTACCACAACATCTAAATCTTTTGCCCCTGTCAACTCTGCAAATGGAGATGGGTTTTAACCTGTTCAGAGATCTCTAGGGGGTCAGGGACATAAGAGAAATATACAGTGTATCACACAAACAATTTCAAATTAATGTTATGTTACTCTTATTCTAAAGAGTTCTTTGGACCCTGCAACAATGTGATTTTCTCAGCTTTGCTTTCTCTGTAGCTCCCAGCCACCTGTTAGATTGATGGTTAATATTTTCGCATCCTGACTCATTTCTCCTCAATTAAAAAAAAATTCACAATCTTTCTGCTCTATTATGCAGAGCAATTTGTTTTCTTGAGTCTTTATCTTAGCTCACTGATCATGTCTTTAAATTTTTGATAGTTTGGCATTAATCTTGAGTTTTAAAATATTGCATTAAGTATTATTTATCTTGGTTATTGAGTTTTTTGGTGCCCTTTAAAATTTTGCACCTGAGTTGAGTGCTTCACTGTAGTCTGGGCCCTTTACTCCCTATACCTGCCTCACCTTGTCCCCATCACACTGGTCAGAGGCAGCCCCTGCTAAGAGGTTCTTATGTATTATTCAAATAAAGTTCCATGCATTTAGATATATCTGTAAGTCTGAGTTAGACATCAGTTTCACACAAACATATACTTATTATTCCCTGTTCTGCAACTGGCTTTTTGCCTCACTCAATGTGTTAAAAATCTTCCCAAAAGGTTGATATATTATAGCTCAGCATTATGCTTTTCTTTTTTTTTTGGACGGAGTTTTTGCTGTATTGCTCAGGTTGGAGTGCAAGGGCACGATCTTGGCTCACTGTAACCTCTGCCTCTGCCTCCTAGGTCACTCCTAGGTCTGCCTCAATCGCTCCTTGAAGTGATTCTCCTGCCTCAGTCTCCCAAGTAGCTGGGATTACAGATGCCAACCACCACACCTGGCAAATTTTTGTATTTTTTTTTAGTAGAGACGAGGTTTCACCCTGTTGGCCAGGCTAGTCTCGAACTCCTGACCTCAGGTGATCCATCCGCCTCAGCCTCCCAAAGTCCTAGGATTACAGGCATGAGCCACCGTGCTTGGTCTGACATCATGCTTTTTAACACAGCTCAGAATTTTCACTTTTGTGTATTTTCCTAATAATTTGTAATGACGTTGTATTTTTTCTATACAAGAAAACAAAAGAATATTTAAAATAGTAGTGAAAAGAATAGTTACATTTATTGAGAGACTATTTAAAGTGCCAGTACTATTTAAGTTGTTATGCATTATCTTATTAATCCTGTTGGTAACGCTGTGGGATAGGAGTCATTATTGTACCTTACAGATGAGGAAACTGAGATTTAGATGAATTAAGTAACTTGGCTCAATATATTACATCCAGAGGTGGTAGAGCCAGGATTTGAATGCGGATTTATCTTCCTTCAAAGACCGTGCTTTTAACCACACTCTTTAATATATCAAAGTATTTACCAAGGCCTATTCTTTAAAAGACCCAGTAGAAGCCCCCTGAGTTACATTCAGTGATGAGAATAACGAGGGCCTCATGTGAACTGTTAAACAACAATAAACTTAACAGAGGACAGAGTTATGAGAAATGCCATGTGGGGCTGACTGGTTAAGTATCCCAGGAGTGGATCGGATACATTTGCTTATTTTTCCAGAGTTCGAAGGGAGCTGTGTGGATTGAACAGTTAGTGCCAGAGACTACAAGGTGCGTTTAAGATGCTCCCAGGACAAGCTTCCTTTGCTCCATCTTAGAACAGTAAAAGTTAGCTCAGTCTTTCTTATTCGGTGCTCCTCTCCTTACGTGAGATTACTTACATTCCTCATTCTTTTTCCTGGCCCAGTACTAGATTCTGATATTGGTTTCTGGCTGTAACAGTCATAATACTTTGATTTGCAAATAAGAGAAAAGTCAATTTACATTAGCTTAAATATCGAAGGAAGTTTCTTGGCTTATGTAACTGATTAGTTCAGAGGTAGCATGCTTCAGGCATGGTTTGATCAGAGTTCTGGCTATGTTTCATTGTGAGTTATCTGTGCTGGTATTGTAATGTGTCAACTGGCTAGGCTGGACTGACATTTTCAGAATTTCCTTTTCTGCATGCTTCTTATTAGGGTAGACCACAAAAGGTATTTTCAGGTAAGATAAGAGGGTGGAAATGAAGCAGCAGTCATTTTTGTTTTTGACACTCAGAAGGTCGGAGCAGGCATATGGAGTGGGGAAAGTATGCCAGTTAACCTATTTCATAATCACATGCTCTATCGCTGTTCCTGAAGCTATGCCAAGGTAGCTGGGTTTGGAAGTGTTTCCAGCCTTGGTTTCATGTTCCAGAATTGCAAAACTTCAAGACAAGTGTTAACTTGGGCCATGAACCCAGGCTTTCTCTTCTTTCTGGTGAATCTTCTTTTAAAATCTTGTTGTCCTTACATTTTTTTTTCTATTAGGCAGACCATCTCGGTCAACTCAAAGTTGTTCTAGTGTTGAATCTACTTCCTAGGTTCAGTTCAGGATTTCAATCCCCTTCCTACAAGGTTTTTAGCTCCTTGGTAGATTGATTCATTTCTCCCTTACAAAGATGTTTCTGCACTCCTGGGAGCTTTGGGAAAGTACATTTTGTCGGGTGAGGAGAATCCTCTTTATTCAGGGTTAAGTGTCTCCTTGGACTTAACTTGCATAACTACAAGGGACACCCAAGTAACTCCCAAGAAGTGAGAAAGCAGAGAGCTGCAGAGTGCTTTGCTGGTCTACTTTGGCAGAGAAGAGTCCTCAGCTGCTTTCCCGAGAGAATTTAATTTAATTTCTACCTTACCAAGCAACCCCTTGTATCTGAATTGACTGTGTCTTTATGGGATGATCTCTCATTGCACGCCCTGTTGATGCCCACGAGGTTGTCCCTGGGATCTTGGACACAGCCTAGAGTCCCTTTCACATACATGTGAATAAGTAGAGTGACATTCATTCAATAAGTATAAGTTATGCTAGGGAAGCCATAGGGAAGAGGTGAGCTTGGAAGAATGGGTAGGATTTTGGAAGAGGAGTAATAAGGACCTTGAAAAGGAGGAATGACATATATAAAGGCATAAAGGTGAGAGCAGAGAAAGTTCCAGTTCTTGGGGAGGTGATGAATCTGGAAGGAGAGGCCTCAGCCTTGGCCCCACCACTGTTTGTGGGGCCTTAGTAGAGGATACTCTTGTGTGCTGTCCAGTGACAAATAAGAAACAAGCCTGGATTTTTTTTTGTTTTTTTTCCTGAGACAGAGTCTTGCTCTGTTTCCCAGGCTGGAGTGCAGAGGCACGATCTTGGCTCACTGCAACCTCCACCTCCCTGGTTCAAGCAATTCCCCTGCCTCAGCCTCCCAAGTAGCTGGGATTACAGGCGCACGGCACCACGCCCAGCTAATTTTTTTGGTATTTTTAGTAGAGACAGGGTTTCATCATGTTGGCCAGACTGGTCTTGAACTCCTGACCTCGGGCAATCCACCCGCCTTGGCCTTTCAAAGTGCTGGGATTACAGGCATGAGCCACTGCACCTGGACCAAGCCTGGATTTTTAAGTAAGGAGAGACTTTGTTCAGCTAATAATGTATGAGTCAAAGAGCGTGAATTTGGAGAGCCTTTGGCCTTGTCATAGGTAAACAAGGAGAGGGCACCTGTGAGTCTTACCTAAGACATGTGGGGCAGGGTGCACCATTGCAATAATCTATTTTCTGGGACACCAAAGGGTGGGAGATTTTTTAACTTCCACATTTTCCAAGATCACAGGGCTTGGATAAAGTTCAATATTGTCACTGGATTCTGATGGATCCCTTTTGCCGACTCTGTGTGCCCATCCCCCAGCTTTTGTGGGCTTTGCTGCTGACTGCTCACTCCTGTGACCCTCTTCAGAGGGTTGCCCTTGGGTGCAGAAGCCCATAGGGGTGGGGATAGGTTCCTCCATCACAGCCTGAAGTGCCTGGGACTTTGTTCCCACCATTGTCATGACTGGTGTGGGAGTACAAAGGCCTAGCTCCTGTGTCCAAAGCTGGACACAGTCTAAGGTGCAACTCACTCCAGAACTCCATGGAGGATGAGGCTGGGGCTGAAACTTCTCCGAAATTGCACCTTTGTTCAGCTTCTTTCCTTTTTCTATGTTGCTTCCTTCATTCCCTGACTGGTTTCTTCTTAGAGCACTTCTTTGACAAACCTTCCTACGCTCAAATCTTCAGCTCAGGCTTTGCTTCTGGGAGAACTCAACCCAAGACAGCTTCAGGTTTCCCATTGGTAGAATGGAGGCCTTGGGATAGACCACTGGTTTTAGAGCTTTGCTTTGACTACAGATCCCTTTCTATACATGAAGATCTATGAAGAAGTCCAGAATATCAAACAGGTTAGAATGGAACTGCTGAAGTTGATGTGGGGCAGTGTCCCTGCATCCCCTCCTCACTATTCCCACCCCCCTTCTCAACTTTGGTAGCAGTCCTGCTCTACCTTGCAGATGCTACACCCCCATCCCACCTTCTTGGGGCTCCATGGGCACAGTGCACCAGCTCTGGACTGGATGGTAATGTCCTCTAGCTCTAGCTCCATGATATCCTTGGCATCAAGTGACAGCAATTGTTGCTGCAGACTTCAGGTCAGGAGTGGCCTTGCATGCTCCTGAGCCCAAGGTGCTCCTGATGGTACTGCCAGTGTCCTCACTGGGGCATTTTATCCTGCATATCCTCCTGAAAGGCAATTTTATCCTGTATATCCTGCTTCTGGCCAATCCAGTAGCCCCACAGTCTTCTCTGAGACCTTGAGTTTGCAATGAGGTTCCCAGAGACTGGAACCTCACAGAGTTCCTGGTTATTGCTTTGAATTTGCACCTGTGGATTTAACTCCTGGTGATCCAAAGGCAATCAACTTTGGGGTGGAACTTCATGAGTTGGCTTCCTAGGAGAGAATTGGCAGTGGCAGCTAGAGGAAGTGTGTGAGAGGCTCTGTTCAGCAGGGTGAGCATATGCCTTGCTCATTCGAGGCACTGACAGTGGCAGAAACCAAAGGAAAGGAGCAGAGGCAGAGTGGCTTGGGGCATTACAATGATCCGTGCAGTTAGATGTGCTCGGTGTTGATGCTAGACGTGCTCCTCCCATTGATGATAGTGGCAACAACAGTACTGATCCCTTTAACATTATTGAGGTCTATTATGTGCCAGGTATTGTGCTAAAAACACCTAGTCTTTATGGAAGTCTTGTGATGTAGGCTCTATTCTTACTCCCATTGTACAGATGAAGAAGATGAGGCATAACAATTTGTGCAAGCCCACACAGTTAATGTGCCGGAGTCAGGCTTTGAACTCCGACAGTCTGACTCCAGACCACCTCTTCCTCCCAGTATCCATGCTCTGGTGCCTCCTGTGGCACACTCAGAAGATGGCCTGCATGTGCATGTGCTCATTTCTGTGTGTGTGCATGCATGCATGTTTATGCAGGACTGGGAATGCAGGGGAGTTAGAGTCCAGTTAGGAAGGAGAGAGGAAATATGATCTCTTTGTTGCATGTGGGCACCGTAACTCCAGCCAGGCAAAGTGCTGGTCTGTTGTAGCTCATTTTTATGTTTTTATTTAGAAGCTTCAATACCAGAGCTGATGGCAGAAAATGTGCAGTAAAATGCGGGGAGGCCGCTGGGTAATGGCCCCTGTAAAGTGTTAATTGCCTATTGAGACTGCAGACTTTGTCCATGCTCCAGGATCTGAACTATTGACAGGTTCTAATTTATTTCGGGCCCACAAAGCGGGCTCCTCCTCTAAACAGGCTTCCAATCAGTCACGCTTCCCTGGGCCTGCCAAGAAGCTCCAGTCGATAAGTATGTTTGCTGCCTTAACCCTTTGAAGCTGGTCGTGTGGTCTGATTCTGGCTTGCCTTAAGGAAACTTCCATGCACAATGGTCTTGGATGAAAATCCATGAGAATCAAGTGCTGACTCCGTGCTGGGCTCCCAGCTGGGTGTTTTACATGCATTGTCTCTGATCCTTACCGCTTAGAGAAGCAGGTAGTATCTCTTCAAGGACATCCTAACCTCAGAGAAGTTGAATTAATTGTTTAAGTGACCACTATGATTATACTTCAGACTGTTACGGGCTAAACTGTGTTCCCTCAAATTCATGCTTTGAAGCTCTAGCTCTCAGTACCTTGGAATGTGACCGTATTTGAATATAGGGCCATTAAAGAGGTGATTCAGCTACAACGAGGTCTTAGGGTGGGCCCTGATCTAATCTTACTGGTGTTCTTTCAAGAAGAGGAAATTTGGACACAGATAAATACAGAGGGGTGACCCACTGGAAGACACAGGGAGAAGGCAGCCATCTACAGACTAAGGGGAGAGGCCTCAGAAGAAACCAATCCTGCTGACACCTTAATCTCAAACTGCAAGCCTCCAGAATTATAAGGAAATGAATTCCTGTTGCTTAAGCCACCCAGTCTGAGGTATTTTGTTATGGTAGCCCGAGCAGGTGACTACACACACCCAGGACTTGGTGTGGCCTTGAATTTATGCACATGACCACTGTAAGTATGAAAACTCTGTTCTCTGGCTTATGGCTCCAGTTAGAATAAGAAGCAGAAAGTGGGCAATATTACCTCTTTGCAGTAAATTTGTTCTTAGGTTGGGTCCTCAAAGGGCCCATGCCTATCCATTAGAAAGAAAAAGAAAGCTAGATTTGGGATTCTAAGTGCAAAAAGAAGTCATTGACTGTTTCTAAGCAGAGTCAGTAACACAATCAGAATTTCTTTCTTTTTTTGGAAAAAATAGTCTCCTCTGGCTACTGTGCATAGAGAATGGATGGTAGAACACAAAAGTGAAGCAAGGAGACCCCAGAGGAGGCTGTTGCACTGCAGGCAAGAGATGAAAGTGACTTGATGGAGAGTGGTGGCAACAGAGAAGGAAAGAGGTGAATAGATTTGAAATAGATTTTTGAGATGGAATTGACAGAACTTGCTGATGGATTGGGGGTGGAGGTGAGAGGGAGGGAGTTGACAAGTGATGATGCTCTTGTTTCTGGCTTGAGCAACCTCGTCTTTACAGGAGCTATTTATGAGGAGGGAAGACATGAAGAGGAATCGATTGGGTGGCAGGTGTTCACTTTCTTTAAGTGGGCTGTCCACTGGAACATAAGCTCTGAGAGGGCAAATTTATTGATTGAAGGTTGTATGAATCTATTTATTCCTGTCCCCACATTTCATGCACACATATGGTTTTTATATGAACCAGAAATAATGTAGTTTCTTTTTTCTACATCAGAAGCAGACTATATTTTATGTCAAGGGTGACATCTAATTTTGCTAGTCTCACTCTGTTGCCCAGCCTGGAGTGCAGTGGTATGATGTGGCTCACTGCCTGCCGCCTGAAACTCCTGGGCTCACGAGAACCTCCCACCTCAGCCTCCCAAGTAGCTGGAACTACAGGTGTGAACTACCATACCTGGTTAATTAAAAAAAATTTGTAGAGATGGGTGTCACTATGTTGCCCAGGCTGTTCTTGAACTCCTTGCCTCAAATGATTCTCCCTTCTTGGCCTCCCAAAGCTCTTGGATTACAAGTGTGTGCCACTGTGCCCAGCCATCACTTAGCATAATGTTTCAAAGGTTCATCAACGTTTATCATCCACTGATACATGTTGTAGCATGCATAGGTACTTCATTCCTTTTTATGGTTGAATAATATTTCATTGTATGAACAGACCATATTTTGTTTACCCATTCACCAGTTTTTGAACATTTGTGTTGTTTTTACCTTTTGGCTATTGTAAATAGTGCTGTTATGAACATTTGTGTAAAAATTTTTGTTTGGACACCTGTTTTCAATTCTTTGGGGGTATATAACTAGCAGTGGAATTATTGGATCATATGGTAATTCTATATTGAACTTAGTGAGGAACCAATGTAAGGCATATTGATGATAACTGATATGTTCCATTTTGGAAAGAGGAAATGGAGGCCCAGGATGGTCTCAACTACCATCTAAACATCCTCAACTCTCAGCTCTTTAACTTCGGTCCAAATCTTCTCTGTGGTCTTTAGCCCATGTATTTAATTCCTGGTGGACATTTCTACCTGGATATCTCATAGTCACCTCAAACTCAGAGTGTCTGAAACCAAACACACCAACTTCTTCCGTTTATTCCCATAACAGCTTCATTTCCTGTTTTCATCTCAGTGAATGACACCACCGTCCAATCAGCTAGCAGTGGGACATCATCGTTGGCCTGTCAAGGGATGGTACTATTTACTGTGTGACCGTGGGCAAGCCATCCATCTCTATACTTTAGTTTCCTTGTCCAGAAAGTTAGAAGATAATCTTACTGGGGATGAGTATGAGGATCAAGCGAGATGACTCTCTCTCTCTCATCTCTACCCCCATCTTAGCAAAGTGTCTGGCACACACTGTGAGCTCAACACTATTAACATGGAACTGTTTTGGGTAAGATGTGTTATTATCCTGTGGAGCTGGTGTTTCACAGAACAGAGTTGAGGGAAATAGTGAACTGTAGCAATCATTTTCAAATGTGTTCTTGCAACTGGCAGCATCAGCAGTACCTCCGCTCTATGGAATCAGAGTATTGAGGGATAGAGCCCAGGAACTGGCACAATTAAAAAATGCCCCAGGTGATTTTGACACTCAGCCAAGTTTGGAAGCCACTGAATTCAGCTAATTACATTCTACTATCAGTAAATACATTAGAAACATTAGTAATTTCAATCAAACATGAATTTCACTGTTTTCCTCCCCAAATCTAATAAGAGCATCAATCTTTGATCTTTCAAATAGGTCTCCGTTTCTTCTCACTATTCTGTTGAACTTGGGCAGCCTTTTTTATGTGGTCCCCATCAGAGCTGTCCTTTATCAAGTTGCATTTTGCTCTCAGGACTGACAGCATCTGGACATTAAATTAAAAATTACTTAGACATACTATTGGTGATAATGTTGGGCACTTTGTGACTCACCTCATACTGTCGTCCTTAGGAAAACTGTGGCTAGTCCAGACCAGGCATAGGTCTTCTTGTGGAGGGCATAGATCAGAAAGCATTAGAGATAGAGGAAGGTGTTAGCTAGTGTTCTGTATACAAAGGAGCCTGTAGGACACAGTGTTAAGCAAAATGATCCAGCTTCCTTTTCTTCAGGACTTCTCAGAGCCTTGAATATAGTAGTGGACACTGACTATCCTAAAGTGCAAATGAACTATAACTGCAAGTAGCCCAGTCTGGACAAGGAGGGAGGCCTTCCAAAGGACACAGTTTCTAGGTGGTTAGTTTTGGACATCCTGATATATCTTGTCAGGGGCAGCAGCAAAGCTTTGGGGCAGCCTTCCTGAAGATCTGAGCTGAGGAAGGGTCAACGTGGAGAAGTGGGTGTGAAGGGGGGAAGGTTGTTGGACATTGAGATCTATCCATTGATCTATTTTGATCAATGTCTGTCAATATCCTTATGTCCTGACTACCTGGTTCACCCTCTGGCTCTGAAAAGAACCACTTTGGTTTCTGATGTTCTGGAGGCCCACCAGACCCTCTAATGACCTGAGCACTGGGTCTGTCTTCCTGGCACCCATCACCAGTGTCACATATATGTCCCAGCCACACCATCCATCATGTCAAATTGTATGTACAACTGTCTTCTCCATTATGAGCTACTGAAGGCAGGTCTTGTGTCTTTTTCTTCTGTCGCCTCCTAGCATAGCACCAGGCACACTAGTTGTGTTGATTAGTGTTTGTCAGTTCCATAAGGCCACCAGGATGCTCTGTTTTGTAGGAAAGGAAGAGAGGCAGCAGGAAAGCAGGCAAGGCAGCTTATACACTCTCAGGGATTGGAAGGAATCAGGAGAGGGCTCCAAGCCCCTGGGGCTGCACAGCCCATTTCTCTGCAGATTGCCACCACTAGAGAGCACAGTGCACCTAGGAACAGGGTCTGCCGAGTGTCTGGCTCTGGCCCAGCCCAGCTCTGCTCAGCCCCCCACCCCTCCTGGCAACACTGCAATGGGAAGCAGGATTTGGATGAGGCTCAGCCCTGCCTCAGACACTTTGCAATCTTAGGCCTAATTAAAACACCACAGATGGTTTGAACCCCGCATTAAAATTTGATGAGGAATTGATCAGCCAAGCAAACAGGAAATTTAGCTGTGAGTGAAGGTAATGTTTGCTCAAATGTGTAATGAGGCCCACGGGGAATATTTGTGGGGACCTCCGTCATGTCTGGAGTGGCTCCTGCTCTTCAATTTCATTTTCCCTATTTGCCTTTCCCCTCAAAACATCCCAAGATGCTTCCAGAGGGGAAAGGCAACACAGGGAAAGTTTTAGTTTCATAAGAATTTCCTTTGAAAACCCAAGGAAATCTAAAATCCTCAACTATGTACTGGAAAAATAGCACAGGAAAGGGCCAGACTTGGGTGGGAGTCCTGGCTCTGCCATTTGGCAGTTGGCATCCTTAGGTTGCAATATCTAATTTTATGATTAGTCACTGAGTACCTACTATGTGGCAGCCAGGGGTTAGATCCTGGGGATAGACGGCTGTGCAGAACTGTCTTGGTTCCTGCCTCCATGGGTAAACAGCTGAGTAAGAGAGGCTATGAGTCTCAATTTTCTTATCTGTAAAGTGGGAATATTTGTATGTTATCATAGGGGGTTGTTGGATGAATTAAATGAGAACGTGTATGCAAAACGCAGAGAACAGGGCTGGAATACATGTGTCAAATGAAGGTTCCTCCATGTCCTTCTTCCCCATAACCTGCATCTAAAGTCTATACAAGGCTTTTCAGCTTTCCTTCTACTTAATGTCTCTGAAAGTGACCTAATATGATATTCACTCACTTATATGTTCACCACTGGTGGGTGTAACTGAGGCCAAGGACACAGCAAGTCACAAGACTAACCTATTTACCAGATTGGAATTGGATCAGAAGTTCTCTTAGAAAGAGATGAAATAGCAAGCATTCTTGGGTCATCTGGGATGAGAGGAGTCTGATTTGAGAACGTTGCTCCGAGGATTAGGGAGAAACATCAGAAGCTTAACGTTTCCTTTAGACACATCCGTGATACCTTAAGTGGGAGAAGAGAGGAATATGGAGAGATTTTCCTTCCTTTCACACATCCACGAAGATACTTTACCCTAATAGTAATGATGTGTATGTTGTGTGCTCAGCTTTCCCTTCCTCTTCATCATCCCGACTCCCAACCCAATGCCCACCCATTGCCATTCCTATCCTTATCCCCGATTCCATCCCCACACCCATCCTCATGCCCACGGTTACCCATTCCTATTCTTATCCCCACTCTCATTCCCACACTCATCCTAATGCCCACTGTCACCTATTCCCATTCCTATTCTTATCCCCACTCCCATTCCCACTCCCATCCTAATGCCTACTGTCATCCATTCCTGTTCCTATTCTTATCTCCCATTCCCATGGCCATCCCAATGGCTACTGTCACTCATTTCTGTTCCTATTCTTATCCCCACACCCATCCCAATGCTACTTATCCATGACCATTTCTTTACTCACCTCTACTCCTCCCCATCAATTTTCTTCCCTGTTACCAACATCATTAATATTATCACCAGAATCTTTATCACAAAATATCCCCGTCACTGGTTTGGTAGGTGCAACCAGATTTGATTTCCCTTTCTTCTACTCATAGGATCTTACATAAGTTGATCATGTTTGTTAAATTTCTAGGATAACCCCCTTCCTTAATTCCAAGATGCATGCTTCCCTGTCTCACATGTTTTAATGTCTTTGAATTCAGAAGGTACCTCACAAAAAAATGCCAAAAGACAATTTCTAGCCACAGGTAGAAGAATGAGCTGTGACAGTGTTGTTATTGCTTTGACATTGCAATAGACTGCTGAAGTTTCAAAGATGGGAGAGCCTGGGTGACCAATTTTTATGTCCTGGAGAACCACCACTCAGATATTTACATAAGGTCTAAGGAAAGCAATGGCTGATTTCCAAGTGTCCGAGTTTCATTAATAGGGAATTTCAAAACAAGGGAAAAAACAAAAGCTTGAGTTTAATCAAATAGGAAATGAGGACAAAACCTTGGTTTTCTTCAATATGTTTCAGATGATGATGTTACTTCTAAAGTTCTTAAAATACAGAGCTTAGAATTAGGAAAAACAACATGGCACCCTGATACTAAGGGTAACTGCTCTTTGAGCACTGAGTAATTGAGTAATTTTCAATGACTTTGCTACTATGGATTGAATATTTTTCACTTATAAAAGTCAGTGAAAGTCTGGGAAAGTATAGATTTATATACATTTATTTTGTATCTTGTCATCTAATGAGATATAATAAATTCATTAGTTTATCAAATTCTTGTATTATGTTTTCTAAATTTACAGTAATAACATTTGCAAATGATACCTGTTTTGATTCTTTATTTTCAGTAGTTAACCACTTATTTCTGCCTCCTACTTTATAGGCCAGAGCTTCCATCAGAATCAGTGTATTCAGATTTCCTAATATTATTTAATTAATTTTGGTCATTATAACATTGTGATTTTTCTAGGAAATTACAGGTTTTTTTTTAAATCAAGACCATTGGTATATAGCTGTGCAGTATTTTCTGTATTAATTAAAAATTTCCCTCATATTTACTTTCATATCCCTTTATCCATTTTTAAATTTATGTAACCCAAATGTTACAGTCTCATGAGGTCAGAGTCTCATTAAGAAAAAATCCTGCATTTTGAAGGTTCTGAGTTTCCATCTGACTGGGTCCATGTATCAGTCCTCCTTATTTCTTGCCGCTAACATCATGCAGGTGTAAGTTCTATTAATTTTATAATCCCACTTCTTAAGGGTAACCACAACAAACATTTTGGAGTAGAAAACATCAGTCCTTTTTCTATACATACACAATATGTGTAAATATAATTTCATTTCTTACACAGTGGGGTCATATTATATATTGTTCTGTAACCTGTTTTTTAATGTATCCCAAAATATGTTCTTTATTGACTTCATAATATTCCACAATATGGGTGAACCATATGCTATTTACTAATTTCTTTGTTGTTTCCTAGTCAGGTTGATCCATTTGTTTGCCACCGTAAGTCATATTATGATGAACACATTTGTGAATAAATATTTGTTCACATTTCTAATTATTTCCTTAGGATAAAATTGTTAAGTAGGCATGAATAATTTTTCAGCATCCTTGATACAGATTGCCAAATTACCCTTTAGGAATTTGTACTAATTTATACTCCCACTTGCAATCGATGAGTGCCTAGATTGCTCAACTGTCACCAACATTGAGTTTCTTTAATCTTTGCAAATTTAATAGATTACAAATGAAATCACATTGCTGTCTTAATTAGCATTTATTTGATTATTAGTAGGATGAACCTTTTAAATCTTTGTAATTTATGGTTCTTCTCCTCCTTTTTTGAGACAGGGTCTGGCTGTGTTGTCCAGGCTGGAGTGCAGTAGCTATTCACAGGTGTAATCATAGCGTACTGCAGCCTTGAACTCCTGGGCCCAAGTGATCCTCCCACCTCAGCTTCCCAAGTAGCTGGGATTATAGGTGCATGCCACTGCTCCTGGTTATCATTCCTCTTACATGAACTTTCTCTGTCTGTCCGTGGATCATGTTTCCCTAACTCAGCGTTTGTTTTCTTACTGCTTTTAAGAGTGATCTAACCCGTAACCTTAAGGATATTAACTCTTCATCATACATGTTGGAATTTTTTTTTTCTCAGTATGTTGTTGAATTTTTAATTTTTATAGTTAGGTTTATCAATATTTTTTGAAATTTATTTCTTCGCTTCTATTCTTAGTGAATTCTGTGATTAGATCAATATTGATTTCAGTTTTCTCCCAGAGGCTGAGCTGAGTTTTTGGTGGGTTTGGCACAGAGCTCCTTACCCTAACCTCAATAGCAGAACAGGCCTCCTTTATTGGGAGAGGGAATCCTCTTTGAATGAGACTGCAGCTTTGGGAAGGAGGAAAATGGAGCAGCTATGAAAGATGGTTTGCTGTCCAGCTCATAAAGTCATCTGGCTCAGCCTGGTGATCTTGGGGTGGCATGCATCACATTCTCAGCCCCGTCTGTCTGAGCTTCTGTTTCCTTCTTTCATGTAAATCATTAATCTAAGATTTAGTTCAGTGCATATTTGAGATGAGGCTCTAACAACATATACAATATACAACAATATATATCAACAACAATATGTATTATTAAATACATATATGTCATCTCCCTGAAGCCCTACAAGAGCCTAATGAGATAGATGGTGATATAATTTATAGAATAGGAAACTGAAGTTCAGGGGGGCCAGGCATTTTACTCAAGAACTCTGCCTTTGACATTGACCCAAATACTCTGCCTTGGTTAGTCCACTGGATGCAGTTGCAGTAAAGAGCTGGGAAGCTCCAAATCCCACCTACTTGATTGTGGAAAGGTCAGTCTCTTCCATGCTTCTGCTTTCCAAATGGCTTGGGGGATTTCTAGAGAAGCTTCCATGTGTTCATAAATCAGTCCTGTTGTCATTCTCTCCTTTTCCAGATAAACCTGGGATGACTACGCCACACCCTGACATTACAGCATCTTGTTTTATCTCCCTGAGAGTGCTACCAGCAATGCCACCTCCAAGTGTAGCTGTTTCAGGTGTGGACCCTAACACTGGATTCGTGTACCCAGCTCTGATGCTGTCATCCCTCTTGTGGAGTGAGTAAAAGGACTTTCCTTTGTTATGGGATGCTGGATGCTGTATGCTGTGGTTAGTTGCACTGGGACTTTGTAATTTGAAGGCTCTGTTGCAGCTGTGTGTTCCTAGTGGTTTCAAGGTGCATCTCCTTTAACTATCCAGGCAATAATGGTTCCAAGAGGTGACAAGGACAAAGAACACTTCCTCCTTCTGATTTATGCTCATTTGATGAATGTCTCATTGCAAAACCGTCCAGGCTCCAAAAATATTTTCCAGTTCTTATTCTTAGATTTTAAAACTTTTTCAGTGGTCTCCCTCCCTTCCTACTTCCTACCTCCCTTCCGCTCTCCCTACTTCCTTATCCCTCCCCGCCCCCACACAGCTTCCCACCCCAAATGCTCATATTGCAAATATGCAAATAACAATTAAGATTCCGGGTTATAAAAACAGAAAGAAACTTCACTGCATTTAGGTGAAAGGAAATCTGTTGGCAGGATGTTCGGGATCTCAGAATTGTTAGGCATCATGGACCAGGCTAGCTAAGAGCTCTGTAGATATATGAATCGGGACTCCCAGCAATTGTTTTATGGAAAGAAGGATCTGGTTGGGGCCCCTGTGCTATGCAGCAATGAATGGACTCTAGCCATTTCTTTCCACCTCTTCCTTTTTCTCCCTAGATTAGAAGTCCCCATGGAGAGTGTAAGCCTTCTAACCTTCCTCCACAAGCCTGCCCCTACTCCTGACTGTACTGGGCTAGAAGGAGGAGGATCATTTCTCTTTGGTGTCCCAAAGTTGAAGTGGTCACCTCTAATAACCCTCCCACCAAAGATATGCACAATGAAGAGAGGCAGTTTTCTTAGAGGAAACTAAAGAGAAGTAATAAACACTGGGTAGCAGCTGCTGCTTCCACTTGCCTTGGAGAGTCTCTAAACCACTGACCTCTTAAATCTTTGCTGAGAAGTGGAACAAAACCATGGTGGGGATCCTTGGTGGAAAATCATCTATTGCCCAACCAATTGGGCTGGAAGGGGAAGTTTAGGTCAAGTGGAAGGCTGGAATTAGCCTCATCCATCTACATGGAGGCAGACTCCCTTCATCCCTTAGGCATTCAAGGCTGTGTTGGCCTCTTTATTTTTGTGTCTCTTCCTTCTCAGCGTTTGTTCTCCAGATCATGATTCCTCCCTGCCCCCTGGCTTTATTCCAGTTCACCCTAGTCTATCATACATTTAAAAAAATATCCTTGAACCTCAAGGAGGATTAGAGTTCTGTTTTTATTTTATAGGAGGGTAGGGTCTTAGTTCACATCCTTCTGAGAGGAGGAGTTGGATGCAAGCTCATTTGTTTATCTGGAGGATGATCCCAGAAAATGGAGAAGTAGGGAAAGAAGAACAGGGGAGGAGAAAAGCCAAACAAGCCAAACAAGTGGCATGCTGGTGAGTGTAAGATTATAGCTGTGGGCCACTTGGGGTCAATTCTGCTGGGGACCCACTGAAATAGTGTGTGGTATACACTGTAAAGTCTTCCCACTGGAGGGGGGAGGCTGGGACATCTATCCACTGATTCCTCTACCCCATCATTTGGAGATTGCTTCTGGGGACATTTGTGCTTGCAGCAGGTCAACACACTCAAGGAGTGATAGATAAAGCCCTTAGGCAGAGAAGAAAGACGTAGGAAGAGGCATTAGAGGTGGGAAGTGCCAGTGTCCTGGAAATGTTTCCATCTGCCACTGCAGGTAACCCAGGTGGGCCAAGGGGATATTAGGCAGGATGTCAAGAGCATCTGCTACAGAGCAGGCTCTTCATCTACTATGCAAATTAGTGGATTCATCTCTGCAAGAGGCTAAGTACTGTTACAAGAAATTGATGGAAGACCCCAACGTCTTATCAGTTTTCCACATCCAATGGGCTCTGTCTACTCTACCTTGTCCCTTTTTATTACTTTGTGTCAAAATTATTGTCAGAAATTAAGGTCATAAATAGGTAGCTTAAAAAGTTTACGTTCACATCTATTCCTGGGATCACACATATTTCGTGTACTTCTCACTCAGTTCTTTAATTTCTACCAGATTAATACATTGCCATAAAAGCAGCTTCCAAGTGCAGTAATAATCACAATAATCACTGTAAAATGTAATAGATAATTATATTGATGAAGAATTATATTTAGCCATATGCCAATATAAGAATACTTATTGATTCATGTCTATCATTGTTATCTTCTCTCTAGCCTTTAGGCTATAGTTACCTGTCAGGATTAGTAGTGAGAAGTCTTTGGATGGATTTGGAAGGTTTGTCTGAGCCCTGGCAATGGGTAGGGTACAGATGACTAATGTGAATGGTCTCTAGTTTTGTTCTCTCTACAAATGAGCTATGGGACCTCAATAGGAACTGCACAACTTGCTTTGGAAATTGTCTGACTTGCACTGGTATTTTTGGATGACAGTTTTCCCACTGTTGATATGCCTTTCTCTTTACCAGCCTTTGTTGATTAGAACCATGCAGCAAGAAAACTCATGCATCACTGGAATGCTCCAGTAGAGAGCATTCAGCATTGTGGGTTGGCTAATTGGTTGGGCAATAGTTGATTTTCCACCAAGAATCCCTGCCGTGGTTTTGTTCCACTTCTCAGCAAAGATTTAAGAGGTCAGTAGTTTAGAGACTTCTCCAAGGCATTGTTACTTTGACAAGATGTACCAGGGTAATTGATTAGTTTGCACTTGATATTGCCATAAATAATTACAACAAAGCTATCCTTATCAAAACAAATGAACCAAGCAGTATGTCTGTTTTGCTGAACCCCATGTTCAAAGGGATTAGAAAGATTTAGAAATTAACCAAATCTGTCTTTGAGACACTGCCCCTGAATGAGAGACAGAGTATTGATTAACATCCTGGAGGAAATGACATTGTAAACAGCTCTGGTTTAATGAAACATGGTAGGGAAGTAGGGTAGCAAGACAGGGCTAGAATTCTGACCCTCCACTTACAAATATGCCCTTAGGTAAGATTTTTGCTTGGCTTTCTGTTACCCCATTGATGAGATAGGATAAAAATATGAATCCTTCAGGAGTATCATAAACATGAAGTGAAAGAATGTATGAGCAAACACTTTGTAAATTCAATAATGGCATGTAGATGTTACATGCTCTTGCTGTTAAATACGATATATAGCCCACTTCTTTCTACCCCTTTCCTGGTTTCTCTCTGAGGCAGAGATTCTCAGCCTCAGCACTATTGACATTTGGAGCTGGATAACTCTTTGTTGTAGAGAGCTGTCCTGTGTATTGTAGAATGTTTGGCAGCATCCCTGGTCTTTACCCACTAGATTCCAGTAACAGCCTCCTGGTCATGACCACTGAAAATATCCCTAGATGTTGTCATATGTTCATGGGGGCAAAATAGACCTTGATTGAGGACCACTGCTCTGAGTGTAGAGAAGTTGATGAACATTTCCTGGAAATTCTTTGGACCTTGCCTCTTTACTAGGGGTGGCATCCCTGTATGTTAAAAATGCTCACAGTCATTCTTTGCAAAAATTAATTCCAGGAGCCGGGGTGGATATATCAGCTCAGCCTAAGTTCCACTGTGGTAACAAACACTGCCCAAATCTCAGTGGCTATGTAACCCTCTCCTAAGAAGAGTCAGCCCAGGTCACATAGCCAAATCCACCCTAAGTGGGATGGAAGACATAGAATTTTTCCCTGCAAAAGATAGTGAATATTTTGAAGAATAATACAATCTACTACCAGGAGTTAGTTGGTAGAACACAGGTCCTTTGTAGTCTACAGATATTGCCATTTTTCTCACACATTTTCCTGGACTGACTTTTTCCAGGTACCAGCCAGTTACTTCTTCCAGGTACTTTAGGCCCCAGCTACCAGCTGGCAGGGGCTCAGTCTCCATGCCTTGGGTCTCTTGGACTTCTCTTCTGACCTGACCAAAGCTCCATGTTGGGGTATTAGGCACATGTGCAGCTGATCATCAAGGGACCGCTTTGATTCTCCTTTGCTTTTGCACACATTTATGGCTCATGTAGAAACTTCTCAGAAAGAGCCTTCTAAGGGTTTCAGGCACAGAGGTGGCTAAATAGATCTGCAATCTGTAAAGATGTTGCAGCATGCTTGGTTGAAAAGTCAAGCAGTCAGTTAGTCATTTACTTGGAGTGTTAATATAATGACAGTCACTTGGTTGAGCTGATTTTGTCACTTAACTGCTGGAGACTGTCTACTGCTTAACTAACCAGCATAACCTTCCTCCCTGGTGACACAGCTGGAGTGTGTCAGAAATCCTATCACTTCAGTAGTGGGACTATGGAAATGAATCTTATAGTGGGGCTGAAGGTCACAATGGATGACAACGAAGGGTTTCTAAACCTGGATGCATAGGCTAAACTGGTCTGTTCGTGACATGGTGTTGCCCAGTTATTGAGGCAAATGCAATCACATTTTACCATTTATAAAACACTTTCATATCTACAGTCTTCCCTGAAAGTGCTTCTTGCTCTTTTATCCACCTGGAAAACTCCTATTCACCCTTTAAGAGCCCTCTTAGATGTAGCCTTCCCTGATGGCACTCTCCTCTCCATCATTATACAGTTGTTTGCTCCATCCTCTGTGCTGTCACAATAGTATCCTCCTCCTTCTGGTCTGTGAAGTTGCCAGGCAAAGGAGATTGCTCTGCTGGTCCTTGTATCCCAGGAACTCACCATTGCTCCTGGCGTTGGAAATACATGCAGGAACATGGCTGGTTTACTAGACAGTTTACCCAAATTTTTACCATGACTCTGTACGCCATTAAAAAAAGAGAGATTTAGAAAGATTTACTCACCTGCCTCAAGTCTCACAGCTGCCAATTAACTCTTTGTTGTAGAGAGCTGTCTGGTGGTTGGTGGAATTTAGCAGTCTCAGGACACTTGGCTTCCCTTTTGTTTTCCAGTAAAATTTGAGTCTTCTGGGCACTGATTTTAGATTGGTACAAGAGACAGTGATTGGATGCAGTTTTAGCTGTTCTAAAGAACTGAGTGATATAACTTTGTGGCCCAGGGCTTACTTTATTATGTCAGAAAGACGTGAGTTTGAATCCCAGCCCCTCCACTTACTAGCTGTGTGGCTTTAGGTGAGTTACTTAACCTTTCTGTGTCTCAGTTTCTTCATTTCTAAAATTGGAATCACAATAATGCCTATCTAATGAGATTATTTTTAAGGATTACATGAAATAGCATATTTAAGTGGTTTTAGCATTTTTGCCGGTTATGTAGTACACACTGAATAATTCCTAGTTTTTAATACTGTTTTTATTTCTATTTCTCAAACAGTATATTCTGTTTTATGTTGATGTATTGGATCCTTCCTTCTTTCCTTTGGTAAACTTTGTTGCATGTCTTCTTTGCCATGTATTGATGTCAGAAAGAATCCTTAAAATGACAATACCCAATTGCATGATTAATACCACTTCTTGAGTGCTTGGTTCATTTGAGCCCAACATCCATTGATCAAAATCAATAATCAATGACAGGCATTATTTCATTTAATCTTCATCACAACGTTATTAGGTAGACCTCATTTCTTCCCATTATATGGAGGAGAATACTGAGACTCAGAGTAATTAGCTGAGGGTTTAAGGGAAGAATGGATTGAAGCTGGGTGTGCTCAGACACCTGCGGAGGGAGCAGAGGAGTCCAGCAGTGTGTTGAGCCTTGGTCCTGTCCTGGCCCTGTGGTCTGTAAGAAGGAAGAAAGCCACCTCCATGGGTGCCAGTAGCTGCTTTCTTGACACTTTTTTTGCTGCTGAAGGAAAAGTACCAGATACTCTCCCCAGCTGACTCTCCAGGGTCAGTGGAGATTCTTGAGGGTCAGTGGACCAAAACGGACCTCCAGGGTCAGGGTCATTATTGAGGGTCCGTGGACCAAGGTCAAGAGGCCTTGGGAGTTGTTCTGCAGGGTGTGGCATGGTTCCTGCCCACCAGTTCCCTTCTGGGAAAGGAGAGGGCAATTCTGAGGAACAAAGAAGTTCAGAAGCCACCAGAGGGAGCAGAATCCTGTTCTGCCTCCTTGATCTACCAGAGAACTGATCACTAATTAACAAAGCCCAGCATCAGATTCTCTTCACGCTGCCAAAGCACAAGCAAAAACTTAAAAATTCCCTCTGTCATCCACATGGGACTGTCCAATACATAAATAAGGCAGAGACTCGTTTTGAGTGTCTGCGATGTGCACCTTCCTGACCCAATTCCATGAATTCTCTCAATAACGCTAAAAGGTGGGAAATAGTCATGTCCCCACTGCACAGATTCAACAGTATATTCATTCATGCATCAAGCATGTTTTCAGTGATTCTATGTGCCAGACATGTGCTGGGCACTGGAATACAAAGGTGAACAAGACAGCTGGGGCTTGGGGCTTAGAGAGGTGAGGTCACTTGCCAAGTCACAGAGCTAAGTAAGCAGTGGAGCTGGGATGTGTCCATCCCCTGCAGAGTCTGAGCGCCCACCTGTTATGCAGAAGTAGTAGTCTGGCTGAGATCCCTGGGCTTTCTTCACCTCAGTTTCCACATGCAGATACCAGCAGTAAGTCATATGTGGTATGCTTGCCTTCAGCACACATTTCCTCAGTGGCCACCTGGGCACAGACCCTACCCAGAAGGAGTTTATGCTCTAGCAAAAGAGGCGGGCATGTACAGAGTTGGTCAGCCATGTGCCAAGGCAGATTGTGATAAAATCAAGAGCTGAGAATAGAGTATTAACTCTCACTGGGGTACATGTCTTTAGAGGCCAAGTGACAAGCCTGAGGCTTCTGGTGAGGTTTGGGCAGGCTGATGACCTGAATTCAGCTTTTCTAGCGCGGGTGGAGGTATTTCTGTTTCTTGGTTTTGCAAATACGAAAAGACCACTGGGTGTCTATAATTTCCACTTGTTTCAAGAGAGGTCACTGCATACCTGATTTTAAAAATGCCTTCTGAGTTTCTGCCAGTGCGAGTGAATGCTCAGCTGGTAAACAGCCCCAATGCTGGATGAGGGCATAGAGTCCCCTGGGTCCTGCTGTGCAGGCCATGGTCAGGATTACAAACAGAAGCCCTTCATTACCAGGCATATCTTAGCTTGTCCTGTATAGTCTTCTTTCTCTGGTGAGTCACTTAAACTAGCACTTTTCATACTTCACTGTGCATAAATCACCTGGGATCTTGTTAAAATGCAGATTCTGATCCAGTCAGTTTGGGACGGAGCCTGCTAACAAGCTCTCAAGTGATATGATGCCGATTGTTCATGGACCACACTTTGCGTTGCAAGGATGTAGGCCAGTATCTCCAAACTGGTTTACATAGAACTTTAGTGTTCAGTAAGGTGTTTGTTTTGCCATGTTAAATAAGTTTGGGAAATATTAGGTTAAACAAAGTTAAATGAGCTTTTGCACTGCAGGACTTCTCAGAACTTTTAACATGTTACTGTGCACCTGTCTCTCCAAGACTTGGATTGAGTATACAGTTTCCCAGATTTTACCAGGAAAACCCCCATTCTTGCCCAAGTCCCTCCCAAGAGTAGCCATTTAGTTGTGTGTTTTGGAACACAGCTCAGACATCACTGCTCTGGACTTTCTCATTCTGGAAGCTTTTTGCTCTCCACGCCAATGTATTTTCTTCCATGCTTCATCTTCCTCCAGTCTCTGCATATGTTTCCTTTCTTAGCCTGGAGATAATTCATTAAAGCAGCTCTCCCACTCCCTGCCTCCCTCTTCAGATACACCTTTCCACCTCCTAACACCGTGACTAAAAAACACCATCAATATTTCATAAACTCACAGTGACAAATTTATTTTAATGTGGTCCACCGAGAGCCAGAGATTGATTGGTCCCTCAGAAGCGTGACACGTTTCAAAGCAGGATATTCATGGTGTGTTTTAGTGCCTACATTAGTCAGAGAGGAGCGGAGCCCGGATTTATCATCGTTATGACTTTCTTGGTATCTATTCTCTTCTAGCCACTGGCAGCAACTCTCTGAATGCTCCCTATTGATTGGTTTTGTGTCTTTAAAATGTGCTGGCTGGGGAGGAGAGGGGGGACTTGGGTCTCTATGAAATTGAGCCTAGCTTGCTGGAGTTTCTGCATATTGGGAGCTTGTGTTTGGGTGAAGCCAACTCTAATTCTCTTGGTTTTCACTCATGAGGGCATTGGAAAAAGGGGCTAATCTCCTTGATTTCTGGAGAGTATTAGTGATTGGAAAATGGGACAAATGTGTACGGGGACTGTTTTGCCAGCTGTCACTTTGCAAGCCTGCCCCACTGGCTGAGCAGGTCATAGTAAGTCCTTGACATCCGGGTCCTGAGGCTTGACAGTCTGATGAGGTTTTATTTTGTTGTTGTTGTTGTTTCCCCCCTCCCCCTACCCCCAACCTTTCAGGACAGGTACAGAGTAGGGTCAAAATTGTTCTTAAATTTAGAAAATCTCTTCCTCTCACAGATTAAATAATAATGATAATGGCAAGTGACCTTTATTGAGCACTTACAATGTGCCCAGTACAGTGGGACATGCATTACAGACATAATTTCTTTTCATAATAATCCTAGGAGGAAGAAATTATTATTTCCATTTTACAGATGAGAAAACTGAGGGTTAGAGAGTTAAGTGGCTGGCCCAAAGCCCTGCAGCTGGTATGTGGTTTAGTGAAAACTAAAGCCCAGGTCGAGCCAACTTTACATGCTAGCTCTTAATCCATAGGCCTGACTGCCTAAGTGAAGCAGCCCAGAGAACCTGCTGTTGCCTAACTGATAAGCTATAATTAATATGTTCTTACTTATTCATCCTTACTGATTCAGAAGGTAAGGTCTTTCTTCAGCAATACTCTTGGGCTAATTTGAGTTTCTATCTGACTTTCTAAGTTAAATAAGCTATTGCTCTTTTTCTTTTTCTTTTTATTTATTTATTTATTTTTTTGAGACAGAGTCTCACTCTGTTGCCCAGGCTGGAGTGAAGTGGCACGATCTTGGCTCACTGCAAGCTCTGCCTCCCGGGTTCGCACCATTCTCCCTCCTCAGCCTCCCGAGTAGCTGGGACTACAGGAACCTGCCACCATGCCTGGCTAATTTTGTTTTCGTATTTTTAGTAGAGATGGAGTTTCACCGTATTAGCCAGAGTGGTCTTGGTCTCCTGACCCTTGTGATCCTCCCGCCTTGGCTTCCCAAAGTGTTGGGATTACAGGCATGAGCCACTGCGTCCGGCTGCTATTGCTCTTTTAAATTACCCCAGTTTCTCATTAATTGAGATCTCCTCAAATTAATATGAACTAATGAGACCCTATCATATTGCCACATCACTAAAAGTTGCATTTAGTCATATGTGGCATGCTTGTCTTCAGCACACATTTCCTCAGTGCCCACCTGGGCACAAGCCCTACCCAGACAGAGTTTATGCTCTAGCAAAAGAGACAGGCATGTACACAGCTGGCCAGCCACACACCAAGGCAGATTGGGATAAGACTGAGGGGCACTGTGTAATTGGAGAGCTAAGGAAAGAGCAGTTAACTCTCACTGGGATAAATCTGGGAATATCTTATTGTGAAATATCAATTGTGTGGCGCCTGGAAAAGATGAAAAAAGATTTAAAGAAGCAGAGAGGGTTCTGAGGATGCTCCTCCAGGGAAGTGTCATAAACAGAGATGCAGCGGAAGGGGGAAACATGTTGTGTATGTTAGGGACATATGACTCAGATGACTAGAAAATTTAGACACCCTTTGAGTTCATCCTTCCTTGTATGGATAAACATGATAACACACTTTCTCCCCTCATATGGATAAGGATGCATTAAGCAAAATGACTGTGAAACAAATCCTAGTTCCACTTGGCCTCCATTAGGAAGTCAAAGATATATATCTGGGAGGGAGAAAAAAAATCCTCCAGCAGATTGAACTGAAGCATATTGAGCAGTTGAGGCAGCAAGCAGTTAATCCTGGTGACTGTAGACAGCAGCCATCTCTGTGCAGTGGGGTGCGTGGGCCTCTGCTTAGCAGTCACCTTCCCACTGAATCATTTTGAAGGGGTTTTGCCAACTCTAGGGTTTCCCCTGAAATGAAGACCATCCCCTTGCTCTAGACAACAGAATTTCTTTCATACTTAGGCAACTTTTGACTTCTTATTTTCGGGATCCAGAATTTAGCTGCTTCTTTTTGCCAGGACATAACAGAAACACATTGAGAGAGTCGGCTCACTAGGGCTCTGAATTCCTACGATTGTTTTTCATTCTTTCTGTTTCGGAGAAGGGAATGAAGATTAGGGATACCAGCTCCTGTCTTGGAGTTACTGTAAAATCCAGTCATAACCATTTCTAGGAGAGTTTCTCGGTGGTCTGCAGATGACCTGCATCATACACACCAGGGGTATCATATGAGTAAAAATTCCCAGCTTAAGACCTGGGTGTGGGGCCCAGAAATCTGTATTAAACAAAAACCAAACACCAACAAACTAATCAGAGGTCTTAATGGTCAGAGATGCAATGTGTGGTTGGGTAGGTTTGCCCTGTATACCACTGAGGGCTCCATTTACATAATACATAGGCAGCCCCTAGATTTGTGCAGTGCAAAACCTGTGCAACAGCTCATGGCAGCTTTGCATTGCAGAATCACCGTGGTGAGATATTCTGGCATTGGCATGTATCAAGTCCAAATGTTAGCACTTTTTTCTGATTTATTCTGCCTCACCATCTACTGGGCATGTCAGAGATCCCTGGGGCCCAGGGTAGAGCAGCTACAGAGGCCTTATACAAACCTCATTCTTTAAAGGAAGACCCCACCAGAGTGTTCATCTGTAGTAAATTGTCAGGTAGATTGGGGAATTTTGGAAAGATTCTTCATCACCAAATAAAATGTGTTTGCTTCTTTTTTGTTATTTATTTATTTATTGAGACAAAGTCTCTCTCTGTTGCCCAGGCTGGAGTGCAGTGGCGGGATCTCAGCTCACTGCAACCTCCACCTCCTGGGTTCAAGCGATTCGTACTGCTGGACTTGATGCTTGAATTCAGCAGCTCATGGAGGATTTGCACCCTATTTTCTGTCTGTGAAGCTGCTAATAGGCCCAGGATTCCTCAAGACCACGTTCGGAAATGCTGCCCCATCATCCCCTGATAAAGTTGACAAAGCTCAGCCAGAAGCAATTCTGATGCAGAGGAGAGTACACAGGACGAGAAGACCAGTGTTTGGATCATGACCCATCAGTTACTGGCTATGATATCTTGGATACATTATTAAAACTCTTTGGACCTTGGTTTTGCCATCCGTGAAATGGGGACAAGCATTCTCACCTCCTGGGCAGATGGAGAGAATGCAGTGTGCTAACAAATGAAGAGTGACTATCACAGTAAATAGTATTTCCTTCCTTTATTCAAGCATGTGAGGGACTAAAATGTATCAGGCATGTGCTAAACATGGGGAAAATAATGGCAAATGAATTCACAGAGCTGCTATTGTTAGATCACAGGGTTGATTGGAAAGACTGAAAGTGAAGAAGTCAACACATAAATATAGTCCAGAGAGAAATATGTCCCAGGCAGAAAATTAGGGCTGCTTTAAAATGGATTATCAGGGAAAGCTTCTGGGAGGAGGTAGCATTTGATCTGAGACCTGAATGATGACAGTATGTGAAGAAGACAGACAGGCAAAGAGCAGGGGATGAGCATTTCAGATGGAGGGCACAGCTTGTGTGAAGGCCCTGAGGCAAGGGCTAGTATGATGCCCTGGAGAAACGGAAAGACTGCTGCTGTGGCTGGAATACAGAATGAGAGAAGACTAGAGAAGACTGACATGGAACGGAGCATGGGGATCAGGCAAGGGGTTTAGTTGGAAGTAGTTCTTAGTGTAGTTGGAAGTAGGTTCAGAGGTAATGCTACTTTTCCTTTTCCCTTCTGTGGACTCAGCTGCTTGATTCATGCCTTATATCAATTAAGAATGTTTGTAGCAGCCGGGAGTGGTGGCTCATGCCTGTAATCCCAGCACTTTGGGAGGCTGAAGTGAGCAGATCATGAGGTCAGGAAATCGAGACCATCCTAGCCAACATGGTGAAACCCTGTCTCTACTAAAATACGAAAATTAGCCGGGCGTGGTTGGTTGCAGTGAGCAGAAATCACGCCACTACACTCCAGCCTGGCAACAGAGCAAGACTCCGTCTAAAAAAAAAAAAAAAAGAAAAATTTTTTTTTGTAGCTACAAGTAACAGGAAATGTAACAAAGTTGTCTTAAATAAGCAAGGATGTGTTCTTCTCACATAACAATATGTCTAGAGGTATGAAGATGCTGGTCCTGGTTCAGCAGCTCAACAATGTCACATCTCTGGGCTGGCCTCCCTGTGATTCTCTTGGCGTTGCCCTCATGGTCACAAAATAGCTGTCATAGCTTCAATCATCACATCCTTACACCATGGTCAGGGGCAGGAAGCAGGAGCCAGTGTGGGAGCAGACAGTTTCTCTTCAAGTGCCTCTTTTTCATAAGGTCAGAGAAAACTTTCCTTTAGCAGATCTCTTTGAGTCATATTAGAGTGGAATGATATCCTGGGGTCCAAGCATCTCCACCTGATGAAGAATGGGTGGAGTTTTACTGGCAAGAAAAAAGTGCAGGGCTGGTAATCACAGTGATCTCCAAATTCCCCATGTTTTCACCTAGCTCCCTGAGTGAAGGCTACAGAATTTTAAGTTTTGCCTCCAACTAGGAACAGCAGCCCTCAGAGCAAATTTCAGTCTTCTTGGAAGCTCCTATAAGACTTCTTATTTTTCTCTGGCACCACACAGGCCACTTGTCCCTCTTGCTCTTTAGCAAGTTGAAGGCACAGGATTTAATTAAAAGCAAAACTTGACATAAGTGTTTTTAATTGTAATAGAAAAAAGCTGCCTGTTTTATAAAGGTGACAGTTTGCAAACACAAATGTGAACATATTCCTACCTCACTTGGCGGCGGCCCCGTCAGAGAGTGGCAGAGTGGTACAAGGAGATGGATCTGGTGTGAATGACTTGTTCCTGCAGTGAAGGATGCAACCTGAATTCCTCCTGAGGAGTGCCAGCAACACCTGTCATCAGGTCCACTTAGCTAATGAGATCCAAGGGGTAGCCTCTGGTACCACCGTTTCTCTCCAGCCTTCAGACTTGCCTGGAAGAAAGGTGCAGTTCCCTCTCATATTGGAGAACTGGGACATCCATGACACACTGCAGAAGCCAGACTGTCTTTCACTCAGGCCTGAGTTCAGTGGTGATGCAAATCGTTCATTCTGTCCCCAGGATGCTTTCCAACATTCATGTTTTTAAAGGTCAATCTGGGCCGGGCAAGGTGGCTCATGCCTGTAATCCCGGCACTTTGGAAGGCCGAGGCGGGCAGATCACCTGAGGTCAGGAGTTCAAGACCAGACTGGCCAACATGGTGAAACCCTGTCTCTACAAAAATACAAAAATTAGCCGGGCATGATGGCGGGCGCCTGTAATCCCAGCTACTTGGGAGGCTGAGGCAGGAGAATCGCTTGAACCTGGGAGGCAGAGGTTGCAATGAGACGAGATTGTGCCACTGCACTCTAGCCTGGGCGACAGAGCGAGACTCCATCTCAAAAAAATAAAATAAAGGCCAATCTGCTGGCTGGGGAGCTGTATTTGCATTCTTCTCCTGGATGTTGGGTCAGTGTAGATTCAGCTGTGGTGTACTCATGGAGGCCACTGCATCTTCTGGGTAGAAGACTGAGTCTCTTTCAATCTCGTTTTGCAGAGAGATGTCTGGAGTGTAGAAACCTAGGAAACATTCAGCTGCAGAGAATAGAAAGTGACTCAGATAAGTCCAGACAGAAAGAGGATTTACTGAAGACATCTGAGTCTCTCGAAAAAAATCATATGCAGGAGCCATACGTGGGCTTTTCTTGCATCTCTGCTGTATCTCCCTTTCTAGAGATCTGATTGCTTTGCAAGCCTCCCAAATTCTCAGCCTTGTGGACTTCTTTCTCAGTTTTCTGTGTTGATTCTAGCCTAGCCTCCATCTGACCTTGCTATTCAACTGCTCGTTCATTTATTAATTCAATGATTCATTAATTTATCAAATAATCACAGAATTATGTGTATAATCACAAATGGAGACACCTCCTGCAAAGGAAAGGATTATGGTGTTCTACAGCCAAATGCTTCAGTTTTTGTGTCTCAGTTCCCACCATTCTGGGTGGAGAATATGATTGGCCCAGCCTGCAACACCTGGTCCAATCAGCAATGGCCAAGGGGTGATGAGGTCGCACAGGGCCAGGCCTGTGAATGGAGCATATTGTCTAAGCCTGGGTATGGGGTGGGAGGAAACGCTTGAAATCTCTTTTACAGGAAGAGCTTCAGATGAGATATCCACAGAGTTACCTTGGATGGAATCTGATCCACTTCAGGCTTAGTTCTCAGAAAAGCATCACTAATTATACGGACGAACAGGCTCAGGGGTTTGCATTCTAGATGTTTGGTTTGATTCTGACTGGCTGCAAATGACCAGCCTAACTCACTGGATGGAGCATTCTGCGTTCCAAGTGCCAGGTGTGGGCAGGTGTCCAGCTGCAGATGGGCCTCTGCTGACATCCAGGCCACAGGCTGAGTGGCTGTACTGAAGGGAACACCAAGCCTTTGATTCCATAAGGTCCCTCCTTCACTGAAATGAGATGATGGCACAGGTACCTCAGGATGGAAGGCAGTAATAAGCACTGAAACCCAGCTGTACAGCTTTCCCAACATTTCATGCTAAAGCTTTGAGTATAAACTGAGCAGCATGACGAGAACAGGTGTGAAGGAATCTTTCATCTGCTCATTCACCAGGCTTTGATGGAGGATGGACCATGGCTGACCCAGTCCCAGGCATGGAGAGTCTTGAGGAGTTCATGATGACAGCCTTCCCCATCCCACAGTGTTTCCCTCCTTGAAGGAGTTAAGTAATGGTGTGAGGCAGCCCCAGAGTCTAGGCCCACAGCAGTGGAGTCACGTGCTCCTTGCATTCCAGGACTGGCTGCCTGAGGCTGGGACTTGCAGGAAGGCTGTATACAGAGAGCTCAGGGCAATCATTCAGGGTTCTGAGGGTCATGGGAGGCCTGGCCAGGGGTGGGGGGTCCATCGCTAGCAGCCCACGCCTGACTCTTCACTTTACTCCACCCACTTCTGTTCTCTGCAGCCAAGGAGAGGCGGACTTCCTTGTTCTGCCTGGTTTTCCCCACGTGCTACCAGCTAATAGGCTGCAGCTGTATTTCAGAAGAGTTGCCACAAGGAAAACTTAGCCTGTAAGTCAAGCACTTTAGTTCTCCAGGCGTGAAAAACAACACTCTTTATTTCTGGCCATGCCTGGCTTTGTGAGCTGTGTCTAATGGCCTCATAAGGAGATATACCACCGCACTGTCAGAGTGGTCCTGGGATTTCTGTTAGCAGGTGACCCTCTGTCCACAGGTATGGAAAGGGCTGGAGTTGGAGTCTTGGCCTGTGATATGTTTGCCTTGAAATAAATGTCTTAAAAAATCTGTTCAACATTAAACAAAACAAAAGGAAAAACAGGAAACAAAAACAAAACCAAAAATCATTACTGGATTTTTGGGAGCATGAAAAGAAACTGCGTGAAAAGAAACTTCGTGAAAAGAATTTACACAGTGCTTGGCCCCTATTGAGGGCTCAATCAATATTAGTTGTTATTCCTATTGTAATTACATTAATTTTGCTAAACATTTCAGGCACAATGTCACTGTTCTTCCCAGCCCATGTCAGTCTAAATCTCTATTGCTGGCATTTGCCCTGGTCTGTTTTGTTGTTGTCTCATGTAGTAGCCCAGGAATCCTCTGGGATTGGAGACCCCCATCTGTACCCGCCTCCTTGTCCGTATTTGGGGCTTGCTTCCACAGGCAGAATCTGGGATCTGTACCACCATAGAGAAGCTTTGAATATCACCAAAGGTAAAGTCTTGCCTGGCTGGTGCTCAGCTGCCTGGTTAGCCTCAGCTGAAGTTCTAACTCTTCTAGGAAGCATCCCCGAAAAGTATCCTCCTTTCTGCTTCAATCCACTTTTAAAAAGCCCCTGTGTATGGAATATTGTATTTGCCAAAGTGGGCAGCAATAATATTTCCCATTCCATATGCTTTTTTACAATGTGACTTTGTCACTTTTTCCAGTGAGTGGTAGTGTCATCTCTTCTTGAGTCTTAGTGAATCTTTGGCTAACAGACTAGTGTAGATTGATGCTGTGTGGCTTCGGAGGCTGTGCCATTGAAATGCCACGCAGCTTCCACCTTGCTCTCTTGGGATGCTTACTCTGGGAACCAGCCACCATACTGAGAGTGAGCCCAAATTAACTCATCTTGAGAGACCACATGGAGAAGTAACGTGCACTGTTCCAGCTGACTGTCCAGCTGGGGTCCAAACTGACAGTCAGCATCAACTGCCAATCATGTGAATGCAGTACTTCCATACCAGGGTCAGCAAACATTTTTGTAAATGGCTGGATAGCAAATATTTTTGGCTTTGCAGGCCGTACAGTTTCTCTTGCAACTATTTGACTCTGCTGTCATAGGGCAAAAATAGCTATAGACAATATATAAACAGATGGGCATGGCTGGATTCGGCTCACAAACTGTAGTTTGCATCCCATGCTCTAAATGACTCCAAACCCAGCCATTGAGTCACTGTCATCCTCCCAGCCTTCCCTGTTGAGCTTCTGCCTGAATTTCTCATGGACAGATGCCATGAGTTGCTTTCTGCTGTGACGTTTTGAGGTGGTTTGAATGTAGCAATAGCACCTGGATCCCTCCATATCTCTGTTTTATGATTATCAGTTTTATGATTCCTATGCCTATCCTTCTAGTTCTGAGCTTCCCAAAGGTAGGTACTGGCTCTTCCTCCTCTGCCTCCTCTTCAGCAGATCTAGTACTAGAGTGGCAGGTGTCATGTCATGCACTTTACATGGATTGCCATCTTTAGTCTTCCCAACTATTATTACATCTCTATTTTACAAATAAACACAGTGAATCTCTGGGAGGTCAGTGAATTGCCCCAAGTGACTCAGAAACACACACTCCTCAATTCCAGGGCCCAGGATTTTATCCACGATACCATCTAGCCTCAATGTTCATGGCATAAAATAAAGGTGTGGGAGCCTGAGAAACACCCACCCACTCGATTGAAAACAAAATCTGAGTCCAGAGGCCACACATGTTCAATCCCAGCTCCACTCTCCATGCCTTGCAGAGTTCCTGGGCACAGGGGATTGGTATAGTTTGGATGTTTGTCCCCTCCAAATTTCATGTTGAGATGTAATCCTCAGTGTAAGAGGTGAGGTCTGGTGGGGGGTGTTTGGGTCATGCAGGCAGATCCCTCATGGCTTAGTGCTGTTCCTGCAAACTGATCTGGTTGTTTAAAGTGTGTGGCACATCCCCTTGATCTCTGTTGCCCCTGTTTTCACCAAGTGAGTCACCTGCCCCTCTTCTGTCTTCTGTCATAAGTAAAAGCTCCCTGAGGCCTCACCAGAAGCCAAGTAAATGCTGGTGCCATGCTTCCTGTGCAGCCTGCAGAACCGTGAGCCAATTAAACCACTTTTCTTCATAAATTACTCTGTATCAAGTGTCAGATTTTTCTTTACAGCAATGCAAGAATGACAACACAGGGTTGTACAGTAAATTTTGGTTGGGTGAGCAAATAAGTGAGTGACTAGTGCACATCACATTAGGTTCCCCATTTGGTTAATGTCAGGGTCAGGTGGACTAATGTTGGAGCACATTCCCGGGTAGACCATTTACTTCAGTGAATAAGCCTTGTGCAGATATGGTTGGCAGCCTGTCTGTATCCCCTCTGCCTACTCCAGCAGGTGCCTGCAGACAGTTCCATAAATGCCAGTGGCTGTTTCCCTCTGCCTCAGTGCATGCATAGCCCAAGGGAGTGGCTCAGCTTGCAAGTAGAACTGGTCAGAAGGGTGGGATAACAATCCCAGGATCAGCCATCAACCAATGAGGGATGGGAGTTGGTGGGTAAGTACCCCCGCTTTTCACCCTTCCAAAGCACAACTCTGAGGTGTGCTCACAGGAGTCTCACAGAGGAGCCCTTTGGGATGGAGGTGCATTGCTCTTTAACCTCTTAACAAGTTACCTTTCTTCTGTTCTCATCTCAATTTCCAAACCCTCACACTACTTTCTGAAAGCACCTCCCAAAGAAATAACTTGTAGCCAAATCTTAGTCTTCAGATTTGTTTAAAAGCAAACCTAAAGGGTTTCCCTAAGCTAGAACAGATGTGTATTGTACATGGTGTAAAACCTGGTGCACATTCTAGTACACATGTGTACACGACACATCTGCATCAAAGTCTGAGTTAGGCCGGGCGCGGTGGCTCACGCCTGTAATCCCAGCACTTTGGGAGGCCAAGGTGGGTGGATCACGAGGTCAGGAGATTGAGACCATCCTGGCGAACACTGTGAAACCCTGTCTCTACTAAAAATACAAAAAAATTAGCTAGGCATGGTGGTGGGCGCCTGTAGTCCCAGCTACTTGGGAGGCTGAGGCAGGAGAATGGCATGAATCTGGGGGGCAGAGCTTGCAGTGAGCAGAGATAGTGCCACTGCACTCCAGCCTGGGCAACAGAGCGAGACTCCATCTCAAAAAAAAAAAAAAAAAAATTCTAAGTTAGTGCAAAGACATAATTATTGGTTATATTTTCACGGATGTGGTTTTCTTGCCTTTGAGTATATATAGTAACTGGAATTAGGCTAAGATTTGTTTATTATTCTAATCAATAGATACGAATGATTTGTAATCAAATCAATTGCATTTAAGTAATTGGTGCTCAGAAATACTTGAGGGAGATTCAGAATGGTGCTGTCTTGGGTGGTTTTAATCATCTTACCCCTGAATCTTGCTGTCACCATAACTTTCTATCAAACCTCTTCTTCATGAATCGAAGATGTGCTGGAGTCCAGGCCCAGCCTAGCTCTGTCGCCTCCACACTGGCCAAGGTGTAGGAGGGACACATTTCAGATTATTTGGAGTTAGTGGGGGCATCTGGACTAGCATATGGGGACTCCAAGTGTTGTCCTGGGAATTCTATTGGAAAATTATTTTTGGACACTCTTTGTAGCTTAAGCTGTGTGTGCATCCCTCCAGAGAATTACTGACAGGTGTCTGGGGGCACTACCAATGTGGGTCACTGAGCACTAAAAGTGTGTTTATTTTGGACCACTGGGAGATTTACTTTGAGCTGCATATTCACTGGAGGGCTGGCTTTTGGTTACTACTTTTCTAGGACGTCCCCCCCACTTCTGATGTGCTGAGCGCTGAGCAACTGTTAATTCAGATCTTCTGGGGATGGTGGGGGGTTGGCGGAAGAGTTTACTTCACAGCTTCATATAGAGCATAGACCTTTGGGGTCTTGGTGAGATTGAGGAGGGTCTTCTAATAAACTCTCAAGCTTGAGTTGACTTCGACGTTGTCTTCTCTTTCCCACATTCTATGAGGTTGTGAACATTGAAGCTCAAATTGTCCAGATTTGGCAAATACTGTCTGGACAAAAGTCTCTTCGGCATTCCATATCTCTCTGGGGTTCAGCCTTTACTTCTACTTTGTACTGATAACTCCTTTCAGCTCTTTCATGATTTTAGGAAGATTTACAAAATACATTTGACCCATTTTTTAAAAAGTTACTTTCATCAGGGAGGCTAATTCCAATACCTAATCCACCATATTACAGGAGACAAGTTTCTGTCCCAAGGATTTAACAAGGAGCCTCTCTCAGTTGAACACTGAGCAGGAACCATGAGTTGGAGAGGATTCTGGAGTGTGAGGACAGGACTTTTAAAAACCTTAGCTCACCATTGCAGCTTTGGACATTAGTCTGCTGGTGGCCCCATTTATATAGATCAACCAGTCAGGGAATTAAATACTCTTGTCTTATGAACCAATGGGAACTGGAACAAGTTTGATCTGTCTTATTACAGAGGGCTGAAGTCCTGATTTGGTAAAAGTATTCTGTGATTGGGAACCTAGTTATACCCAACTCATCCATCCATCCATCCATCCACCCACCCACCCACGCACCCACCCAATAAATAGGGACATAGTGGAATCCCATTCTGAGAGAAACTCAGAGAGGAAGGTGAAAACAGACAGCACACATGTTTTAACAAGCCTTCCCTGAAGGATTTAAGGTATTCATATGCCCCATTTGCAAACTCCTTCCTGAGCCAAGTGTTGGATCCAACACCCTGTCATCATGAACAAATTCCTGATAAAATACATCTTGTATAAAAATGAGAATGAGAGACAAGTCTTTGTGAGAAGAGTAGATAGATGTTTAAATTAAGATTAAGATTTTTTGACTGGTAGTTACCACCCCAGTCTTTAGTCTAATTCTGGCCACTGCTAATTTTATAGGATTACAATGGGAAAAGACACTTTCTTCCCCTCTTGTGTTTCATATTGTTTTCCACTGAAGAAAGGGAAATATTAGAAAAATGCCTTTCAGGAACGAGGTCCTATATTAGAGCAATAAAAGCTAAAACCCTAGATCTCAATGGTGCAATGCAAAAAACGTTCATTTTCCATTTATTCCAAGTCCAGTGATTGTGCTCCTGTTCTGTGGCTTTCCTGAAAAGCTTTCCTTCACGTGTGACTCAGGGACTAAAGATATTGCTATTTTGGGATGCTACCACATTAACTCTGTCAACCAACTTAAACTAATTGACATCTATAAAACAACAACAGCAGAAATCACACTCTTTCCGAGTGCACATGGAGCATTTACCAAGATAGGCCATATTCTGGGCCATAAAACAAACCTATTAGTTTTGATAAATTTGAAAGGATTCAAGTCATAAATAGAATTTTCTCTGACTACAATTAAATTAGAAATCAATAAGAAAAAAGATACCTGAAAAATCCTCAAATATTTGGAAATGAAATACCACACTTCTAAATTAGCCATGGGTAAAAGCAGGAAGTAAAACATTTTTAACAAAAAAAAATATGGAATTTATGTGATAAAGCTAAAGCAATACTTAGAGGGAAATTGATAGTGTTACATGCCTATGTTGCAAAACAAGAAAACGTTCACATCAATGACTTCAGTTTCCACCTTAAAAATTAGAAAAGAAGGATCAAATTTAACCCAAAGTAAACAGATAAAAGCGAATAATAAAATTCAGAGTGAAGGCCAGGCATGGTGACTCACGCCTGTAATCCCAGCACTTTGGGAGGCCGAGGCAGGAAGATAACCTGAGGTCAGGAGTTCGAGACCAGCCTGGACAACATGGTGAAACCCCGTCTCTACTAAAAATACAAAAATTAGCCAGGCATGTGGCAGGCATCTGTAATCCCAGCTACTCGGGAGACTGAGGCAGGAGAATTGCTTGAACCTGGGAGGTGGAGGTTGCAGGGAGCCAAGGTCGTGCCATTGCATTCCAGCGTAGGTGACAGAGTGAGACTCTGTCTCAAAAAAAGAAAAAAATTCAGAGTGAAATCAATGAAATAGAAAACCAAAAAAAGAGAAAAATCAATGAAATCTGAATAGACCTATGTCTGTTAAAGAAATTGAATTTGCAATTAAAAACTTTCCCATAAAGAAAACTTCAGGCCCATGGTATCACTGGTAAATTTTATCAAACATTTAAGGAAGACATAATACCAAACATACACAAACTCTTACAGAACATGAAAGAGACTTGACTATTTCCCACAAGATGTCTGCTCTCATCACTTCTATTCAACGTTGTACTGGGTGTTCTGGCCGGTTAAACTAAGCAAGAAGGAATAAAAGGCATCTGGATTGAGAAGGAGGAAGTAAAACTATCTTTACTCACAGATGACAAGATTGTCTCTATAGAGAATCCCATGGAGACTACAAAACTATTAGAACTAACAAGTGAGTTTAGTAAGGTTGCAAGAGACAAGATTCATGTATGAAAATCAATTATTTCTATATATTAGTAATGAATAATTGCATATTGGAATTAAAAAGCAATACCATATACTAGAGAATAATATGATAAAATGTTTATGGATAAATCTAATAAAAGACATGAACAATCTATACCCTGGAAACTACGAAATATCACTGAGCAAAATAAAAGACAACCTAAATAGAGTGCTATGTCTTGCTCATGGGTCTGAATCAGTATTAAGAAGTCATTTCTCTCCAAAATGGCATATGAATTTAATATAATTCCAAGCAAATGGACACACTAATTCTAAAATTCATTTGGAAATGCTAAGAACCTGGCATATTCAAAATAACTGTGAAAAGAAGAAAAAAGCTTGAAGTCTTATGCTACCTGATTTCAAGATTTGTTGTAAAGTTACATTAATCAAACTGTAAGTTTTGTCATCAAAATAGACAAATAGATGAAGGTAACAGAATTAGAGAGTCCAGAAATATATAACAGAATAGAATTCCGCATATATAGGGGCAGCTGATTTTCAATAAAGTGCAAAAGACAATTCAATGAGGACAGGGTAGCCTTTTAAACAAATAGTGCTTGAAGCATTTGGATATCCATATGCAAAAATATCTAAACTTTGATCTGTACCTTCTACCATATATAAAAATTTAAAAAAATGGATCATGGATCCAAATATAAAACATAAACTATAAACTATGAATATATACATATAAGTATAAATCCAAATATAAAACATAAACCTATAAAACTTCTAGAAGAGACAGGAGAGAATCTTTGTGACTTTGGATTAGGCAAAGAGTTCTTAGATAAGACAACAAAAGCATAAGTCAAAGAAGACATGGACCAACTGCCTTTCATCAACATTAAAAACATTTGGTCTTCAAAAGATACTGTCAAGAGAGAACACAAAGATAAGCCACAGGCTGAGAGGAAAGCTTTGTAGAACAAATATCCGCTAAAGGACTTATATCCAGTATATTTAAGGAGCTCTTAAAATTTTATATTAAGAATACAAAGACCCCCCAAAAATTGAACAGAATATGTAAACAGAGACTTTATCAAAAAAGATAAATAGATGGTGAATAGGTACATGAAAAGATGTTCAACATCATGAGCCATTAGGGAAGTGGAAATTACAGCCATAAAGTGAGATCACTATACACCAATTAAAATGTTGAAAATTAAAAAGACTGATCACACCAAGTGTTGGTGAGGATGTGATGGAAAAAAAACTCATATATTGCAGATGTTAATGAAAATGGTACAATCACTTTAAAAACAGTTTGGCAGTTTCTTAAAGTGTCAAGCATATATCTACTATATAACTTAGCTATTCCATTCCTAGATATTTGACTAAGAAAAAAGGAAAACATATGTCTACACAAAGACTTGTACACAAATGTTCATAGTAGCCTTATTCACAGTAGCCTCAAATTGGAAATAGTCCAAATGTTTGACTACAGGTGAATGGATAAATTATGACTCTAGTCATAAAATGAAATACTACTCAACAATAAAATGTAATGAATTATTGATACAGGTAACATGGATAAATCTTAAAATAATCATACTGGGTGAAAGAAGTCAGACAAAACAGAATACCTACTGTATAAGTTCATTTATATAAAACTTTAGAAAATGCAAACTAATCTATAGTGACAGGAAGCAAATCAGTGATTGTCTAGGATGGGGAGGGAGAGAAAGGAGGATTATAAAAGGCCATAGGAAAATTGTTGGGATGATGGATATGTTCACTATCTTGGTTGTGGTAATGGTTTCATGAGTATACACATACCAAATTGCATACTTTAAATATGTGTGGTTGACTGTATATGAGTTATACCCTAATAAAGGTGTTAAAAATAGGCTATCTGGCTGCTTGGTTGAAACAGTTTGTAGATGACAAACATCAAAGAGAAGGCCTCTTTTGGAAGTCCACTGCAATTAG
Organism: Homo sapiens; assembly: GCF_000001405.40. Lineage (NCBI taxonomy): Eukaryota > Metazoa > Chordata > Mammalia > Primates > Hominidae > Homo > Homo sapiens. The sequence continues at coordinate 39,243,557 of NC_000020.11, forward strand.
TTCAGGTGAGAGATGATTGGAGCTTGAGCTGGGGTGATAGTAGGGAAGGTGGTGAGTGAAGGTGGGATTCCAGATATGTTGGAGATGGGCTGTGAGAGGAAAAGGTATTGAGGCTTGGGATGCAGTTTCCTGGCATGGGGATGGCTCTGGGAGATTAAATAACTTTCCCTAGTCATGCTGCGAACTAGAGGCTATTCTGGGATTGAAATCCAGATCTGCCAAGCTCCATGGAAGTCCTGAAGAGCAAGGGCTCCCTCCCTTCTCACTGTTTGTGAACCCTAGGGTGAGGAGAGATGGAGTGTGGGTACAGGACCTGGCTGAGAAATATCTGGATGTGGAAGGTTCCTGCTTGCCTGAAATGCAGGGCCCTGTGGTCCTGATTTACCCCAAGCTTCCTCAGTTCCTGGGGGAAGGTAAGATGGGCCAAGGTAGGAGAGAAGAAGGACAAACTGGATGAACCAAGTAGGTGCCTAGAACTCAAGGCAACCTTGACACTGAAGTGAGGGTCCTAAGAGTGCAGTTCCTTAACAACTTCAAACCCTGCTGAACTCACCAGACCCTGAGCCTTGAGAGTGTGACTGAGCACATGGAGGGCTGTGGGTGTGGTACATAGGAGTGGCTGTATTATGTAGGGTGACCAATTCATCCCAGTGTGCCAGAACTGCCCAGGTTTTGGCACTGAAAGCTTATTCCAGGGAAAATGTGGACGGTTGGTCATCCTACCTGTGTGCCTGAATGAATGGGCATGGATGTGTGTGTGTGTGTGTGTGTGTGTGTGTGTGGTGTGCATCTGTGAGTTCTTGGGCCTGTGCAAGTGGGTAGAGCTAAGTACATGAAGGAGGACGTGTTAAGGAGTGTGTATCCACGTGTAAGGGTGTTACTGGGACTTCGTAGATGTCTCAGGCAGATTTATTTATCCCCTCTCCTGACTCCTTCTGTGCTTCCAGAAAGAATTAGAGGTGGCTCTATGTGCAAAGGCAGTGTTCTGAGTGGTGGAGAGTGTGGACTCTGGAGTTTGAATGGACCTGGCTTCACATCCTGCCTCAACCACTACTGCCTCTGTGACCTTGAGCAAGCAACCTAACCACTTTGTGGGTCATTTTCCTCAGTGAACAATGGACACAAGGACCCTTTATCATGGCCACAAAAGAAATAATACATCTAGAAGGATGGCCACTCAGTAATCGTTCAGTTCATTGTAGTGATTACTGTCACTGTTCTTGTGAGTCTGGTGTGTGAGACTGAGTGTTGTCTTATGGAGTGTGTGACTGTGAGTGTGTGCCTGTGTGCATGTGCATGAGTGTGCATGTGTGAGTGCGTGCAATTTTGTGTGTGTATGTGTGCATACTTGTGTGAATGTACGTGCATGTATGGCAGTACCCATGCAGGTGTATGTGAGTGCATGCATGCACATGTGTGAGTGTGTGTGTTTCTGCTCATACAGAGCCATCCACTCTCAGGGTGAGCAAGCTACCTTGGGCTTGGTCAGGAAGATTGTGTGGGGTGGGTAGAGACCAGGGTCCCTGGAGACGAGGTGTCTGGAATCTCTGCGTTCTTTTTCATGGTGCCCTCAGCTCCCAGCAGGGCTCTGGCCCCAGTTCTCAGTGATGTGCGTTGGATAGGATTGAGTTCTGTATTGTACAAACTGCCTTATTAAAATATATGTTGTGCATTCATGAATCTTTAATATGAGGCACTTAGTGAGTCCATAATCTCCTCAATTGAGCTGTATAAAGGAGGACTGTGGGGGAGATGAAGACTTTCTGCAGAGGCTGCAGTGAGGAGGGGCAGCTGGGGGTGGGGACAGAAGGTTCTCACATATGAGGGTGGGGGACGAAGGGACAGAAGGTTCTAGCATATAAGGGGAGGAGGAGGATGAGGATGAAGGAGTGATTCCCCCAGAGGAAGGACAGCAGATCCCACAAACAGAGGATGGTGGTTCTTGTGGACTGAAGGAGGCAGTTTCCATACACTGAGGACAGCTTTTCTCCCAGATGGAAGGAGAAAATAGGTGGTTCCCATGGACTGAGGGAGGATGAAGGAAGAAAGTGGTTCCCAGAGACCAAGGGAGGTGGTTTCTACAGATGGATGGAGGAGAGAGGCACTTCTCATAGACAAGGCAGGTGGTTCTCACAGCCTGAGGGAAGAGGGAGGAAGGAGGTGGTTCCCAGAGGCAGAAGGAGTAGGGAGGCAGTTTTCACAGAGGGAGGAGGGAGAAAGAAAATGGTTCCAAGATACCAAGGGAGGTGGTTCCTTCAGATGCAGGAAGGAAGTTCTCACAGATAGAAGGAAGTGGTTCTTACAGACATAGGGAGGCAGTTCCCACAGGATGTGGGGAGTGGGTGGTTAAGATCCACCAAGGCTGCAGGGTCTGATCTAGGTATTACTCTTGCAAAGAGGTTGACTATGTAAAGGGAGAGGACCTATGTATTTTATGGCCATCTGGTCAGGCTGGCAGGAGGAGGTCAGATTGCCCTGGGAGGCTTGGTGCATTATGGGACTAGAGTGACTTTTCTTGGAGCCAAAGGCCTGTCCGTGGCTTCTTTTACTCAAGCTGTACACTGTCTCTGCTTACTGGCCTGCTTGCATGCTGCAGGCCCTGCTCAGAGAACCTGCCCCACTGCCTTGTCTGCTTAGCTGTAGCCATTGGACCAAGGGGCATCTGCTGATCTGTTGTCAGACATCTCTCATTGCTGTGAGATGCCCATGCATAGCTCAGAACTTGGCATACAGACTGTTCATTAAATATTTGTTGGATGTGTGCTGGAGTCCCCACTGTACCTAGAAGAAATGGAAGTGTGGAAAGATTAAGAAATTTGCACAAAGTCACTTGGCTGTTGTCAGATAAGGAGATCAATCACATTCTCTCTTAAGAATATAATTTGGAGACATAAAATAGGAGTTGGTAGACGGCATTTGAGCTAAAAGTTCATGCACAGTTGGGGCTGGAGTTGGTGTCTTGACAACCTAATTTATTTGAATTATTGGGTGACAGGTGGGGGTGAGTAGGCAAAAAACGTACAATGAAAGAAACCCCTCTGAAGAGGAGATAAAGCTGACTGCAGAGAAAAGTGGAGATCAAAAGACAGAGACAGATGTAGAGAAAGAGGAGAAAGGTGCACTCTTCCTTCCTTCCTGAATGGGAGCAGGTTTGAATGAGTTCAAGACCCTCCCAGGGCTGAGCTTCTGGCCTGAATGCCTTGGGCACTCAGTCTTTGCTGAGGCAGGTACAGGACAGACATTTTCTCACTGGATTTTCACCGTCGTCTTGTACTGTGTGTTTCCCATTTTATGGTTGGGAAAACTGAAGCTCTGATTGGTGACAAATGCCCAGGGGCACACAACTGGGAGGACACAGAGGCCAGATTGAAAACTACTCTTTTCTAGCTCACTGCTCTCTAGCCACACTGGCCTGGGACAACCCCCAGTCCTGTCTCGGGGTCTTTGCACTTTCTGTCCCTCTGCCTGAAACACTTTATCCTTATGTCCACGTAACTGGCTCTTTCTGAACCTTGAGGTCTCAGCTTGGTGTTGCCTGCTTGAGAAAGTTCCCCTGGTCACCCTGTCTAAAGCAGCCACTACAAGCTTTTATTCAGTAATAGCCCTTTGGGGTTGCTGTTGCTGTTGTTTATTAGTTTTGGTCTACACGGCATTTATCACAATTGGTAATTATTTTATTGATTCAATGATTTAACGATTCACACACATCCTGTAAGCTCCATGGAGAGAGGCATGGCCTGTGTTTTTGCTGTGAGATGCCCATGCATAGCTCTGAACTTGGGCATACATATTATGTTCATTAAAAATTTGTTGGAGTCTCCATTTTACCTAGAAGGAACGGAAGTGTGGAAGGATTAAGAAATTTGCCCAAAGTCACTGAGAAAACGAATAGCTGGAGCAGGGGTTGAACCAGCATCTGATCCAGCTCCAGAGTCCACACTCTTCTTCGACTGTCACACTAGGAAATTTCCATGTACTCCTCCTTTGTGAAAATCACCGTTTCTCTGGGCTGGAAGATGTGGCAGAAAAGGCTGTCTCCCACTGGTCTGGGCAGTGAGCACACTCCACACCCCTGCTGTTTACCCCCTGTCCTGAGCTGCAGTGGTCAGGACGTCAAGGTTCAAGACTCAGCCCTGTGCTAGCTTGCTGTGGGAACTTAGGTGATCAATTACCTGTGCGTGTCTCGTCTCCTGCCAGCCATGTGGCTGAGGCCCTGCTGTGCCCTGTGCTGAATAAAGACACAGAGAGAGAGTCAGGAGTGTCCAGGAGCAGGGTGGGTGTTGAAGTGCCTGCTCAGCTTCTGCCATATTTCATTGTCATAGCTATCAACCTTCCTTAATTTCAAAGGTGAGTTTGAGCACCTGGGAGTGAGGGGAGAGGGATGCCAAGGGTCAAAGGCGAAGCATGGCAGAAGACAGGTCACTGCTGCCACAGGCACTCAATGTCTCTCCCTCTGGGAGTGGGCTAGGGGGATGTTTATACTCTTGAAAGCAAGAAACTAGGCACTGGAGGGGCTTTAGGAGGTGAGGAGTGGAAAGAGTCTGCTGCCCTGGTTCACTGAGGTGGAAGCCAATAGAAGAGGAGGGCACTTGGTGCCTGGGCATGGAGGGGAACTCTGACTATCCTGTCCCTGCTCCCAAGACCAAGAAGAGCACTGGGGCCACTCCTGGGCGCTGACTCCCTGCACTCTGGCTCAGCTATGTGGAGGAGGCCCCTGGGAGAGGGGCCTGGGGGGGCCACCAAAGAGGAGGTGGACGAAAAGCCATCCTGCTGTGTCTCCCTGAAGCAGCACGAGCACACGCAATTATAAGACAGTGGGCAGATGACAGAGTTAGTTAATGTAACAAGCCCTTTAAGCATTTAGCCACATTCGAGTGTTTAATCAGCTGTGTAAAGTGCAATATCTATCTTTCAATTTTATGCCATTAGGGGAGACAAGATTTTGATTAGGTACTTAATCTGTGCACGGAAAAAACAGGCCCACAGCAAGCCCACGATGGGGAGGGAAAGGGACATTGGACGGGGGATTCGATAAAGGGGAAAGACAGAAATTTAACATAAAAGAGAATTAGTGCAGCTCCTTTCAATTTAGTGCCCAGGCTTTATGGCCTAATCAATTAGAGGCCTGGCCAAGCCTGCTGGGAAGCTGCTCGGCTGGGCTGGAGGCTCGGCCATATTAATTCCTTTCATTACGCGGGGGTCAGGCTGAGGGCTTTGGGGGGGCTCGGCAAGGAGTGGGTCACTTCTCGGGCACTGGCTCTAGAAGCCAGGGGAGGAGGTCAAATGGTGTCATGCTGGACAGGAAGTGTCCTGGGGGCTCAAGGAGGGCTGGGTACCCAGTAGGGTGGGACTGAGAGGGTTCTGGGGGGGTGCAGGCCCATGAGGTGGTGTAAAGTGGTGGGTGAGCCCTTTAGTTGTGGAGTAGGAGAGGCCTGGGTTTGCAGACCAGCTTTGTGACCTATTGGCTGTGTGATCTTGGACAAATTACTTGGCCTCTCTGTGCTGCAGTTTTCTGTAGAACTACAACTGTGGCTACTCCAAAGGGTTGCCATGAAGAGAAAAAGAAAGTAGCATGCAAAGAGCTTACTTAGCATAGTATGTGGCTGAGTGAGCACTCACTCAATGTTAGCTATTATTGTTATTTGTTTCTAATACTATTATATGTGCCACTGGAGGTAACATTTTAACAGGCAGGAGCTTTAACTGCCACCACCACCACTTCCTTTACACACCAGTCATTGTGCTAGATGCTCTTTCTATTACTAACAGTAGTTTTACAGGTTGGTGCTATTGCCTGCAGTTTACAAATGGGGAAAGTGAGGTTAAACAACTTGTCCAATGTCACACAGTGTTGGAGGCCCCAGAATTAACACTTTCTCTCATGGTCCTTCCTATCACAGGGTGCTCACTCCTTGCTCTCATGGCAGAGTTAAATGGGACTGAATTCCTTAATGGTAGAGGTCACCAGGAAAGGGTAGCCTTCCTAAATGTTCCCAAGGGCTCTAGATCTTAACAAGTCACCTTCCAGTTACTGAGTGAATTGTAGAAAAGATGCCTGAGGCTGGGCCAGTGACCTTTACAGAATCATGGAGACCTTAAACCCTGGGAAACGAAAGTTGGTATCCTGAAAGTTTTCTTAAGCCATGGCCCATGAAAGACAGAAAAAGTAGGGCTGCTTGGGGTGGAATGGAAATGAACAGCTGGGTCGCCTTCACCACCTCCTCTGTGGCTCTAGCATGTCCTGAGAGGCACCTGGGCAGGACCTCAGGGTCCAGAGAGCCCACTGTGAAACCCCTAGAGCTGTGAGTGAGTTGGATGCAGAGTTCAGGTGGTAAAGCTCTAGAGGGACTGTTAAAGAAAAGCCGGGAAGGAAGTGGAGACCGTTGGAACCAGCAAATGTGTCAGTTGAAGGGGCTTTTCTTCTTTAGCAGATATGGGAAGGGGGTGAGGGAGCATGCTAAGATTTATTGGGCACCTGTTGGCTGACTTCTCGCTCAGTAGCTGTGAGACTTAGGGCAAATCATTCACTTTCTCTTGCCAGTTTCTTCAGTTGTAACCTGGAGTGATCATGGTTCCTTCCTCACAGGCTGGTTGTGAGGAGGGGATAAGCTGATGTATGTCAAGTGCCGAGAACCCTATGTGGCACTGAGCTGAGTAGGGATTTGAATAAATATTAATTATTGCTATTACCGGCTGTTACCTCAGCACTTTCTAAGTGACAGGCCCAGTGCTAGGAACTGTATATGTGATACCATCCCATGCCATTCCTGTGCCACCTGTGTGGGTTGTTGATATGGTGTCAGTTACAGCGATGAAAAGTTTAAGTTCAGAGAGATGAAGTGACCTGTCTGATATCACACAGCTGGTGTGCAATGGGGAGGAGACCATCTCCTTGACCGCTAGTTGCTTCTAAAGGCCTTCTTCCATGAAGTGCCACCTCGACAGGCATATGGTATGGCCAGAGTGAATCTAAACTCCAGCAGGACATTTGGGAAATTATGTAATCTGTTCAACATGTATTTGTTGAACACCTACTATGTGCCACATACCATAAGCCCTGTGAAGGTAGGACTCACATCTGTCATTGCCACTGCCACCGAGGAACCACTTCACATGTTTGTATAATGAATGAATGGGTGAGTGAATGGATGTTATACTGAGCCACATCCTCAGTATCCTTGAGGAGAGGGTGGAGAGACGTGAATGACTTGATTTTGGTATTAGGTGGAGTGGGAGGCAACATGATAGAGTGGACAGAAAAATGAGAATCTCTGGATTGGAATCCTGGACTTCTCTCTCTGCAGTTAGATGAGATGTGTAACCTCTCTGAGCCACTTTCTTGTGTTTGGCAGGGGCAGGACAAAAGTCCTGCTCTTCTTGCCTTTTCCCCTGGCTGAGATGATCAAGGGAAATTTCTTGGCTCAAGGTCTGGCGCATGATAGAGGCTCAATGAATGTTACTTGCTATCCATCCTGCTTTTTTTTTTTTCTTGAATGATCAATAAATCAGTGAACCCATAGTTGGTATCAGCCACGAGGGAATCTTTTATTGAGGTGTCATTAGGGTTTGTCCTTGATCTCTCCCTGTTGACATTTTCAGAAATATGTCAAATAAGCATGAAACAACAGTCCAATTACTGCTCCCAGGGCATCCTGTTCTTCATAGTATGATCCTTGGTTTTAAATCCTGTGCTGCTTTTGTCTATTAGACTAGATTTCCACTAGGGTAGGGAATTAATCTTGCTCATTGGAGCAGACTAGCTGCTCAGAACACTTTTTTTTTTTTTATTTGAGACTTTGAGTCTTGCTCTATCGCCCAGGTTGGAGTGCAGTGGCGTGATCTCAGCTCACTGCAACGTTCGCCTCCCGGGTTCAAGCGATTCTCATGCCTCAGCCTCCCGAGTAGCTGGGATTATAGGCACACACCACCACGCCCAGCTAATTTTTATATTTTTAGTAGAGATGGGGTTTCACCATGTTGTCCAGGCTGGTCTCGAACTCCTGACCTCGTGATCCACTCGCCTTGGACTCCCAAAGTGCTGGGATTACAGGTGTGAGCCACTGCACCTGGCCTCAGAACATGTTTTTGCCAAAGGACTAAATAAATGGATGGATGAGAGACAGAGATGGCCTTGCAGTACCGTTGTTGATGGGACATAGATGGGCAGGATAGTTTATTGTGCAGTAGCACCAAACATAAGAAGCTTTCTTGAGGTGATAGCACTGGGCTGAGTTTTACAGAATAAAATTGGACGGACAAAACTGTCAGCCTCTGCACACGGATCCTGTAAACCAGCTGTATAAACATAAGCGTGGGTGAGAGCGACCACTTAACCTTGTCCTTCTTGATTCCTTAGTCGTTTGGAGCAGAGGTTGGCAATGTTTTCTACAAATGGCCAGACAGTAAATATTTTAGGCTTTGAGGACCCTGCAGTCTCTGTTGCCGCTATTCAAGTCTTGTTGTAAAAGCAGCCTTAGACAGTATCTAAGCAAAGGAGTGTAGCTGTGTGCCAGTAAAACTTTATTTACAAAAGCAGGCAGCCAGCAGATTTGGCCCGTGGGTGGGTGGTTGCCAATTCCTGATTTAAAATACAGCCCCAGGGAGTAATCTTACAGCCATACAGCTTCACATCCACCTTAATTAACATTGACTCTGGGCAGCTGTGCTCCCATTTCACAGAGGAGAACACTGAGGCGGATAGGCAAAGAGTCTGTTGCAGAGCTGGACTCAGCAGGGCTGTTGCTCCAGACATGGCAAAAAATATCAGCTGCCACGGAACACATTATACGTCACGCACTTAACATGCATCATCCACAGAGCATCCTCATTGACCTGGAGAGGTCTATCCTCTTATTCTCCTTTTTACGGTTGAATAAACCTGGGCTCAAGGAGGTTAAATGACTGACTTATGGTCCCACAGCAAATGATTTAGCATTTATTTAAGAAGATTTATTGAGCATCCACTCTCTTCCAGATGCTTTTGTACAGTTGGGGCTAAGGGAAACCCCTGACCTCAACGTGCTTACATTGTACTTGAGGAGAGTGGACAATGAATGAATGAAATGAATCAACAATATAGAACGTTAGAAGGGAATAAGGGCCTGTCAGTCAGGACAGGCATGGCTTAAAGCAAGAGTCGGCAAACTCTGACCCGTGGGTCAAATCCTGCCCACTGCCTGTTTCTGTAAATCAAGTTTTAGTGGAACACAGCCATGCCCATATGCTTCTGTGCCTATTTTCATGCTATGGGAGAGTTAAGTTGCTGCAGCAGGAATTGTGTGGCTCTCAAAGCCAGAAATTTTGTGACCTCTGGTTTCAACCAGGGTTTATTTCTTGTTGATGCTTTATGCCCCTCTGGGTGGGCCCAAGAGCACAGCCTATTGGTCCCTCAGGGAACCAGGCCAGTGGGGCACCCACTACCTTGAATATTTGCAAGGCAAAGCAAGATTCTGGAAAGAGTCTCATATGGGCAATTAGGTGCCTGGCCTAGAAGTGACATGTGCCATTTCTGCTCAGAATTTTTTGGCTTTACCCAACAGAAAGAGTTCTAACTTTGCCATGGGTTTAGAAGGTGAAGAGCTAGAAATATTTGGTGAGTTGCCCTGATGACCACATGTGCTATGAGAAATAAGTAACCAGGGTAAGCTGACAGGAAGTGCCAGGGGCTTTTCAATTTTAAGCAATGCCTCCAGGGAGGGCGTGGATGAGAAGTCAGCTGGGATTTGAGCCCAGGTCTACCCATCTTGAAAGAGTGTCCTCTCACCCTCCATGCTATGCTACTGTACCCTCCATAGCCCATAAAGAACGGTTGCTGGGAAGGTCATTTGCTGGCCAGATGGGGAAGCACACTCCCCTTGTGAACTCTTGCCAAAGGCCTCACTGCCCCTGTCCCCAGCCGCCTCACTCCAGCTGTGGGATTTCTGACTCTCACAGGTCACAACCCCATAGCGATCACAACCAGGCACTTTGCTCTCCAGTCCTGGGAGAGATGGGCTGGGGGAGGAGGGCGAGAGGCCCTCTCTGCGAGGCTGTGACTCCACGAGGCACTACATTAACGTTATTAATAACCCTCTCAGCCTTTATTGAAAAGATGCTCTCCGTGCCTGAATTTGCCACTATGGCAACCCATTTATTAAGGCTGTAAGAGCTGGAGTCACTTCAGACCATATTTATTACCATGATTTGCTGAGGGAAGGCTCTGATCTGGGACTGGGGCAATTGGGGGAGAGAACGTGTAGTTGCTTAGAGGGAAGGTCTTGGCTCACCTTGCCAGTAGGTCAGCGAGGGATGCGGTTTCATTCTCTCCCAACTAGATCAGGACTCAAATTGCAGGTGGGGAGCTTGGGGGTTGAACACAGTGGTGATTCCTTCTCTTTTTTTTTTTTTTTCTTTTTGAGACGGAGTCTCGCTCTGTCCCCTAGGCTGGAGTGCAATGGCACAGTCTTGGCTCACTGCAACCTTCACCTCCCAGGTTCAAGCGATTCTCCCACCTCAGCCTCCCAAGTAGCTGGGATTACAGGCACACACCATCATGCCTGGCTAATTTTTGTATTTTTGTAGAGACGGGGTTTCACCATGTTGGCCAGGCTGGTCTTGAACTCCTGACCTCAGGTGACCCGCCCTCCTCAGCCTCCCAAAGTGCTGGGATTACAATCGTGAGCCACCACACCTGGCCTGATTCCTTCTCTTAGTGTGCATACAAGGACAGCAAGACTCAAAGGAGCCAAGTGAGTCCCCAGGGGCACAGAGCTGTGGCCAAGTGAGCAGTAGTGGGGGTCCTACAAGGCGGGGGCTGATTTTTCTACAAAAATATAAACTAGATTTCTCTCTCTTTCTCTCTCTCTCTTTCTCTCTCCTCCCTCCTTCTTCTTCTCGTGATATATAATAAACTGTTTTAGCACCAGAAAAAAAAACTCACAACATCCACAGTGATGGTAACACCGCCACCAGCTAATGCAATCAGTGCTGGGCTAAAGGATTTCTGTTAATTCCCCTCTTTGAATTCTCACCATAGTCCTCTGTGGGTTTTATCGTTGACCTCATTTTACAGAGGAGGACCCTGAGTTCTGGGGAGATTAGGTATCTTGTCTAAAGTCATACAGCAAGTAAGTGCAGAGCTGGGACTCAAAGCCAGTTCTGATTCCAAAGCATGTTCTCGTATCCTGCATACCACATCATCTCCTTTTTTGTTGTTGTTGTTGTTCTTGTCCCCTTTTCAGATTCCAGAGGAGTGACAGGCTCATGTGCATGGACACCTTCTCCAATAACCGTTCCTTTGTCTCTCTCAGGTCCCTTCCTCTAGAATAGTCTCAATATGAGCACTTGGTCAATGGAGTGGGATTTGCATTAGTTTGCTCAGGCTGTTGTAAAAAAGTTGCACAAACAGAGTGACTTTAACAACAGACATTTATTTTCTCACAATTCTGGAGGCTACAAGTCTGAGTTAAAGGTGTTGGCAGGGTTGGTTTCTTCTAAGGCCTCTCCCATTGGTTTGCGGATGGCTGTCTCTTCACTGTGTCTTCACATGGTCTTCCTTCTGTGTATGTCTATGCCCTATTTTCCTCTTCTTATAAGAAAACCGATCATATTGAACCAGGCCCCCCCACCCCAGTGACTTTATTTAAGTTTATATATATTTTCTTTTTTGAGACAGGGTCTGGCTCTGTCATCCAGGCTGGAATGCAGTGGCATGATCTCAGCTCCCTGCAACCTCTGGCTCCCAGGCTAAAGCCATCCTCCCACCTCAGTCTCCTGAGTAGCTGCCAGCATGCCCAGCTAATTATTTTTGTATTTTTTTGTAGAGATGGGGTTTCACCATGTTGCCCAGGCCCCAGGCTGGTCTCGAACTCCTGAGCACAAGCCATCTGCCTGCCTTGGTCTCTCAAAGTGCTGGGATCACAGGTGTGAGCCACCATGCCCAGCCTCAATTTTAATTACCTGTGTAAAGGCCCTATTTCAGAATACAGTAACATTCTGCAGTATTGGGCACTGGGGACTTCAACGTATGAATTTTGGGGGAATGGAATTCATCCCATGCAGGATTCAAGACCAACTTCCCGGCATCTGAAGCTCTCTGGGGTCAGAAGAGAACATCCATGGAGTTCTGCAGTGGAGCACTGGAGGCAACTGGCTCCTGTCTACACTGAAAGCTCTCATTCCCCAGGCCTCACTGGAGCGCAGGTCACATTGATTCCATCTCGAAATGGTCCTCTCAAAAGGGCAGGAACTGTCTATAATTCCCAAAGTCTTCTCTTCCATTCTAGGCCCTGGGCACACAGTTGCCCCACAGCTGTTCCTTCCTTCACATACTTTTCGCCGTTGCCCATTTAAGATGTGCTTCTGGGTATATCTGCAATCTTCAGGCCTAGGATGCCTCCTGTTTCTCTTCCCTGGGTTTGTGCTTTTTATTTCTGCTCTCTTTCCATGACTGACTACATCCTTCCTGGCCTCCCTCCCTCTTTCCTTTCCTTCTTACCTCCCTTTCTCTCTCCCTTAGTCCTTTCTTTCTAACTCTCTTCCTTACCCCCAAAACCATTCTCTATACACGTGTCCCATGTTAGGGACTGTGCTAGATGCTGGGGATTCAATGAAGAGCCTAAACTAAAAATTTAAAGCAAAGATAGATGCAAAACTGGAACCTCTCTAACATAGGCCCCATTCTCATGCAACTTCAGACTAGGAAGGAAAAGGGTAACGAAAGATTACTGCAAGTTAATGCATGGAAAATTGCACCTGCGAAAGTGGCAAGGAAAGGCAGTTGTCATGAGAACATAAAATAGAAAGATTTCTTCTTGCCAGGGAGGCCAGCGGGTGAGGCTGAGCTGAGCCGAGCCTTGGAGGAGGCATGAGGCTTAACTGGGCAAGGTGACAGATGGGGCAGAGGTTTCATGCACGAGGCAAATGATTTAGGCTGTGCAAGGAAAAAGCTGAGCGCGATTGAAGAGACAAAAGTAGGACAGTGTAATTGGAGGAAAGAGAGCAAGAAGCAATGTATGAGATGAGGTTGGCAGAGGCCAGATCATGAGAAGCATTAATGATTTGTTGAGAAATCCATTCATTTAGCCTCAGTGGAATGTGGAGCCACTGATGGGTATTGAGCAGGGAGTGGGACTAGGCAAAGAGACCAGGTTGGTGAGTACAAAAGATCATCCAGGCTGTTGAAAGAAACCTGAGTGGAGGTGGGGAGGTCTGAGCATGTGGCTGGGTGGGGTGGGATATGTTAACAGATAGATATCTTTCATTCTATGCACCCATTGGACTTTTTACTTTTTCCTTAGTAGAAGCTGTCGCTTGTAAGACCAGATAGCAAAGACACTAAATTATTGTCTTTTTTTTTTAAGTTTATTTTGAGCTAATTTTATACTCATGTCATAGTTGCAAAAGTAATACAGAAAATTCCCATTCTTCCAGCTTCCCCTGATAGCATCTTTTATAATCACAGTATAATGATCGAAACCAGGAAACTGACATTGGTACAATATTATTAAGTAAACTGTAGACATGTTTTCACCAGTTGATATCACTGCGTGTGTGTGGTTTTTATTTTTATTTTTTTGAGACGGACTTTTGTTCTTGTCACCCAGGCTGGAGTGCAGTGGTGTGATCTTAGCTCCCTGCAAACTCTGCCTCCCAGGTTCAAGCAATTCTCTTGCCTCAGCCTCCTGAGTATCTGGGATTACAGGCACCTACCACCATGCCCAGCTAATTTTTGCATTTTTGTATTTTTTTTTTTTTGAGACAGAGTTTTTTTCTTGTTGCCCAGGCTGGAGTGCAATGGCACAGTCTTGGCTCACTGGGATTACAGGCACCCGCCACCATGCCCAGCTAATTTTTGCATTTTTGTATTTTTTTTTTTTTTTTTTTGAGGCAGAGTTTTGTTCTTGTTGCCCAGGCTGGAGTGCAATGGCATGGTCTCAGCTCACTGCAACTTCCCCCTCCCAGGTTCAAGCAATTCTCCTGCCTCAGCCTCTGGAGCAGCTGAGATTGCAGGCATGTACCACCACGCCCAGCTAATTTTTTTGTATTTTTAGTAGAGACGGGGTTTCACCATGTTAGTCAGGCTGGTCTGGAACTTCTGACCTCAGGTGAGCCACCTGCCTCTGCCGCCCAAAGTGCTAGGATTACCGGCAAGACCCACCACACCCGGCTGTGTATGGGTTCTGAATTGTGGACTTTTAAATTTTCAAGGTGTGTGGCAGAAAACGAAACAACCTTGCCAAGCTAGTGCCCTCTATCCCAAATACTTAAAGAACTTCTGGGTTTCTAAATGGATGGAAATGAGGGAGAGAGCATGGCACTTAGACGTGATGATTTAGTCCTAAAAAGGACAGAATCAAGCACCCTGCAGTGTGCTTCTCTTGGATGGCTGGGGCAGCTCTGTGGTGAATTTCCATCCTCCACTCTTTTCCCCGGCTCTGTCATCCACTCTACTCCCAGCTTTTAGATTTGCTGAAAGCCCACCTCTGCCTGTGCTCTGCAGGCCACAGCATCTCCCCTCTTCCCCCTCCCCTCTCCCCTTTCCTATGAGGTGAGGTATAGACCTCTTGGGACGTCCTCTGGATCTCTTTACCTATGGGCCCCAGCCAACCTGATATCCCCCATCTTCCTGGTAAATTCCTTCCTAGTTTAACTGTGACTTTTCTGTACCTGACCTTATTCTACCACTGGTGTCTGTGTTCATCTGTATCCTTCCATCGGGAAAACTCATTTTCTTCAATTCTGCCTTTACAAATTCTACTCACCCTTCAAGGCCTCAGCATACCCCTTCACCCCTGCCACCTTGTTTCTCATCTTCACGTGACCTCTTTCAGGTTTTAGCTCAAATGTTACCTCCTTAGAGAAGTCTTCCCACCCCAACTCCACTCCCCTCTGTCCTGACTGATTTTGTTGCTAGTACTTTCAGTCTCTGAAGTTATTCTATTGGTTGACTTGTTTCCTGTATTTTCTACAGGAAGTTTTGAGTACGTCAAGATCCAGTCTGTCTTGGCCTCCACTGTAACCCTGGTACTTGGAACAGGGGATGGCACACAAAGATACTCAGTCCGTATGTACTCAGAGACTGATTGACACATAAATTATAGTGATTGCGTTTAGTTAAATAATAATAATAATGAAAATAATAATAATAGTAGTTTTACGGCTGGGGTAGCCGCACTTTCCTCCGAACTCTACAACTTGCTGTCTTGGCTTTTGCTGTGGATTGCTCTATATCAAGGGTCACAGATGAATCTGGATAGGTCTGCCTTTATGCAGATGCAGAGTCCCTTGAGAGGGTTGGTATTCTTCATCTCTGGATCTCCTTTAGCCCCTGGCCCAGGAGTTGGCACTTGGAAAGCTGTCATGGTAAATATTCTGAATGAACAAATATTTGAATGAATGAGAAAGAGCAGCTATCATTGCTTCTATTTTGCAACTAGTAATAGTCCAGTTTAGTGTGCAGACCCATGCCAGCAGCAGAGCTGGGCAGAGGAGCCAGGCATCATCCTCTCTCTCCCCACACCCTCTGCATGCACTTGGCCTCCCTGTCTCCTGCTCTCTAGGCTCTTAGGAGTACAATATAGTTTGTACAATAAGTACAAACCCATAAAGCTCCCTCCAGTATATCTTGCTTAACCGCTCTTATCAGAATAGAGGAGAACTGAAAGGGCTTTCGAAAGAGCCATCTGTTAGTTTTCATAAAGACATTATGTGCTTCCCATCACAGGGTTTTTGCTGTCTCTGTCATGTGTCCGCCCTCCCTCCGCTGTCTGAGAGAGCAGGAGCGTGGTGCCTCTCCACTTTCCTGTCTGTGCATGGCTGCTGGAGGTGGGCTGCAGATGAGTATTTATCTAAAAGTGAAGAGATCTGACTTATAAGCAAGCCTGATATTAAATGTATAAATAATGCATCCTGTGGCATTATTTATAATGCAATAACATCCCTATAATGTAATAAAAGTATGCAGGTTCCCAGCACTTTTCTTAACCCCTTAATGTCTTGGAAGATGCTGTGGGTTTACCAGCTTCCTCATGCCTCAGGGGCTTTGGGCCATATGCCAAGCCTGGCCAGGCCCTGGCTCCTAAACAGCTGAAGCGTCTTCATAACCACCTGCAGGATAAGCTCAGTCCCAGTATATGGGGTAGTGATTTCCAAACTTTGTTGTGAGTCAGAATGGAGATTTCCTACCTTCAACCTACTGTTTTGGAATCTCATAGCATGGGGAGGGGACATTTGTGTGTTTAACCAGCTCCCTGGTAGGTTCTAAGCCATGTACATAAGGACTCTTGGTCAGTCCTGCCTTGTGACAGAATAGACTAATGAGCAGCTCCAGATCATTGCTATGGGACTCAAAATCAAGTCAATCTTGCTAGGACTGCACTGGCCTGGTGCCTCAGTTTCAGCTCCTGCTCATCTGCCCAGAATGCACATTCCTCCTGTCACTCAACATCAACTGTGTGTCTGAACCCAGCCACCCGCTGGCAGGCTCCCTCAAGGCCAACTGGTGCCTAACCGGTCCTCTGAGTTTTGCCTGCTCTGGTATTTTCTCACTTATCAGGTGGCAGAAAACTCTGGGTTGACCCAGGAAACCAGTGCTTACTTAGGTGCCTGTGTCTGATGTCTTGTAAATTCCCCTGGTTTCCAGACTGGCCTGGGATCCCAGTGCTACCCAGAGATCTACCTTTCTTTTGGGGTCTGTTTCTCATTCTCCAAAGTGGCTGTCTTGTGGTATCTAGTGTCCTTGGATTTCCAATATCTCCCTTTTACAAAAAAAAAAGACAACCTTATATACTGGGACAATGAAAAAACAGAACCCATCAGTGGCATGGATACTCTGAACTTTCTGTTCCTCACCGTGGCTGCCCACCTTCAAGTATATCTCTGCCTGTATCCATGCTGTCTGTCATCTTTCCCACCACAATGGAAGAGGTTTATGGTCTCCACCATTAGGTGACATTCCTCACTTGTGCTCTGGACCCCAACCCTGCAGCCTCCCCAGGTAACTCTCTCTATAGACAATCTCTTCTCTTTCTCCTGAATCTTCAACATGTTTCCCTACTGGTTTTCCATCAGCTTCTAAACATGATCAGCTTCTCTCACCCAACTATCATCATTTGGCTCAAGGCTTCTTCTAGCTACTATCCTATCTTCTCCCCCATCTCAACCATATTTCATAATAATAGTGGTATGTATTTGTTGACTCTTGTCAATGGATACAGTGACAATATATAGTGAATGTGCTAACTCGCCTAGTATTAATTATTTTTTTTCGAGATAGGGTTTCATTATGTTGCCCAGGCTGGAGGGCAGTGGGCTATTCCCGGCTTCATTGTAGCATACCACAACCTTGAACTCCTGGCCTCAAGCAATCCTCTCACCTCAGTCTCTTGAGTAGCTGAAAGTACATTGTACTTGGCTTAACTTATTTAATCTTCACAATAATCCTATGAAAAATTTATACTAGATGAGTTAACACCTAATTAAGGTATAGAGAGATTTGGTGACTTGCCCGGGGTACATACTAGTGTAAGGTTTGATCCTAGGCAGTCTGACTTCAAAGCAAATGTCTACATTTGCCTGTGAATCTTTCTCACCTGTTAGTCCTCCACGATTTGATTTCTACTCTCAGGTCAGCAGAGATCTCTGCATTGTTACATCCAGTGGGGACTTTTGGGGCCTAGTTGCACCTGATAGCACTGACCTCCTTATTCATTTTTGACCTTCGCTTCTTTTGTTCTTGGGTCCCCACAGTCTCCTTGTTTTCCTTTTACCTCTCTGGTCACTTCTTAGTCACATTTGCAGGCTCTTCTCTCTTGGCCCAAGACCTTACATTTTGGGATGTTCCAGGGTTCTATTCTTTTCCTTCTTTCCACTCTGCACACTGTCCCTGTCTTAATTTGTCAACTACATTCTAAGAACCTCAAGTTTTTGTTCTGATAACTAAACCAGAGGTCCATTTGTTTGCTTAAAATCTCAAAACAAATATTTCCCTAATTTAATCAATATTTGGCCTGATGTCGGCTCTTCCTCTTCCCTTTTCTGTCTCAGTCAATGACCACCAAGCATTCATCCAATTGCTCTGGCTGAAATTTGCATAGCATTTTTAACTTTTCTGTCTATTTTTTTGAGACGGAGTCTCACCTTGTCACCCAGGCTGGAGTGCATGGTGCGATCTTGGCTCATTACAACCTCTGCCTCCCGGGTTCAAGCAACTGTCCTGCCTCAGCCACCTGAGTAGCTGGGATTACAGGCGCACGCCATCACACCTGGCTATTTTTTTTTTTGTGTGTCTTTAGTAGAGATGGGGTTTCACCATGTTGGCCAGGCTGGTCTTGAACTCCTCACCTTGTGATCCACCTGCCTCGGCCTCCCAAAGCGCTAGGATTACAGGCATGAACCACCGCACCCTGCCCAACTTTTCTGTCTCTTTTACCCACTCTATCTAAACAATCACCAAGTTATATGAATTCTATCTACTAAATCTCCCCTACTCTCAACCCCGTCCACTTTCGCACTCCTCCTGATGCCCCCTGGGTCTCAATTTCCATCATCTCCTTCTTGAATTCTTGCTACCAGTTTCTAATTGGTCTCTTGATTCCAGTCTTGTGGTCCTCTATACATTAGTTATGAACTATTTAAAGTATACAGAAAATTACAGATAATGGTAAAACAGACACTCATTCATCTACCACTTAGATTTAACAAACATTAGTATTTTGCCATATTTGGATTAACTAATTGAAAAATAAAATGTTACAAATACAGTTAAAGAGCCCCATTCTTTTCTTACACATCTTTCTATCCCAAAGATAACTACTGACAAGCTGGTGTATATCTTTTCTATGTTTTAAAAATTCATATGTAAATATATATCTACAATTTGCATGATTTAAATATTTAAAATTCATATAAGTTATACTGCATGTATAATTCTGAAAAAAATTAATATTATACCTTTGAGATTTATCGATGTTGATACGTAGAGCTCTGATTCATTCATTTGAGCTGCTATGCTAAACTGTAGTTATAATCTATACTTTCCTTATCAGTTTCCCTATCCCTGGTTGCATCCAGCCTTTCTCTGTTATAATAAACGCTTGAAGAGAAATCTGCACTCCCATGTTTATTGCAGCATTATTCACAATAGCCAAGATATGGAGCCAACCTAAGTGTCCATCAACAGATGAGTGAACAAAGAAAAGGTGGTACATATCCACAATGGAATACTATTCAGCCATAAAAAAAGAATGAAATTCTGCCATTCCTGGAAATGTAGATGAATGAAATAAGTCAGACACAGAAAGATAAATACCACATGTTCTCACTCATATGTAGGAGCTAAAAATGTTGGACTCATAGAAGCAAAGAGTAGAATTGTAGTTACTGGAGGTTGGGAAGGGTAGTGGGGAGGGAAGAAAAAGGAAGTTGGTTAATGGATGCAAAAATATAGCTAGATAGGAGGAATAAGTTCTATTGTTCCATAGCTCTGTAGGGTGACTATAGTTAACAATAATTTATTGTATATTTTTAAATAGCTAGAAGAGAGGGCTTTTAATGTTCTCAACACAAAGAAATGACAAGTGTTGGAGGTGATGAATTTGCTAATCACCACATATTGTATAGTGTATCCAAATATCACTCTGTATCCCATTAATATACACAGTTACTGTGTGTCAATTAAAAAGAAGGTTAAGAAACAAGCAAGCATGCTATGCCTTGGCAAAGAAATGTCTTAGATGACTCAGAAAGTAATCTGAGACTCAAAGATACACATGGAGAATTTAAACAAAGTTGTTCCATGTTGTGAAAAAAGTGCTGCAATAAACATACTTATTCAAGGATCCTTAAATATTTATGTGTTTCTCTCCTTTTCAGGGTTAGATCTTGTATAGTCTGTTCTCACATTGCTGTAAAGAAATACCTGAGACTGGGTAATTTATAAAGAAAAGAGGTTTAATTGGCTCATGATTCTGCAGGCTGTACGGGAAGCATGGTGCTGGCAGCTGCTCAGCTTCTGGAAAGTCCTCAAGAAACTTACAATCATGGCAGAAGGCAGAGGGGAAGCAAGGTGTCTCACATGGTGGGAGCACGAGCAAGAGAGAGAGGGGGAAGGTGCTACACACTTTTAAACAACCAGATCTCATGGTAACTCACTATCAGGAGAACAGCACCAAGGGGATGGTGATAAACCATTCATGAGAAACTGTCTCCCACCAGGGCCCACCTCCAATACTGGGGACTACAATTCCACATGAGACTTGGTGGGTCACGATCTAAACCGTATCAGATCTAAAATGAGAATAGTTGAGCATTATGCTATAAGCATCTGTCTTAGTCTGTTCAGGCTGCTATAACAAAATACTACAAAAAGGTGGCTTATAAACAGCAGAAGTTTCTTACAGTTCTGGCATCTAGGAAGTCCAAGATCAAGGAACTGGCAGATTTAGGGTGTGGTGAGGGTCCACTTTCTCATAGACAGTCTTCTTTCCACTCCAACTGCACATGGTGGAAGTGGTAAGGGGTCTGTCTTGGGTTTCTTTTATAAGAGCACTAATCCCATTTCTGAGGTTCCACCTCCATGACCTAATCACTTTCCAAAGTCTCCACATTCTCTTACCATCACCTTGGGGGATGAGGATTTCAACATATGACTTTGGGGGAACATAAATGTTCAGCTCACAGTGTATCTTTACCAGATTTTGCCATTTTTTTTACAACGGTTTTCATCAATTTATACTTCCATCAAGAGTTATCAGAATTTTCATTTTCTTACATTTTCACCGCAACTCACAAATACTTAAATATGAAGAGTGAGAAGTGGTACATCATTGTTTTAATTTGTGTTTAATTGTGTTTCATACGAGAAATAGAGCATCAGAGAAGGAACAAAATTTTTGACTTTCCAGGTTATGAGGACTACTTTGATTGAATTAAATGGGTAGGGCAGAAGTCTGCTGAGCAGGAGGGGCACACAAAGGGAGAACACAGTAGGAAGGGTTGAGGTGGGAGGAGCCTGCACTTGTGATCAGGACTTAGAATGTGTGACAAAAACTAGTGCTGCACATATCACCTGAGCTGAGACTGGGAACCTCTTCTGACTCATCCTCAGATGGAAATAACCCCAGTGACTGCTCCCTGCATCCCACAGAAAAGCCTGCTTCTGGTGCCTTCTGTTTCTGAGTTGTTTTACCTTGCAGCCTCTAGGTGGCGCACCTGAGTTCTAGCTGCTCAGGCCTGTGGAAAGCGCAGGGATGACTAACAGAAGAACTGGGAGTTATCCAAGAGCCGAGGTCCTAGGGTGAAGAGGTGCAGGGGAGCTCAAGCCAGTGTTTAGTAATAATTTTAAAACCCTAATTGCAAGGGGTGAAGCAGATTATAACAGTTACAGTGATGATATGAAGAGCAGTATAATACAGATTTTAATTAATTTTTCATTCAGCACATATTTGTTGAATGTCTGTTGTATGCTAGCAACTGTTGTAGGTGCTGGGCATGCAATTAGCAGTCAATAAAGCAAGACCCCTGCTTGCAGTCTAGTGGGGGAGGAAGATAGGCAATAAGGAAACAAAATGCTTGGATGCAAAGGACAGAGTAAGGCAAGTGGAGGAATTAGTGATATGGTAGACACACTAGGGGATGGTTTCCCAGAGCAGAGTTTTGCCATATGAAATAGGAGCCCACCTTGCAATCCAGCCAGTGGAGCAGGAATAGTAAAGAGAGGACTTTAGGGATTGGGGAAAAATGTGTGCCCAGACCCAGAAGTCTCAACCACAGGAAGGAGGGACTCAGGAAACTGTCTGGGAGTCACTGAATGTTGTCGGTTGTGAAGTGCAGGGAGATGAGGCCACAGAGGTGTTTAGGAGCCGGGTCATGGTTGGACAAGCTATGGGGTTGGAGCTTTATCCAGTGGTGATGGGAAAGCAGAGGGCGATTTTAAGTGAGTGGATTTGCCAGTAGCATCTTGGGGGATAAACTGGAAGCGGGGAGACTTAAGCTAGGGAGACTAGTGGGAGGCAGTGTGTGCAGCTGTCCAGGAGGTGTCAGGGAAGAGGTATGGGGCCTGAATCAGCTCAGTGTTACTGGAGATGAAGGAAAGGAGGTAGGTTTGACTGAATTTGGTGACCGACTGAACATGGCAGTGGGAGGGACAGGGAGGAGTCCTCAATGCCCTGGCCCCTGGCCTGAGTGACCATTCACATTGCCTGAGTGGCTCCCTTTGCCCTATGCATGTGTCTTCCTGACCCCAGAGTCATTTTTATTACTTTCAAGTGTGTAGAGTAACCAGAACTGAACTAATAAAGTGCAGCAGTTCTGCTTTAATGAGCAGAAAAGAGTAATTTGTAATTAGCATATACATTATTTGTACATAATGAGTGCTTCCAAAGTCCTTATGGGGTTGTTTGTCTTCCTAAGTATTTAAAACCCCACCTCCTCCCAACCATCTTGTTTATGCTGTTTATTTGTACTATCTGTTCTTAAAAATGCACCCACGTGCATATGTACACACTGACACATTCATTCGCCTGCAGCCATCTGTACATTGTCTGCAGCCAGAGAGGCACACATAGGAACACGCAGCTACCATTTCACTCATTTGTAAATGTAACCCCACACTTGCATGCACCAGCACAGATACACAAACACTCAGGTCTACACATAAAAATGCACATGCATGTGTACACACATGTACATGTACCTGTTCCCTTGTATATACACATGCCCAGGAAGTACACAGAACATGTACTTTCATAAGAAGCCACAGGTGCAAACTTGCATTTATAACTGTGCCCATGCACATACATGTGTATACACACAGGTCACAGGCCTACATGCACACATGTTCAAACAGATACATAAATCTGGGAGGAATTGGGGCTTCAATTGGTCTCTTTCTCCTCAAGTACTGATGATGTAAAGCTTTTTATGATTTTGGTCTTGTCCAAAGATTTGAGGTTTTGGAGTCTTCGTCTTCTTGTTCAAAGCATCTTGTTCTTGTGTGGATCAGCTACTGTTAGCTAATGTTACCTATCTGTTACCCTGCTGGAAAGCTGGATTTATGAATGATCCCTAAAATAAAGGTCCTATGTGTACCACAGCAATAGGCCTAAATGAGTAGCTGAGAGGTGAACTTTTGCCGCCTTGGGACCAGGCCTCTGCTGGGGCAATAAGCAGTAAATAACTGTAGCTAGTACCATTATTTTTGGGCCCTTACACAAAAAACTCTGCATAGTGATAAGGTAGACTGAAAACAAGCAGCTTCTGAGTAGTAATTGTGTACCAGGATTTCTCATCTACATTGCCACATGGACTTACTCTATAGCATTTTGAGGTCAGAATAATTATCCTTATATTACAGATAAGAAAACTGAGGCTCAACGAAATGAAAGCATTTGCTCACGGCTGCACAAACATGGGTTTGAACCCAGGAGAATCTCTTGCATTATTTAATCTCTTCTCCTTAGCTCACCACCCTCTACCCTGCTGGGTCCCCCAAACACAGGGTCTGCTGGAGCAGATATGAGACAAGGACAGAGCTGGTGATAGTCTTTGGTGCCTCTGAACTTGCATGAGGTGTTTCTGCATGGTTGAAGAGCAATGATGAGATGCTCCATTCACCCAAGGGTCAGAGGTGGTCTTTCCTGGGGAAAACATGACTCAGCTTTTCTGACCTTGTGGTTCGCTTTTGACATGACTCCAGAGAAGGTGCTGGTAAAGCCATCGTTTCTCTGAGGATTTGAGTAGATACCACACCTCAGCTCCAAAAATTAGGTTCGCAACAATTTACAATAAGATATATACCCTAGGTGAACAAGCAAAGGACCAGGACTCCTTTATCGTGTTAGAAATGTCATAGTTCCTAAAATGTCTAAGCTGTATGGTTGGTCACCTGCCATTCATTGGCCAAGCATTGTGCTTAGATGAACCTGGGCATAGGAAAAGTTGAAGGAGACATCCAGGCCACTTTTGGTTTACATTACTGGAAACATTTTAAAGACAAAAAATCATGCAGATGTTTTTATAGCTATTATTTTATTTTAGCCTTAAAACACTCATGAGGAAAGTAATGTTAATAACAATAATGGTGACAACAGCTGACTTTTATCGAATAGTTACTATCAACCAGGTCCCACAATACTCTCAATGTGCTAAGTGCTTCACGTGCAATAGTCTATTCAATTCTCACAACAACCCAATGAAGTTTGAGTCCTACAGTGGGTTATTACTGCTCCATTTTCCTGTTGAAAAATAAAGAATCAGTGAGGTAAAGTGACAGGGGCAGCATCTGCGGTAGAATCCAGGTCTCCTGACTCTTCAGACTGATCTCATGTCCTAGTACCATCCAGGGTCAGAGACTGCAAGGGCAGGTGGAATAAGGTTAGGGTGCTGGGAACAATATGCTGGTGTGTACTCCAGCCTCTGTGGCCCTAAAACTGTCACAAGTGATGGTTTCCAACCAAGTCAATTGGGTGTCTGACTTTCATCCTGGGACCAGGAAAGTGGGGCTTCACGACTGCCTTGATGGTACTGGTTTGTTTTACAGTGTTTGCCAGTTTCTGTGGTGTAAATACTTACACTATGTCTGATTTCAAGCTAGCAACTGTTTAGCAATTGGGAGAGAAGGATAGAGGGAGAAGGGAAGAGAGAGAGGCATTTGCTTACATCATGTCTGATTTCAAGCTAGCAACCGTTTAGTGATTGGGAGAGAAGGATAGAGGGAGAAGGGAAAGGAGAGAGGCATATGTAACAACTGCATATTTAACAGTTGGCTTTCTGGCTCCTCCAGCCGACTGCTTGGGCCCAACACCCTAGCAATTAACCTTTTGCTACTCCTGGGCTCCAAGGAGGCCAGGCCGTGGGAACAGAGCACCAGAAGGATATTTCAAGGCAGTTTCTCCATTGCCTCAGCCTGGATGAGGCTGATAGTGTTTTACTTCTTCCTTTGCCTCCCTCAGGGAGAAAACAAAGAGTGGATCCCAGAAAGGCCAGGGCCTCTAATCTCTCAGTACAAGTCTTTGAAAGGAGAGGAAGGGAGCTGGGTCTACCGCAGAGAGCTGGCAAGGCTGGGTCTCTGGAGGCTGGGGCCAGGGGCTCCGCGTGTGGAGTATGGAGCAGAGCCGGTGGGCTGGGAGGAAACGACTGGCGGAAGGCCTCCTGGACCCTCTATCCTGTCTTCATAACTCCCACACAGATTAATGAGCCTCAGGATGCCCTTGGTTTTGGCCAGCCATGCTTGGGGCCTCCCCAAAATAGACAGGACGCCCAGTGCCTCTTGCTATTGTCCCAGCTATTGTCTTTATGAGCCTCCTGGGTTCAGGGATCACATCCTAACTCTTCCTGTTCGTGCTTAATCACCATCCGGATGGATGGACACTTGCAGACAGACTGGGGGCAATGCAGACTCAGGGAAGCCAGTACTGTGTGCGTGTGGAGAGATCTGGCCCCACCGTGTCCATGGCTGAAAAGGGAGAAATGGGGCCATGGTGGAGCTTTTGCAAAGACTCAGCGCTCCTTTCTTGGCTGAGGCTGGCTGAGGGGGCCACCAGGCTCAGAGCTGGTGCCCTGGGGTAGGGCAGTGTATGGGGCAGAGTCAGCCACTAGGGGGCAGGCCCCGACAGCAGGTGGGCCAGGCAAAACCCTGTCAATGCTCAAAAGGATGGTGGGAGGACTGACAGCCACAAAAACTGACCCGCTTGGGGTCTTGGGGCCCCCTCCAGGGTCTGGTCAGCTCCAGAGAGAACCAACACCCAGGGGAGTCTGGGAAGCAAGGACAGCAGTGATGGGAAGCTATCCGTAGATTCCCTGTATCATCCTAGTCTGGGGTGATGGAACTGTGATGAGCCGCATCTGCGTCTGGATGGGGATGGGCACGTGGCTTCCCCCTGCTGTGGAAGATGCAAGGAGCAGGAAGAACAGTGACAGAGAAGGACAGGCCTGGGGATAGGGTCAGGAGCTGGCAGCTGCAGCCCCAGCACAAAAGCCAGATGCAGGAACCCTGGCTTGGGGTATACAAGCCCCTGAAGGGGCCTTTTTGGTTTGTATCCTCCTGGGCCTGCCTGGCCAGGCCAGCTTCCTGTTAGCCTAGCAAAGCTGAGATTTGTCAGCTACTCCAAAGCAGTCCCTGCCCTTCCTGCTCTTGACTCTGCAGTATTTTGCCTTGGTTGATTCTGGCAGCTTGTGAGCCCTCTGAGCCTGCTGCCTGCCCCGGATGAAGCTGTCTGAGGTTCAGCTGAGCTGTCTGAAAGCCAGAGAAGCTTAGGATTTACCCTGAGGGAAAAAGACTGGGATGCACCCACTACTGGGAGGCCTGATAGACCCAGTGACCTATGGCAAACCATTTATTCTATTCAGCCATTCTCCCATCCATCCATCCCCTCCATCCATCTAGCCCCTCATCCATCCATCCTTCCATCAACTCACCCACCCAGCCACCCACCTACCCAGCTACTCATTTATCTACCCTGCCATGTATCCCTCCATCCTTTTCCATCCATCTGCCCATCCTTCCCCATTCATCCATTTATCAATCCATCTATTTTCCATCCATCCATTAATCTATTCTATCAGTATATGTCATTGAAACTTCCTCTGTGCCAGGCTCTCTTTTGGGTCCTGAGAATGCAGCAGTTCACATGACAGAAAAAGTTTCTGGATCATAAGAGCTAAATTTGAATGGCAATGTCCCAGTGACAAGCCAAATCACTCACTATGACATAAGGATGGAAATTGATGGCTCAGCTCTTAATCCATCGAGGCAGCAAACTCCCTACACCTCTTGCCCTGATACATACAGATATATTTACAATATGTATGAAGGCACCCCAAAATATGCATACCTGTGTATGCTCACATTGCATCCCCTTGGATAGCAACATGTCTTCAGGATAATTTGTGTACACATACCACCATACCCGAATGTATAACTATCTAAATACGTGCATGTGCATGGACATAAATTCACATATGCACACATGTACGTATAGGCACACAAGGCACTTACACATATTTGCACATATACATACATGTGCACATATACATACTTGTATATGTGCACCAGGAACACACAGGTGCACACACACACACACACACCTGTGCACAGCTACTCAGGCACATTGGCATATGCACTTTAACTTCATACAAATATATACACTTGGGTACAGTTTGGATCTGTATGCATATAAGATACATGTGCTCACATATGCACCTATCCATGCACACAGGTTGCATGTACATGAGCCTACACATGTGCATGTAAATACTCCCTCTGACTTTGACCTTTCACCAAAACCCCCGAACCCTACCATTTCCCCATTCTGTCCTGGGGAATTATCCATATCTCTGACAAGAGAATGGGTTACTAATGCAGCCACAGAGCTGTTTTGACACTTTTGATGAATAACATTCAATACTATTAATTGGAACAATTGCTTTTCATTTAACTAAATCATGGGAATTGCTAAACTAAATTGAAACGGAATGTGATTTTGCTTCGCACTGCTTTAATATGGGCCTCTAAATGTCTTCTCTCTGAAGGATTAGTAACTTAATCACCCACCAGTGATAACTGCTTCCCAGGCTCAGCCGGGAGGCTTCCTGCTCAGCAGCAGCCTGGCTGGTGAGGAACTGGGGGCCCAATGGCAACTACTCTGCCCCTTGCTTCCTCTCCCTGCATTATTCATCGTGGGGGAACACGGTTCTCTCCCTTCTCTGAGTCCAGCAGGACCCTCAGAGACAATTTCCATTTTCCCTGGGCTCTGCCTGTCTGCGTCCTGTCGAGGAGCTCTCATTCCAGGATCCTGGATGTGGGCGTGGATTCTGTCTCTGAGCTTCTCTGAGCCTTGCTGGAACACTTCGTCCTGAGAACACTGGCTCTGGAATCCTGGGGCCACGTATACCCTGAGGGCAGCCCAGTGCCTGGCTTAGCTTCCAGGGGCAAGTTGATGTGGGCCAGAAATGTTCCCTGCACTGCCTGGGGGAGCAGGGAAGGCCCCAGCCAGCTGGGCTGTTGCAGGGTGACCAACTGTTCTGGTTTGCCTGGGACTGAGGGGTTTCCAGGACATGGAACTTTTCAGGGCTAAAACTGGAAAGTCCCTGGCAAATCAGAACAGCTGATCATCCTAACTGTGGTGTCATCTGTGCCTCCAGCTAGAAATCATGTTTAACATTTATTGAGTGCTTACTGTGTGCTAGGTGCTTGACATACATTATTTAAATGTTGTGACAATGTTATGGGGATATGTTCTATTAACATATTCATTGTATAAGTGAGAAAACTAAGACTCAGTTATTTTTTAATCTTATCTATGTCCTCACAGGTGTGGACACAACAATAACAACAAGGATAACAAGGATAATAGGAGCTAATTTTATAAGAGCTTGCTCTGTGATAAGCACTTCTGCTAAAGGCTCAATGTGCATCCTACAGCAATCTTGAAGTTAGGTACCATTTTTGCTGTTCCTTCACAGAAGTGAAGGTTATTGCTAGTGAGTGCTAGACTGTGATTCTAGACCTAGCAGCGTCTCCCACCAGCCTCTACTGTGTTGGCTTGCCTGTTAGGCTACATGGGGCCTCCCAAGTCCTTTTCCTCTGGGTGGTCTAAGGAGACCCAGGCTACAGGATTCTGGAGGGTGAGGTCCTTAGCAAATTGAGTTGCTGAGCTTAGTGTGGCCTCTTCTAGGTACAGCTTCTGTCCTTGGGTGTGCAAAGGAGACATGGCCACTCCCTGAATAGGGATTTCAGGGACAGCCACCCCACCCCTTTCCACTGACACGGTTCCTGACACTGGGTCCTCTGAGTGGATTTGGCATGTGATTGTGGGGCCTGTGAGTTCTTATAAAGCCAGGTTCTTGCCTGCTTCTGCTGATCTAGGACTTGTTTGGACTGCAGCAACTTGTTTGCCCTGCAGCATGGTAGGTTGCCGTATCTGCCTCTCCATCCTCTCCTCCTCCCCAGCCCCAAGGTTGTCAGGAAAAATTGCTAAATTTGGCTCTGAGTTGTCACTCCAAAATATTTACAGGAAGAGAAAGGAGCCTGCTTTAAGGGGGTCCTTATTGGACCACTCCTAAGGGTCAGGTACTGTATCAGGCATTTCGGTTTATGTTCTCATTTAATCCAACAACATCCCAACAGTTAGGAATTATTATTCCCATTTCACAGTTCAGAGGGCAAAGGTGCTGAAGGAGGCCCAAGTTCATGCACCTGGTCAGTGCTACACCACAGTTTAGGAATCAGACTGTTTATTCCACTGACTCAATTCTCTTCCTAGGCAGATACTGCCATTCTCTAAAGCGTAGCTACTTCCGACCTCCAAGTTTCTCTGTCTCTCTGGAGAGGGCTCAGTGTGCTCAGTGTGATGATGAAGCTTGCAGGCTCTGAAGACAAATGAATATGGCCTGATGCCTGGTGCTTCATGAGGCATTGGGTTGAGATCTGCTTGTCTGTTGGAGTCTTTATGTGTAAAATAGGGATTCACACAGTCCCGACTTGGTAGCCCTGTTGTGTTGGTTGCACAAAGAAGAGCTCAGCACAGGGCCTGGCACAGGGCAGGGGATTAATAAGTGGTTGCTGCTATTATCATGTTTATGATTTCTGGCAGTTTGAAAGGAGATTCTCTGGAGTTCAGTGCTGTAGATGTCAAGCCTTGCCTCCCCTCCACATCTACGCTGCCTGCGCCCTTGAGTTTCCTATTAACTTAATAGGCCTGGACGTAAAGGAGCCAGTTGTTCATGGGATCCCAGAGTCAATCAACAATCCACCCTTCACTGCTTCCATTTGGTAAAATCGATATGTGTTGATTGAACACTGAGTCTGCGCAGAGCCCTGAGGCTGCGCCTGAGGAGGATTCAACCTCTCGCTGTGCCAGGGAGTGTAACTAAGATAGCGTTCTCTACCTGGGATCCCTGGACCAGCACCATCGGTATCATCTGGGAACATGTTAAAAAAAGCAAATGGGCCTACCCTAAGGCCCATTGAATCAGACATTCTGGGGTTGGGCCCCAGGAATGTGTGTTTTCGCAAGTTCCCCATATCACTCTGAGGCACGCTAAGGTGGGAGAAGCATTGCTCCAAGAGACCAAAACGCAGCTGTCCTCTGACAAGGACCAGCTAAGCCTGTGGGAGCACAGAGGGAAGAGAGGAGGACCCAGCTGGGGAACCTCTGGGGAGTGGGGTGCCCTGACAAATTCTTTCTTCCTGCTCGGGCTTGGGAAGGGGAGGAGCCAGGGCTGCAGTGAGTCCGCCTGGCACCTTCGACCGATTAGACAAAGGTGCCTTTTCTTCTGCGAGGATGCAGCGCTGCCGGTGAGGGGTGCGTAGGCTGGGTTTTCATCTCATTTACCCTTCACCCACATATGCAAGGCCCAGGCAAAGTGTATGATAGGCCTGGGTGCATTTGACAGGGGAAGAGCCGACCATACCTGTCCTCTGACGGTGGGGGGTGGCTCCTGGAATGCTGAGCTAGCAACCATGGTGAGTCCCCCTACTGTGTGGACCCTTGCCAGGCCTCAGGCCTCAGCAGTCACTTACATAAAACAGGTGGTGAAGGCCAAAGCCTGGGGAGAAAGAGGATAATCAGAGTCAAGTCATGAAGACAGCATGCCATGGGCTGGAGGAGATGTCCCACCCTGAGCCACCACAGGAGAAAATAAAGCAAATGATTGACAGCCCCTAAATGTGCGGGTTCCTCTAGAGCACTGTCCTCCTGCCACAGACAAATCAGCTGGATTTTGATGCAAAAGTCAAACCAACCACCGAGTATGGCTGAGGAGGAAGAGAAGGCTGTTGCCCTCAGCCTGCCCCAGTCAGTGCCACACAGTTAGCCTTTTACTTCCTTCTCCTTTCCTCCCTCTCTCCCTGGGGACCCTCTCAGACCACTCTCCCAAGGCCAGCTGGCCTCATTCCCATCCTCCCAACATAGGCTACCTTGGACTTCACCACCTCTAGATTTTGGCCTGCAGGAGCACCGCTCTCCACTGAGAGCACTTGCTGTCTCCCTTACACACCTGTTCTTGGTGGCCAGTGGCTCCTCCCTTCTCCTTGGCAGGTGTCCTAGGTTTTGTCTTCTGTTGGTTTCATGGAACACTGCCTTAATTGTTCCTGGGGCTTTAATGGGACCCTGTCCTCTTCTACATTCTTCTCTCTCCCAGAAGGTGACTTCTTGTAGGTAGGGGGTACTTGAGTCTCCTCCTCTGTTCCCCTTTTGTCCCCCAGACTGGGAACTTTTTATAGCAAAGTTAAGTCTCTCCCTGTCTCTGAACCAGTTCTCCACTCCAACATTTGCTACCACAAGTTTTGGACAAAGTAGAGGGAGAGGGAGCCCACCCAAGTCCAGCTCCAGGGGCCCCTAGACCTGCTTTGTTGGCCCTGTCTATGTCCCAGGTACCACAATTGTGGCAGGTCACTCTGGAGGGACTAGCTATCCTACAGCCCCAGACAATGGTCTGGGTTCTCGTTCCCTATCTCCTACCCCTCACCCCATATACACCCCGTATACCCACACAGCATGGGAGGTCACTAAAACTCATCACTCTCCCTGGAGGAAGCCTGAAGGGCAGCTGGACTAAGTGCCTCCATCCAACACCCTTGGAGGTTCACACTTATTTCTGTTGTCTCCATACCAACAGTGCATCAACTCTCATCTTTTCTGGCCCAAAGTTGGATAAAGCCCCAGCTCAAGTTCTCTTTTGTAGACTGGCAATAGAGTTGAGAAATGTAAAGAAGACGGATACTAAAAGATGAAGAAGTAGAACTTCCAGGAGAAGGAAGTTCTTAGGCAGTTCGTGGATGGGGCTCTAGCTAGGTGTAGTGAAGTTAGAAATGTGTACTTTCTAAGTCAGACAATTCTGAGTGTCTTGTATTTACTTTCATGTTTCTCAGTGATCTCTAACATTTGGTCCATATCTCACATCCTTGCCCTTCTCCAGAAATTTTCTTCTTTGATGTCGTAACTATTTTCTGGCTCCCAAAATCAGGTGAACCTGGGTACCATCTTCCCTGGGTCCTATGACCTCTCTTGCTGTGAGATGCCACTCTTCTGCCTCTTCCCCACTCTCTGTCTCCATCTTCTCTTCTCTTTTATTGACATGTCCCAAGGGTGCTCTTCTATGTTCTTTGATCTCTCCCATCTGTCTTGTTCACCTAAGCTGTCCCTTTCGTCTCTGCACATAGCTCCCAAATTCCAATTCTTGCTTCTAAGAAGGACCCTTTGGAACTGAGAGCTCTATGGAGCTACCCTCCAGCATAATCAGTTGCCTAGAGACATTTTCAAATGTAGTCCCGGCGAGTATCTAAAATCTGACCTGCCTCCAACTAAACCCAATATCTTCCTTCTCACTAGCAGTAGCTTCCTGCCTCACTCTTTCTGCTAAAAAGTTTCACCCAGACTCGAAAATTAATGTGTTTCTTTCTTGTCCCTATTTTCTTCTAAAAATCTGATCGGTAAGTTCCAGAATTTCCCCACCGTGTCCTTTCCTCTCCTGTGGACTGAACCCCTCCCTGGCTCACACACTTGCCCCACTGAGGGCTTCCTCCCATTGGCAGCTTCTATGCCATTCATCCAAAACATGCTGCCTGCCAAACTTATCTTTTTATTGCCCAGCAAGGACCATGTCCCTCTGCTACTTAACAATATTCTAGAGCATTATGCCAACTTCTCCCTGAATCCTTTCATTTGGGAGGTTCCTATGAGTATAGAGCTTAGACTATAAGGCCAGTCAGACCTGGGTAAAATTCTGACTCTGCCATTAAGTGAGCCCATAGGAGAGTAAACACACAGCCCTTAATAAATATGATTTCCCTGATTTATTCAAGTACAAGTAAGTTTACTTTTACTTTTCATAATTTTATGTCTCATTCGTACTTCTCTTTTGGTATCCACTACTTTTTTGTATCTAGCTATTTTAGTATGTATTTTCTTTTTAAAATTAATTTCTTAAGCAGAACCTACTTAGATATTTTAAAATGCAATAAATATTATGTAGAAAATTAGAACATATTAACACATACGGCCTCAGTGGCCAAAGCTGTAATCAGATGTCAATTCATAGCTATTCATTCCTTTGCTCTTACCTGGACAGGAGACAGCTACTGACCATTAAAATCTATTGTCTCTTTCCTTCATTTTAATAGATGTGCTGGGTACATGGTTACTCAGCTACACTTTATTTTTTATTTTCCCTTGAAGTTAGATGTGATTGTGTGACTTATTTATTTACCATAGAATATGAGCAGAAATGCTTTGTGCCATCTCCCATATACCCCCTCTCATATATTCCCCTCTGTGTTTTTTCCCTTTTTGGCTGATTGAGATGGCAAAAAGTAGGCTTGGAGGCCATTCGTTGAAGATGACATTGTCACTATCAGCCTGGGGTCCTGAAGGACCTCGTAGGACAGAATCTCAGCCACTTGGAACCTCTGCCCTGGACAGTTATGTGATAATTATAAAATCAGTCTTGCTTTTAGGCTACTGAAATGTGGGGGGTCTGTTTGTTACATCTGTTAATAGTTAGCCTACCTACTACTTACTCCCCATGGTAGGCAGAACTTTGGAAAGGTCCCATTCTAATATCCAGAACCTGTGATAAATACAAGGAAATATCATTCTCATGATTATGTTATGTTTTATGGCAAGTTGACCTTAAAATAGGGAGATTATCCTGGGATATCCAGGTGGAGTCAATGAAATCGCATGCGCCCTTAAAGGTAGAGAAACTTCTCCAGCAGTTGGCATAAGGGGAAGCCAGAAAGACTCAAAGTAGGAGAAGGAGTCAATGTGCCATTGTCGGTTTTAAGCTGGAGGGGCCTGTGAGCAGGAATGTGGAGTCCCCTATGGGCAGAGTGGCCCCTGACTGGCAGTCAGCAAGAAACCCTGGAATCCAGATCCAGAACTGCAAGGAGCTGGATTTTTCCAACAACGAAGCTGAAGCTGGAATCAAATTCTTCCCCTGAGCTTGCGCGTCAGAGTTTACCCTGGCCGGCACTGTAATTTCTGTCTGTGAGACACTGAGCAGAGATCCCAGCTGAGCCCACCTGGATTTTGACCTATACAACTGTGAAATAATCAATGGCATTGTTTTAACCCACTAAGCTTGTGGTAATTTGCTATGCAAAAATAGAAAACCAACACAGTCCTTTAGAAGGCAAGGACTCAAATCTTATTCTTCTCTGCTCTCTCTGATGTCTCAGGGTAGCACCTGGCATGTAAGAATTTAGGAAGCTTTTGTTAAATGGACAAATGAGTTAGTGTGGTGGGTGAGTGAGAATCCTCAAGGTATAGATCCAAGGTCTGTAAACCTTTTTCATGAAGGGCAAGATAGATAGTAAATATTTAGGCTTTGCAGGGCTCTGTCACAACTAATCAACTCTGTCACTGTAGCACAAAAGCAGTCATGATGATATGTAAATAAATATGCATGACTGTGTGCCATCGAAGGTTTATTTAAAAACAGGTGGTAGGTCAGATATGGCCTGCATGCAGGAGTGTGCTGACCCCTTTTATACATCATTGGAAGACTTTGGGTACTTTCATCCAAAGATGGGGAAGCTTTTGCCTAGAACCACAAGACTTAAATAAATGGCTTGAGGGCAGAAATAGTTTCTACTGTAAGAAATACATCATCAGGCCTGAGAGGTGGTTTAGATTGTTCCAGAGCACATGGAACTTTTTGGTTTCTAGGGAGATAAATCCCATTAAAAAGTCTCTTTTCTTTCTTTGGCTTTCAAGAATTCTTCTATTAACATACCCTTACCTGGTTTTCCCTTCTTACAATGAGATGGGACTGGCTCTCTGGCCTGGCAGAAGGACCCTAGCCTGCAGCAGTTTGCAGAGTAAGGGATTTACTCAGCTGGTTTTCAGCTGAGCCCCCGCCCCATGCCTGAAGCCTGAGTGAATGTCTCCAGCCAGCCCCTGGGCAGAGATGGTACATTGCTTATGGGCCTGCCTGCCCATCCTTCATGAATTTTTATTAAACAAAACTGTAAGCAGATTGATTTTGTCCTCTTTTATTGCATTTTTATTTAATTCCGTTCCATGGTGGAGGCTCCATCATGTTACCGCAGAGTAAATCACTCCAGGGCATCAGGCCAAAACCGTGGAGAAGGGCAGGATCTGGCTTCCCAAGAGCACATTTACCGCATAAGAACCTTTATTAGCAGAGAGCCATTGATTTCTTTTTTTTTTTTTTCAGGTCATAGCCCCTTCACATCCTTTAAATAAGAAAGAATCACAAAGTTATAGTGGAAGAGAGACTCTGTGTGGCCAGGGTCATGGGGTGCTAGCTTGTGTCCAGGTCTGACAACATCTGTACTACCCGTACCCTCAACTCAGCTCCTACTATGTGCTGGGTGGGGTCATATGAAAAGCTTGGAGAAAAGTAGTTTGGGTGGAGCATTGGTGGCTGATACAGATGGAAGGGAACATTAGGTCCAGGAACAAAGTACTTTAATATACTTTTTAAAAAAAATTACGGGTGGTTATAGTTTAGCCTCAGACCTTTATGTAAAAAGTCAAGACTGTGACAGCTGTAATCTAAATCTCCCCCTCCTTCCATAGCTCCTACTTTCACACTCCAGGTAAAGGACTTTGGGATTTTATCCTTAGGAACTAGAGAGCTACTGCCTGTTTTAGAGCAGGGCAGTAACAGGATACTATTACTATCTTTGTTAGAGGGGATCAATCTGGCAGCAGAATGTAAACTGAATTTGAGGAGAGTTCAGGAGTAGGGCAGGGTTGGAAGCTAGAAATGGGGGCATCAGTTAATAGGATATTGCCATGGTCTAGCCACAAGGCAACAAGAACCCAAAGTTGAAGTAATGAAGTTGTAGAAATAGTAGGGGAGAGAGATTAAACAACAAACAGTTGGAGGCGACTCTGAGGTTTTGTCAACTGCAAAAGGGAGTGAAAGGGGTGAAGTGGTTTGAGCAAAGAAAAAGCAGAGCTGAGTTTGGTACATGCTTATTTACAAAGTAAAAGAAATACTTATATATGTATATACGTTATTGCAAATGTGATGCAGATAAATTGCAGAAAATTAAAAAATGGAGAAAAGCATTATAAAGAAAATAAAAATCATATTTAATCCCACAACCACAGTTTGCCATTGCAATAGTACGTTTGGTATATTTCTTTCTAGATAGATAAATAAACAGATGGAGCATGGTACTAAGTAGTCTTCAAAAATATGATTCTCACTCGCTGCGTATTACCATCTGGATACACCAAAATTGATTTCACTGTGCATCAATTGTTGGACTTTAACTTGATTTATAGTTTCTCCACACTATAAATAATGCCATGGTGAACATCTTGCTGTATGCTTCTTTGTCTGCCTCTCTGATAAATTTCTAAAGTAAAATGATTGAGTTAAAGGTTATAATCTTTTTTAAAGTTCTTAACTCATGTTGTCAAATGCTCACTCGATACTTACTGATACAGTGTATGTTCAGGTTGATTTCACAGCACATTCATCAATCAACACTAGAATTATTTTGATTTTTTTAAACCCTTGGCAATTTCACAGTATAAAAGGGATAATCACTATTTCTTAAATTATTTGTTTTTTATTATTACTAATACTTTAATAATAATTTTGGGTGTGCCTATTGGCCATTTTCAATTTCTCCTCTTTTGAAAATTGTATCATTTTTTCATATTTCTGTTGGACAAAATCTGTTTTTTATGTACCAGTTTATGACAACTTTTAATAGTGGGGCTATTACAGTTTTGTGTATTAGACATGTTGCAGTTTTTTGTTTTTTTTTTTTTTTTGCCACATTCTCATTACCTTTCAAAGTTTTATATGGTATTTTTGATAAGTAGAAGTTTTGAAATTTTATGTAGTCATTGCTATCCCCTTTTGGATTTTTTTTCCTTTTCTGTTATACTTTGACAGTCCCTCTCAAAACAAGATTCAGTAAACATTTACCTATGATTTCTTTTAATTCTTTGTGATTTCTTCATTTGTCTCCTTATTTGAAGCATCAGCCTGTGGTGATCATGAACACAGGCTCTGGAGTTACATGGACTTGGATTTGGATGCTGGTTCTCCCAATTACTTGCTGTGTGACCTTGGATAATGCTTAACCTCTCTGAAACTCAATTTTCAAATCTGAAACAGGGTTGGAAGTTGCAGGAGATAATGTATGTCGAAGTGTCCAGCACATTACTTGGTCAGTAGCAGACATGTAATCTTAAATATTGCCACGTTAGGTCTCTGTTAAGTATGTACAATTTTGATCTTCATGAAGGCAGAGACACTGTCTTATTTACCTCCATATCGCATGTCTAACTGAGGACATGTCTTAAAATATATTTTCAGTGACTATTTGATGAATGAATGTATGAAATGAGCTTAACAGATTGCATTTTGTAAGTTGTAAAGGCAAAAGGAATTCACTTTAAGACGTCGAACTCATTTAGAAAGAACCAGAATAGTTACTGTGCATCTAGAATGTAAGGAAAAAAAGCAAACAAGAAACAAATTAACACTGTTCTTTCATTAGCTACAGCTCGCCATTCAGTCTTGTGGGTCTGGTCAGTCACCTTTGACCCCTGACCTCTTGCCTTGACCTAGGCATACAGGCCATTGCCAAGCTCTCTTGAGTCTGTATGTAGAGAGATTTTAAGAGCTCATAGGGCCCTCTGAGGTCATTTGGTCAGCTCAACTTCCAGTATTTGTATTTTAGTTGTCAAGCACTTCTTTTCTAAAGGAATGTGACCCTGAAAGTCCAATATGTAAAAACAGACTGAGGTAGAGATGCCATGATTGAAACACAGGATCAGGAGGTCATATTCCTTCTACTGAGGGCTTTGCAGATGCCGTTCTCTTGGACAGAAATGCAATTCCATCCTCCCTGTCCCAATTATCCGGCTAAGTATTACTTGTGCTTTAGGTCCTAGCTTAAATAACACTTTCTTCAGGAAGCCTTCCCTGACCTTCTTTTGACCAGGTCAGTTTTCCCTTCTGTATATTCATAGTCCTGTTACCTCTATTTGCTAGCACACGCCTCAGTTGCAAATTTGCATCTATTAATATTAATTTCCTCTTACACTAGGAGCAAAATAGAGGAAAGCCTGTGATGAGTTTGTTTACTATTATACTCCGGGCACTCATTGCAAGGCCTGGCTTGCACACAATTGGTGTCACTTAATATTAATACCTTAATAGAAGTGTATCTGATTTAATCCCATTCTTTTCCAGATTGCACAAATGCTACTGTGTCCACTGCATGCCAGATACTCTTTGAGTACTGGAAATACGCTAGTGAAGGAGGCGGACAGGAGTATGCGTCTAGTCAGGATGACAGACAACAGAGGAATCATTAATTTCAATGGTGATAAATGCATTTCATACATTGGACCTCTATGTAATATTTAATCAGAAGATAAAGTTCTTTTACTGAAAAATAATTAGTAGGTTTCTAGGCCAGCACATTTTGTGGGTCATGAAGTCAGCAGCTAAGAGTGGTACTTGGAATCTTGTCTTTGTGGTTCATTTAGGGTGGGAGAGTGTCTGTGAGGCCCAGCCACCTTGTCAGAATGGAAGTTTCATCACCCGCTGATGAGTGTTAGACAGTGCGTCAGTTCATCTCAAAGTTGCCAAAATATGCACCTACCTGGGTCTGCTTTGATAAATAGATAAGAACTTGTGTTCCTTGCGAGTCCATCAGAACTCAGTTATCATAATCATCTGTCACATGTTCCTTAACCCTATGGGCAATTCTAGGGAGGTGGCTGATCTAGATGAAAGAAGGTCCTTCAGCAACTGTCCAGGGCACTTGGAAGAATATCCAAGCTCCCCACCATGACCTATGGGCCTGTGCTGATCTCGGTCTCTTCTCCCTGCCCATCTTCATTTTGTTCCATGGCCTCTCATGTTGCAGATGTCAATCTCAGGTCCTATTTGAATTATTCCCAGTTGCAAATCAGGAAGGTATTAATTGGTGCATGTTCTGTAAGTGCTGTTAGAATTAGAGCTACTGGGCTGGCTGACAGGAGTTTAGAGGGCAGCCCTTTTCCTCCTCTGAGCCTGTCTCCCCAGCCATCCCTTCTAAAAGTTGCTGGGCTGATGCTTGTATCTTGGCTGGCTCTGATGCCAGCTCTGACGGGGCCACCCTGGAACCTGCTTGCACAGGCTGTCGAGGGCGTGAGAACCCAAGCAGACAACTCCCAGTCCTACCTCCTTTGCTGTGCCAGGCTGCCAGTGCCAGCTGAGGAGGCCCCCTCCTGCCTCTGCTTGTTTCCCTTGATTGTTATGTAATGTTCGGCAGCAGGAGGTAAATTCCTCTCCAATTTCCAGGCCCGTTACAGCGCATGAACCCCACCGTGGGGAGCCACAGTGATTGAGCTCAGCAGCCAGGTCCCATGCTGAGTGTCATAAATCAGGCCTATTACCAGCTTCTCCTGGCAGATGCCATAGCCAAGAACCTGCCCACTGCTTGCGAGACCCAGCCGCCTCTGCATACTGTTAAACCAGGGCTGACAGATCCACCGGGGATTTAGGGGATCTTCATGACACTCTGGCTGGGTGTTGCCAGGAATCTTATTCTGAGAGAGCAGGAGGTGACACAGCCCTTGGCAAGGCATCTCAGACCTGAGATCTCACAGCCTGATGTACGGGGAGCAGAATCAGGGCATGATCACCTGCAGGCTACCTGGATTTCCTGGTATGGTGGCCTCTTGTGTGCCTGGCTGTACACGTAAGAACCTCTAGGGGACTTGTTAAAAAATATACATCTCCCAGGTCCATCCCCAGAGATTCTGATTTGGTAAGTGTTCCTTGGGACATGGAAATTAGCATTTTTTACTAGATCCCAGGTGATTCTGATGCAGGTGGTTCCTGGACCACCCTTTGAGAAATGCTGCTTTGGGACCAGCTGTATCCCTGAAGTGATGCCTGTAAAATGAATGCCTATAAATTGTGGGTCTTTTTTTTCCATTTCCTTCTATCATTTGGCTGAAGATGTGTTTGCCTGGGGAAGAAGATGTGGGCTTCAAGAATCAATGGCAATCAAACTGAAGAATAAGACAAATCTTTGACTATGACATATTTAAAGGGCAATAATAATGCTAATAGCAAGGGGAAAAGTCCCGTAGTAGGATGTTTTGCTGATACTTAACGTGCTACAGGGGGAGCTCTATCCTTGTTTCTCATTGGCTCTGTCTGTATGACCAAGGTTGTCATATGTCCTGGTTATCCTGGGTCAGTCCAAGTTTATGCAGGTTGTCCCAGTGCAACTTCTAATAGTTCCCCCTTCGACTCTCGAAAGTCCCAGTCTGGATGACAGTTGTTACTCTGTCAATAACCCATAGGATTGCTTCCCTTAAGACCTCCACTTTTCTTCCAAAGGGATCTGCCCTATAGTTGTCTCTGAAGGATTTTGTCAGACTGATCCCAGTAGTGGATTTCACACTAAAGTTCACCCTGACTCTGGGCTGGGATGAATGGTAAAAGGAACTCTTTGACCAGGTAATCCCCCTACTCTTTCCAGGAAATCCCGGTGGGGAAAAGGAAGGTCCTATGACCTGAACAGAAGAAACAGAATTTGGTGGCCAGGGAAAGCCTTCCCTGGGGGTCCACCCTTCCTGTGACCTGAACAGAAGAAACAGAATTTGGTGGCCAGGGAAAACCTTCCCTGGGGGTCCACCCTTCCTGTGACCTGAACAGAAGAAACAGAATTTGGTGGTCAGGGAAAACCTTCCCTGGGGGTCCACCCTTCCTGTGACCTGAACAGAAGCAACAGAATTTGGTGGCCAGGGAAAGTGTTCCCTGGGGGTCCACCCTTCACTTTGGGTGCATGAGATAAGACTACATTTTCCTCTCAAATATCATAATAAAAACATTAATAATAAGTCCTAATAATCCATGAGATGTGGAGAAGTAGATAAGGAGTTCTAGAGTTAGACAGGCTAGATTTGATTCCAGCACTGCCCTCACGGACTTGACTTCAAGCAGGTTGACCATGTGGGACCTCATTTTTCTCCTCTGTAAAATGGGGATAAAAATCTTCAACCTGGGAGAGGACTTGAGATATTTGTAAAGAGCAGACACTTAATAGGTAGTCAATAAATGGTGATGGTTAGTATAATCATCATGACAATGACAATTAAAAAGCAAGATTTAATGTTTTAAAAATGTTTCCCAACATATTTCTTCTTTCGAAGGTGGGGGCAGTTAATGGTTTTATTTCTTTATCAATTTCCTCCCCTGGAACTTTCCACCATGAAGGGTAAGCTATGAGGCTTCTCTGAAAAACAAAGAGAAGATTCCATTTAGAACAAAAAAACCCAGCATGAACATAGAAAACCCAGTGTGGGTTAGAAACACCCAAACATTTCTAGGGAAACTCAACAGGAGAATTTATTTCTCAAGGATTTTAGCATTGCATGGGAACTTCCCAGGCCCTTTTGTAAAGTCCTGAATTTAGCAAGATGCTGGAGGCATGTGGCACTGAAAAGAGGTTAAATTAGAATTGGGTAAGGGAAGAGTTCGGGAGACATGCCCAGGACAGCCCCCACACTGCTGTGGCACCTGAGATCCTATATGCCGCAGCGGGGACACACGTGCTGAGAGCTCTTGCAGACATGAGGTGTCTGGGATCACAACAAAGATCCTACCATGTTGGGGACTTTATGACCAGAGGCTGTGGCTGTGCACCTCAGTCACGGGTACCAATGGGACGCCCCCAAAGAACCATGTGAGACCAGTCACACCTTGGCCGATGCTAGCGCAATGCTCAAAACCAGGTCAGAGGCCCAGGCCCCATACAGTGATGTTTGTTTCCATCTCTACTTGGGAAAGAGTTGGGGCATGGAGTGAGGGTGGGGGTTATGGGGAGTCATCCCTTTGAGAGAGCAAAGGGGAGATTTAGATTTTGCCTTGACCAAACATGCTAAATGAGACTATTTACATACATATACATATTTTTTGAACTTTGAAAGTCTTTATCACAGTATTGCATGTGACAGAAAATTGCAGAGCCTATATGTTTAACAAGAGGCAAATAGTTAAATAAATGTTGGTACAACCTTGAAAGAAATTACTAAAAGCCATTCATATTCATATGGTATAGGAGACACCTTCATATAATGACTTGGAAAGAAAGCTTACAGTTCGTTAACTAGTTAAAGAAGTGCCCCAGAGCTCTGATTGGCAGGAGATAGAAATCCAGTCAGAGCAGCTGAAGTGAGAAGATAAATTATAAGGTATCTTAGCTCAGGCTGCCTAGAAGCAGAGCCTGAGGCAGGGTTTCTTGGGCAAATGATGTAATGAGGAAACACTCTTGGGAAAAGGAGCTGAGGGAAGCGGGGCAGGGCAGGGGATGGTGCTAAGAGAGGATGTGGTCTCTAGGTGAAGACGAGCTTCAGCCTGATCCCATAGGGAACTCTGGTGTATAAAGAGCTTTATAGAATTGACACCACCTTAAGGCAAGGAGGCTAGCCCCGCGCACAGAAGCCAGGTGATGGGTGCACCAGCCTGGGCGAGGAGATCAAGGCTTGGTACCAACAGCATCAACTACCTAAAGATAGACTACGTAGAAAACTGAGAAAAGAACTGAAGTGCATTTGGGCTCTGCAGGAGTAGGCCTCCTCTCCTTCTTTCTGTATACCTGCTGTATTCTCCTCTCATAGAATGACTCCACTGGGCCCACACTAGATTCATGAACTAAAAGGCAGTTCATATACAACTTGGTGAGTTATGTGATATGGTTTGGCTGTGTCCCCACTGAAATCTCAATTTGAATTGTATCTCCCAGAATTCCCACATGTTGTGGGAGGGACCCAGGGAGAGGTAATTGAATCATGGGGGCTGGTCTTTCCCATGCCATTCTCATGATAGTGAATAGGTCTCACGAGATCTGATGGGTTATCAGGGGTTTCTGCTTTTGCTTCTTCCTCATTTTATCTCTTGCTGCTACCACGTAAGAAGAGCCTTCTGCCTCCCGCCATGATTCTGAGGACTTCCCAGCCATGTGG
Organism: Homo sapiens; assembly: GCF_000001405.40. Taxonomy (NCBI): domain Eukaryota; kingdom Metazoa; phylum Chordata; class Mammalia; order Primates; family Hominidae; genus Homo; species Homo sapiens. The sequence goes on from NC_000020.11 coordinate 39,286,501, forward strand.
AACTGTTAAGTCCAATTAAACCTCTTTTCCTTCCCAGACTCAGGTATGTCTTTATCAGCAGCCTGAAAACAGGCTAATACAGTAAATTGGTACCAGTAGAGTGGGCTGTTGCTGAAAAGATACCCAAAAATGGGGAAGCAACTTTGGAACTGGGTAACAGGCAGAGGTTGGAATAGTTTGGAGGGCTCAGAAGACGACAGGAAAATGTGGGAAAGTTTGGAACCTCCTAGAGACTTGTTGAATGGCTTTGACAAAAATGCTGATAGTGATATGAACATTAAGGTCCAGGCTGAGGGGGTCTCAGATGGAGATGAGGAACTTGTTGGGAACTGGAGCAAAGGTGACTCTTGTTATGTTTTAGCAAAGAGACTGGCAGCATTTTGCCCCTGCCCTAGAGATTTGTGGAACTTCGAACTTGAGAGAGATGATTTAGGGTATCTGGCGGAAGAAATTTCTAAGCAGCAAAGCATTCAAAAGTTGACTTGGGTACTGTTAAAAGCATTCCATTTTAAAATGGAAACAGCATAAAAATTCAGAAAATTTGCAGCCTGACAATGTAGTAGAAAAGAAAAACCCATTTTTTGAGGAGAAATTCAAACCGGCTACAGAAATTTGCATAAGTAGCAAGGAGCCTAATGTTAATCCCCAAGACCATGGGGAAAATGTCTCCAGGCCATGTCAGAGACTTTCACAGCAGCCCCTCCCATCGCAGGCCTGGAGGTCCAGGAAGAAAAAGTGGTTTTGTGGGCTGGGCCCAGGGTCTCCACGCTGTGTGCAGCCTAGGGACTTGGTGTCCTGTGTTCCAGCCACTCCAGCCATGGCTGAAAGGGGCCAAGGTAGAGCTCAGGCTGTGGCTTCAGAGGGTGGAAGCCCCAAGCCTTGACAGCTTCCACATGGTGTTGAGCCTGTGGGTGCAAATAAATCAAGAAATGGGGTTTGGGAACCTCTGCCTAGATTTCAGAAGATGTGTGGAAATGCCTGGATGCCCTGGCAAAAGTTTGCTGCAGTGGTGGGGCCCTCAAGGAGAACCTCTGCTAGGGCAGTGCAGCAGGGAAATGTGGGGTTGGAGCCCCCACACAGAGTCCCTGTTGGGGCACTGCCTAGTGGAGCTGTGAGAAGAGGGCCACTGTGTTCCAGACTCTAGAATGGTAGCTTGCACCGTGCACCTGGAAAAGCTGCAGACACTCAATGCCAGCCTGTGAAAGCACCCAGAAGAGAGGCTGTACCCTGCAAAACCACAGGGGCAGTGCTACCCAAGACCATGGGAACCCTCCTCTTGCATCAGCATGACCTGGATGTGAGACCTTGAGTCAAAGGAGATCATTTTGGAGCTCTGCGATTTGACTGTCCTACTGAATTTCAGACTTGCATGGGCCCTGTAACCCCTTTGTTTTGGCCAATTTCTCCCATTTGGAATGGCTGTATTTACTCAATACCTGTACCTCCCCTTTGTAGCTAGGAAGTAACTAGCTTGCTTTTGATTTTACAGGCTCATAGGTGGAAGGGACTTGTCTCAGATGAGACTTTGGACTGTGGACTTTTGGGTTAATATTGAAATGAATTAAGACTTTGGGGGATTGTTGGGAAGGCATGATTGGTTTTGAAATGTGAGGACATGAGATTTGGAGGGGCCAGGGGCAGAATAACATGGTTTGGCTGCGTCTCTGCCAAAATCTCAACTTCAATTGTATCTCCCAGAATTCCCACGTGTTGTGGGAGGGGCCCGGGGGAGGTAATTGAGTCATGGGGGCCAGTCTTTCCTGTGCTATTCTCATGATAGTGAATAAGTCTCGTGAGACCTGATGGGTTTATCAGGGGTTTCCGCTTTTGCTTCTTCCTCATTTTTTCTCTTGCCGCCACCATGTAAGAAGTGCCTTTCACCTCCCACCATGATTCTGAAGCCTCCTCAGCCATGTGAAATCGTAAGTCCAATTAAGTCTCTTTTTCTTCCCAGACTCTGGTATGTCTGTATCAGCAGTGTGAAAACGAACTAATACATTGACTTGTCCAGCATAGCTGGAAGGGATAAATTGGGTCATCTAGATCTTCTCTTAGCAATTATGAATTGGAGAATAATTATTGAACCAGCTAGCTATAGAAGCTGAACTGAACTAAAGGGACAAGAGGAAGCTTGGACCTGGGGTGGCTACCTTGGTCAATTTATGTAGTGAAGCTCAAGAGAAGTAGAGACAGAACAAGTGAAATAAGTGGGGCTGCACACAGGTGCCTCCCCTACCCAGGGCCTCCTTTGCTTGGGGTTTGGTTTCCACTTGGCCTGGGCTTTGGGGAGTATCAAGGAATGGCTTTACACACTGACTGATGGGTGCTGAGGGACTCCCCAGATTTATCTAGGCTGATATTGTGTAGTAGTACCAAAGATATTGATGGCAATTAAGATAATAATAAAAATGGAGATAGCAATAATGATAACTCGAAGTAAGGACTTGCTGTGTGCCAAGAACATTCTTAAGCACTTTACCTGTATGTTATCATGTCTTCCTTACAACGACTCCATGAGGTAAGAACTATTATTATCTTCCTATTATAGATAAAGAACCTGAGATCCAGGGAGATCAATAGATTCTCCCAAGTTCACTTGGCTAGTTAGTATTGAAGTCTGAATTGAGGTTTAGCCAGCCAGACCCAGGCATGCTATGCTATACTAAAATTATGCACCCTCATACACACACATGCATACGAATGGGCCCTGGATTCACACAACTCTCGAGTCAAGCTCTCCTTATTCTTATTCTACTCCAGCAAGCATCTCAACCTATCTTAAGCTCAATTTTCAGGGGAAGTCCCTAACACAGTGTCTGACACTCAGTAAACGTATAGTAGCCACTCAGTAGATGTGTCTTCCTTCGTTTGATTCTTCTTCTCATGTCTGAGAGAGTGTTTGGGCATCTACATTTACATAGGGGTCAGAGGTGAGCACTGGTGCTTTGTCCCTGGCTTTCTACTCTGGCAGAGAGAGCACATTTTACCTTCAGAGAGGCAATTAGACCCCAGATGGCAGCACTGAGCTTCTGCACAGTATTGGCTCCCCAGTGGACTAGGCAGAAGAACATCACCTCCAGGATCCCCCTCAGGTGTGGGTGTGACCTAGTTACTGGATGGTTGCAGAGAGGACAGACCCCAGTTACTGGATGGATGCAGAGAGGACAGACCCCATGGGGGAGTCAGGGAAATGAGTTGAGTTCCAGGGGGCTGGTAGCTCCCACACTCACAGAGTGGAGTGTTGGGGATGTCAGGAGCCCTCATCTCTGATCTGAGCCTGTCCCTCCCTTCTGCTCTTTCCCTTTTTCCCAGCCCCACCTTCTCACTTTAAGTCTCTCTATGTCTCTCTTTTTCACTCTATTGCTTTTCCTTCCCCCTCCTTTCCCTTTGCTCTTTCTCTCTCCTATCTTCCATCCTTTGCTTTTCTCCTTTGTTCTTCCCCCACATCTTGCCATCTTTGCTCAGCTGCCCTCCCCTCTGACTACTAGCCTTTGTCTTACTAATTGGGATGGGCAGTTCCATCCCAAGCTGCCCTGATTTGACCCCTGACTGTGAGGGCTTTGATAGTCCTTGAGATAACAGCAGCCTCTGCCCAAATGAGGTTTCTGTCTTGAACAATCACATTGCCTGCTTGGTAATGTGGTTTCGGCTTCTGTAAAATGGGGACAGAGCTGGTGCTGGACCAAATCCAATTCCCCAACTTGACTTTATACTTGAAGAGTGTGCGTCTTCCACACAATGTGAAACTATATAGCAATACGAATGAACAAGTTATAACTACACCCACAGAGAGGATGTTGAGTAAAAGATGCCCAGACACAAATTTACTGAATGATTACATTTATAGGGAGTTAGCAAAACTGACAAGAGGCATCTATGGTGTTAGCAGTCAGAATAGTGGTTACCCTTGGGGGAGTAGTGACAGAAGGGATTTTTTTTCTGGGGTGCTAATCACACTCCATTTCTTGACCTGGGTATTGGTTACATGGTGGTGTTCACTTTTGAAGATTCTTCAAACTATTCATTTGTGATTTGTACAGTTTTCTGTATTTATTATAGAGAAAACATTAAATTATTTGAAATGGACCAAAACATAACTGGGCATTTTTAATAGAAATCAAGGTGTCTAAAACACCTGTTGTGTAATAAAGAATTTGGCTGGCCTTTGCTCCTTGTTTTGGAGAGGGAGCCTCTAATCCCTTGGAATTTTTGGACTGTTAAGAATGTGTTTGTTATTCATGGCTTGCATCTCAGACACACCTGGCTTCATGCTAATGAGGTGACTAATGGTGGTCCCTAGATGGTTTCAGGATGGGAGCTGGCCACACCAGAAAGACCAACCATGTGATTAAGAGGTTGGAGCTTTTAGTGAAGTGATGTCAGTTTGACCTCTGGGGAGTGGAGGCAGGTTAGAGATTGAGTTCAGTCACATGGTCAATGATTCATTCAATCCATAGTGAAATCCCAGTAAAAATTCTGGACATTGGCGCTCAGGTGAACTTTCCTGGTTGGGGATGCACATCTATGTGCTAAGAAGGTAGCACATCCTGAGGATGTGGAAACCTTGTGTCTGTAGCCGTCCCATACTTCACACTGTGGGTCTGGTCTCTTCTCTTGGCTGGTCCTGATTTAATCCTATGTAATAAAGCTGTAATCATAAGTATAGCACTTTCCTGAGTTCTGTAGGCTGTTCCAGTGAATTATTGAATCTGAAGGAACCTCTGAGTTTGTAGCTAGTTGGTCAGAAGTGTGGGTAGACTGGGGACTTTCAAGCTTGTGGCTGGTGTCTTAAATGAAGGCAGTCTTGTCGAGGACTGTGTCCTTTACTTGTGGAGTTTGACCTGATTCTAAGTACGGAGAGTCAGAAATGCATTGTGGTACCCTTCTGGGCAATCTGATTTGTTAAAAGAAAACTTCAACCAAGTTAAATAAGAGTTTAATTGAGCAAAGAATGATTCATGAATTGGGCAGCCTCCCAAGCCAGAGTAGGCTCAGAGAGTCCAGCACAGCCACATGGTGGAAGAAGATTTATGGACAGGAAAAGGAAAGTGACATACAGAAAATAGGAGTGAAGTCAGAAACAGCCGGATTCGTTACAGCTCAGTGTTTCCCTCATTTGAACACGGTTTAAACAATTTACCACATTTGATTGGCCAAAACTCAGTGATTGGCAGAAGAGCAGGCTACAGTCTGTTTACAATTCCATTTAGATTATAGTTCGCAATGTACTGAGAAAACTTTAGGCTGACCTTAAAATATGTAAGGAGGAGGCAGCTTTAGGCTAGATTTAACAGATTCTATAAGGGCTCAGTGACCTTTAATATCTTTGAGCTTTTTTATACCTTTGTAAGTTGTAGTTAACTGAAAGCAGTGTAAATGATAGCTGCCCATAGATGTGCACATTTTGTCTGGTGATAGAGGGATAATCCCTCTTCAGTACTCCCAAAGCCAGTTGTATATCTATTTGTAAATTCATTTCAGCATGAACTGAATCAACTATAAAAGTGTGATACTTTGAGTTATCTTTTGAACCCATCATAACATCTTACTGATTCCATAGTTAATAGGTTAAATATCTTCAGCATATTTTCATTTTATATTTGCATAAGAGTCATGATTGTCTTTTAAAGTTTAATAATGTTTTATACTTCAATAATTTTTTTTAAAATATGCATTTTCCCAGGCCCTATATGAGCCATACTGATCCATCATTTCTGGGATTGGGGCTACAGGAATCTGCATTATAATAAATTTTCTCAGTGATTCTGATGCTATTACTCATGGCCTAATAATTGAAACTCTGCACTAGACAATAGCCAAGGCTCCCTGTGGCTTCGGCACATCAGGATTTGAGAGCAGATTTGAACCTCCAAGGTTATCATTTGACGCCATTTATCTTCATCCTGTTTGGGGTTTTCATTCATAAAGGAGTTCCTGGCCAGGATTTGCAAAAGAAAATAAAGGTTACACCCTTGCAAAGCGGTGTTTGGAAAGCCTTCTAGCCAAGACTTTTCCTTCATTCTGTTCTGGAGTCCAACCAAAGAGGCTAACAAAGAATCAGGCAGGGCTGGGCTGTGACTCAGGCCAAGGTAGACAGAAGCTGAAGAGCCCCCACTTACTTCTATGCCACTTTCTTATTAAGCTGCAGCCTTGGTTTTGCAATGGAATTATTTTTTTTTTGTCTTTCTTCCTTCAATTTCTAATGCAAACAGCAATCCTCAGAAAAGCAACATTTATTAAATCAGGAGAATTACAATATCAATGGGAAGTTATCATGCAATAACCTTCTATTGATTTGTGTATTGCCAGTAATGAAATCAACTGGAATATTATTTATTAAACATATTGATTAGCAAAAAATAATTTGCAAGGATGGAAGCCTGACTCTACAGGGGATCCCACTGAGTTTTGAGTGTGTATCTGCAATTTTTTCCTTTTGCTTGGGGAAGAGCTGTAGTGAGTATCTGACCCAATACAGAGCTAGCCCCAAGATGCAGTGTCCTTGAGAGCATCCACTGGGGAAGGGCAGATTTGTAGCCTGTTGGGCCTGGACATTTGTATGATTGGCCAGAAAGGGCCCAGAACAGACTGCCATTGTTTCTCTACCAAAGACAGGATGAAGTACTGACTGGGTAGAGTTGTTTCTCACTCCTGCTTATCCCAGGGAGAGAGTGGTGGCTGGGAAGTGGGGAAAAGTACAAAGGGGCAATATCTTGGTTTAGGTTCTCCCAAAAGCAGACACTGAGGTAAGATTTGGGGGCAGGTGGTTTGTTTGGGAGATGATCCTGGGAAGTACAGGGAATGAGGGGATGGGGAAGGTGGAGTGTGTCATCAGTGAGTGTGTCATTGACCGGGTAGCACTTTGGGCAACTGGGGCTCAGTTCTGCTGGGGACCCTCTGAACATATGTTTGACATATATCATAAATGCTCACCAAGGGACAAAGAAGCTGAGGCATTTTCCACTAGCTCCTGCCTCTCATTGATTGAGACACATTCCTCTTTATCTTAACCCTCTGGCATCTCTTGTATTCCTGGGCTATCACACACATTGGCTGAGCATGTTATTCAGGAAGTGCGTAGCTATATGTAGAAAGATACAGGTGCTTGAGGAGGAACCTTCTTAATGGATGAGAATGGTCCACTGCAGCTGTAGGATCTTTGCGGCCAAGGGGATGTGGGAGGTGCCTGACAGTATGTGCCACAGACACACCAAGCATCAGTCTCAGGGCAGGTTTTCCTTGCAGCCATCTTTGATTTTTAACTCTTCCTCACAGGTTCCCTGCAATCTTGAATCCTTTCTCTTCTTTGAACAGTATCTTGAATTTTCACAGAGGAGCAGCAGTATGAAAATAAAAACACTTCTGAGTGCTTACTAAATGCAGTTGATCTCATTCATTCTTTACAATGAAGAATGTAGATGAAGCCACTGTTATCTGTGTTTTGCAGATGAGGAACCTGAGAACACAAGAACATGCAGGGTAGAGAATGAGAGATCTGGAAGTCAAGCCAGTTTGTCTGACTCCAAAGTGCATGATTTGGTTCTGAGTAGAATGATTCTGAGCATGGGATCTTGGGATAGATTTCCTGGAATGGTATCTTGGCTTCATTCCTATTAGTTTTGTGAGCTTAAATAAAGAACTTAACCTCTCTGATCACCAGTTTCTTCATCTGCTGTGGGGATAACAAAACCTGCTGCTCCACAGGCAATAGTGAGGATTAAATGACATCATGGACTTGGTTATTACATAGTAATTTTAGTTAAAATTCATGTATGTATCATCACCGTTACCCATCACTGAACTTCATGGCTGCTGTACTGTGCCTCACCTGTTTGCTCTGATTCATCCCTTATCCTTCCTTGCTCCTTTCTGTGTCATAGGGAGGCTGACACCTGCAGCTGCCTTTTCCAGACTCCCACATTTACGGGTTTCTGGCTGGGCTTAGCCAATAGGAGGTGCTGATGGGAAATTAGAGGGTTGGAGGAAGAGAGAGGCCAGGGTACTTCTCCCCCTCTGCATCTTAAGGTGGTAGCAGCTATGCTTCTTTGATGGCTCCTGTTGTTATGGGACACTTTCTATGCATGAGCATGGCCCCTGGCTCCTAGTAACCCCACCTCCTCCCTCTGTCTCTGGGTGGTAGCAGCTTCCTGCTATTGTTAATCTCTGGGTTTCCTCTCTGTTTGGTTTCTCAGTCCTTTCATCACCATTACAGCCAATTTCCTGGGATAAACCCTCTTTGCTTGTGGCTTATTTTCCTTTTTTAGATTCTGATAAAAGCACTTTTAATATGATAGTGTCATTTCCATGTCTGAAATAATTTTACAGTTCTGCTGCTGAGATCCTTGTGCTAGACACACAAACTTTGGACAAGGCAGGGATGGGAAGAAATAGGATCAAGGTGATTGAAGAAAAGAAGTCCTAACAATTATGGAGAATCTGTTACATATTGTACTGTTTACACCTTATTTCAGGCTTGGCTTATTTCATCTTTACACTGTAAAACTATACAACTGGCATTACTGCACCCATTTTATGGATAGACAAAATAAGATGCTCAAGAAAGATTAAAGAGCCATGTTAGCAGTAGGTCTTTGCTGGAGGTGATACCAAGGGAATTCCAATGATACTCATCTAAATTCAAAGACACTCCCTACTACCTCTCAAGGAGAGGAGACCTTCCTCTCCACCAGCATTCACAATGACAAAAAAAAAAGAAAGAAAAGTTTCTGACTCTGGTTAGATCAACAATAGCTGATGGGTAATTAGGCTGAAAAAAATTGCTGGCACCTCCCAAATTGACCTGGTGATAAGGACGAAAGCACGGCAGTACTTGGGAGTACAGCCCTGAAAGGTTAATGCCACACTCTGACATGTGGATGTTGTTCTCCTGGCCAGATATTCACATGGGTGGCAAACTCCCATTGGTGCACCCAGGATTTGACAGAGATGTACTCACACTTAAACAATATGTGACCTAAGTGGACACCCTACTGGATGTCAGCAGAGGGGCAGCTGGCTCACTATGGGTTCCAGCATAGAGAAAGAGGGTTGGCCTATTCCCAGGGCAGTGGTTTGAGAATGTGGTGGCTGTAGAACATGTGTCAAATCCGGAGGTGGAGTCTTTATCCCTCCCCTTGAATGTGGACTGGCTTTAGTCATTCACTTATAATGAACAGCATCCTACGGAATTGATGCTCTGGGCTTCCAAGCCTGGGTCATAAAAGATATACAGCTTTGGGTGGGCATGGTGGCTCACACTTGTAATCCCAGTACTTTAGGAGGCTGGGGCAGGCAGATCACGAAGTCAGGAGTTCGAGACCAGCCTGACCAATATTATGAAACCCCATCTCTACTAAAAATACAAAAAATTAGCCGAGCATGGTGGTGCACACCTGTAATCCCAGCTACTCGGGAGGCTGAGGCAGGAGAATCACTTGAATCTGGGAGGTGGAGGTTGCAGTGAGCCAAGATTATACCACTGCACTCCAGCCTGGGCAACAGAGTGAGACTCCATCTCAAAAAAAAAAAAAAAAAAAAAAAAAAAAAAAAAAAAAAAAGAAAGAAAGAAAAAGATATACAGCTTCCACCTGGCCCTCTCTCAAGACACAACCCTTGATGCCTTGGACCTCTATGTAAGAAATCCGGCTGCCCTGAAGCTGCCATCTAAAGGGACCTTTTGGGGAGATCATGTAGATATAGAGATGCCCAAGGAACCCCAGCTGTCCCAGAGCCCAGCCATTTGAGTCTTCCCAGTCTGGGCACCTGCCATGAGTGAGTAGACCTTCAGCTGTTTCTAGCTCCCTGAGAGAGGGCAGGGACTGGGGCAGGAACAGTGAGAAGGAGCAACAGTGCTGAGCCAGCCATAGAGGAGCCTGGGGCAAAAGGAAACACCAGTAATGCTGACCCTGTCTTTAAAATTTTGATGTTTTGTTCACAGATGTTTTGCATTAGTTTTGATTTTTAAAAAGTATCAGTTGAAATATTATTTATCTCAATGACTGAGTTTTTTTGGCATCCCTTTAAAATGTGTGCCCAAGGTGAGTGCCTCATTTGCCTCATCTTAGTCCTTGCCTGTGAGAGACCTTAAGCAAGAGCTGCCTGGCTGATCCAAGTCGGTGCCCAGAAGACACAAGGGCCATAATGACATTGGACTGATTCATTTTGCAGCAATAGCTGCATACAAAGAATAATCATGGTCAGTTTGCCTGGATTTAAATACTGACTCCACTACCAGTTAGCTGGTGTCACTGGACATGCTGGCTAACCTTGCCAAGCTTCAATTTCATCATCTGCAAAATGGGCACAATAACAGTACTCTCTTCATGGGATTGTTGCGAGAATGAAATGTAAATGTTCCATGCGAAGCATTAAACACACTGCCTTGCATACAGAGAGTGCTCAGTAAATGTTAGCTATCATTATTTTTGTTTTTGCTGCCATTGTTACATAGCAGTTGGAGAACCTGGGAGAGCTCTGCCTGGATAATTTCATGGGGCCAATGTCCTTCCATTATGCTGCATTGTACCATCGAGGATAATTGCTCTCTGAGCTATATTTCCATTACCAGGTGCCATATCACAGCAATGTTTTATATTATATCATTTTATTTTATTTTTGTGAGGCAGGGTCTCTGCTGCCCAGGCTGGAGTGCAGCAGTATGAACACAGCTCACTGTAGCCTCCACTTTCTGGGCCCAAGCAGTCCTCCCACCTCAGCCTCCCAAGTAGCTGAGACCACAGGTGTGTGCCACCACCCTTGGCTAAATTTTTTAATTTTTTGTACAGACAAGGTCTCACTATGTTGCCCTGGCTGGTCTTGAACTCCTGGGCTCAAGGGATCCTCTCCCCTTGGCCTCCCAAAGTGTTGGGATTACAGGCATGAATCATCATGCCTGGCCTTACTGCAGTATTTTAAACCTAGATTGGAAAATTAGCAATTAAAAGTGTTAAATATAGAACTATCAAATAGATGGACTAAAGACATATCAAGCTCTTGGTAAGAACAACAGTCTTGGACTGACAACCTCTGAGTTAAAGGACAGCCGTGTTTTCAGAATGAGAGCACAACTAGATAATTGATTGGTTCATCCTCTTCCCTCTGGCTGGTGTTGCATTTTGGTTGTAAATATGCACGAAGTGTGTGCATGTGAATGTGGGACTGGAGGGAAACCATGAGTATCTAATTAGGCATGTTTATATGTGACCTGTGTGCTTATGTGTGTGCGTGTGTGTCTGTGTGTGTGCATGCATGTGTCTGCGTGTCTCTGTGTTTCTACATATGGGTCTGTGTGTATATGTGTGTGTGCCTGTGTATATCTGTGTGTATGTGTGTTGTGTGTCTGAAGGTAAACTCCAAGAAGGCAGGGGCCATGTACTTAGCATAGTCACTGGTACAGAATAAACACTCACTATTTGTTAAATGAATGAATGAATGTGTATGCGTGTCTGTGTGTGTGTGTGTGCATGCATGTCCATATGTGAGTGCGGGTGTTTGGGTTTCTGAGAGTGGGGTTATTAATGCTTGAGTGGGTGTGAGGGTCCTACATCTGATTATGTGTTTAGGTTTCTGTAAGTCTAGAACTTGACCATGCAGAGACAATGAATTTTCTTGCACTCCTCTGACCCCTACCTGTGCTCCCACTCATCTTCCTTAGGGCTCCCCTTGCCTGGGGAGCTACCCTCCTCACCAGCCTGTAGCCAGCCCCCATTTGGACCTTTACTTCTGTGTGTCTTCCGGAGGACACAGATGGCAGGAGCACGGAATCGGAAGCACTTGGCAATGAAGCAGCAATTCATTCCGCAATCCCTTCGTATTCATCGCAACAATGCCTGCTCTGATGGGCTCCGCGCGCTGAATGCAGCTTTCAATGTGCAATCCAGCGGGAATTGTGGTGCTTTGTGGTCCTCATCACGTCCACTTATTGTCAAGTGTTGCTGAGAATTCTCCCACTCGGGATGAGGGAACCACTTGTTTTAGCAACTGATTTCCGAAACCTTCTCTGGGTTGGGGTATCTGCGAAGCTCCTGGTGATGTGTTATTGTTCCTGGTTTGTGTTTTGGACACTCATGTGCTCTGCTGAAGTATGTAAATTGCCATAATGTGAGGAAATGTGATATAAAAATAACTCCGGGGCAACAAACACCAGAGGAGCTCCAAGATTGGCACAGCCTTTCCTGGTCCTGCCTTGGGGCTAGGGAGCATCTCTTGCCGGCAGTGTTGGCAGCAAAGGCCTGAGATGCCCTGGAATGACCACTGCCCATCCTCCTGCAGCTGCCCAGCTGGCCTGCTGGAGAAGGGCGGGTGAGACCCCTCCTAGGAAGGCAGGAACAGCTGGATGTGGACCGTCTCCTTTTTTCGCAGCTGGTCAACAGAACCACAGGCTTTGCTCTGGCTAAAGGGAATCTGCCACCCCTGACTATTCAGGTGGCTGCACACACTCAGGGGCAAATTCACATTCATTGTTGGCCGCCCACAGCCCGTTCATCTTGCCAGCAGGGGGCTGTTTCCCAGGATCCCAGGTCAGGTGGCTTCAGCTGGGATCCACTGGGAAGCATTGATGGGGAGTGGAGGACAGCGGAGGGGAGGATGGAGACAGGAGGAGCTGGGAAAGTCTCTGTTTCCCTCTCCTCTCTGACTCAGATAATGTCTTCAGGAGCAGCTGGTCTCCTCTGTGGATCCAGACCCTAAAGGTGACCTCCTGTGGTCTTAGCTTCTGGCAGAAGACCCTTGCTCCTGGTCATCCCATCTCTCCTCTGACCCTCTGGCCTAGCGGTGGTGGTGATCTCCTGCTGTTGTTTATCTCTGGGTTGACTCACTGGCCCTTGTTTGGCCTCTCAGCTCTTCCATTACCCATGTGACAGATTCCTGGCATCGAAGTCCCTCTGTTTTAAGTGTTCAGTAGTTTCTTTTTCTTGTTTAGACTCTGATACTTCATCAAGGACGTCTTGGACTACCAGATCTTCCTCCATGGCCTGTCGAGGAAATGAATCAAAAGGCAAACCAGGCACAAGGGAAACAGGCCATTTTTCTACAAGGATGGAACTGAAGGGGAATTAACAGCAATAACAAAAATATCTAACATTTACTAAGTTCCACATGTTGGTCACTGTGCTCAGCACTTTATACTTATTATCTTATTTAATACAGTAACCATTTGAGGTGGATATTACTATTATTCTATTCTATATGAGAAAGCTGAGGCTTACAGAAGTGAGGCTGATATATCTAACAGAGTGTGCACGCAATGGTCAGGATTTGAATCTAGCAGCTTTATCCCAGGACTCAGGCTGCAGGACACAGTGTGCTTCTCCTTTTTTAGTAGCACCTTTCAAGCTGTAGCTGGTGGTGCTGTAGTTCCACTTGATGTTACACAGGCAATAACAACAAAGGGTTCTACAGTGCACTGAAATTGGGGACATGGCATGTTCTATCCCCACCCTATCTTGGAGGTTTGCAATGCATATTGACATATTAAAGGCTCTGATAAGTCCTGCAGGAAAGAAGCACCTCTAGTTCAGTGAACCCCAAGTGTTCCCCTGTGGAATTCTCGTGTTACTCTTGTTAGCATCCTTTAGGGGTTGGTGGTCCAGGGACGTCATTTTGGAAAATAGTGCCCTAGAGAGGGGACTCATCTTGAGAATATCATATTTTATATATATAGTTGTATTTAATATTTTAAGATGAATTATCTGAAAAATCGACTGGGGACAGAGGTCTTAACATTGCAGATTGAGAAAATGCCTTAGGAATGATTGCTTCTAATGCCTTTCCCACTTCCTGAATTATTCTCTCCTGTCCCATCAAAGTGTTCGTGGGCTTTGCCTGGACTCTCCCAGGACTGAAGCATCCTCCCTCCAAAGCCTTGCAAGCTATTGTTGGATGTCTTGGAGGCTGAAAGACATTCACCTTCCTGTAACTCTCATCCATGGACTTTGCTTCTTTTCTCACGGGGCAGTTCACTGACTTTTAGAATGTATTCATCATGTCCACCTTCTGTCTTGCATTTTCCAGCCTAATCTGTTTCTGTTCCCTGGTGGGTTTGCACACCCTCCAGGGTGCCCTCCTCCTTGGAGGCTGGTGCCCTGTGTTGAACCAGCAGAATTAGGGTGTGCCAGCTATATGCAGAGGTGAGAATAGAACTCCTGCCTTTTAAACTTTCTGTATCTACTAATATTAATAACATTCATATTGTAAATGCTGTCTTCTGGCCACCAGATCAGAGTTTTCAATGAGATTGAATCTATATAGTCAGCCCAAGCTTTGACATGTCCTATATATTATTTTTAATTTCACAGAAGCTGCTGTTTGTGTCTCCCTCATCCTATGCTTCTGCAGATGATTTTGAGATCCTATTGCAGGACTTAGCAAATGTCTCTATCAAATGTTATTTCATTAGTTTGACGCTTTATCTCTGTTTTCTCTTGCATCTCATTCACATCCACAGTCTACATTTTCATCCACATCGTTGATAAAAATGTTGGATAGGATAAAGTCAACCATAGTGACCTGGGACTCACCAACAGACCTTGACACTGGTCTACTAGACAACGACTTGCTTATTAAGCCCTGTCATAGGCATTCCCACATTTCTACTTTCCTTTGATTAAACTGATGCTCAGGTATGTAAAATAAAATGTACAATGAGAATGCACTTGTGGCAGGACTGGTACCTAAAGCCCATGCTCAGTCCAAGAAAGTTTGCCATTCTTCAATAGAAATGTGCTCTGCCTTCCAACCAAGGCTATTGGGAAAACATGGTCTGAAAACGTTTTGCAGGATATGGCAGAGTTACCCCTGGGTAGTACAATGGTGGCCAGGGCTTCCTAAGTCACACTGGGCTGTGTAACATGATGGTGCTCCCAGCATCCTCACATCCCCATCTTTGCAGATGGTGATGACGTGGTTCCCCCAGCATCTCCGACACCCTTCAATGAAGCAGTCTTCATTGCCTCACAGACCCGCCTGCCTGAGTTTTCTACCTGGCCTGCCCCATTCTCAACAGGACAGAAGAGCAGAGGGTCATAGGTCACACCAGCACTAGGAGGTTCCCATGAACACCTCCTGGATGACTCATTAGCATATTAATGCACAGCCTGTCTCCTGAGAATTAAACAAAGTTAGGGGTCATTTAATTGGAAATCTAAAGGACAGCACCTACCACAATCTGTCCAGAATTTATGCACGTCTGTCTTGATGAACTTGGAGGGAATGGATGATTCACAATGGGCCACCTGCCTTCTGATTTATAACCCATCATTTACATGTTACTAAAGTCAATTGGCACGTGCAGAAGGTCATCCTCAACTAGAATTAGGCTCACTAAATCTCTGGGGGCCTGGTGTTCTAGTCAAGTTGTGCCCCAATCATAGGGCCTAGGCTTCTATGGCCAGAGGAAATGACGAAAGACCTGGGCCAAAGAGTCTTGGGAAGGACAGTGTCCAACCCCAGGGAGCCCTGGCCTCCTGGTGGACTGTACTACTCAGTAGATTGTAGACTCTAGGTCATTGTTAAGAGCATGAGATCTAGAGTGAGACTGTTTACTTTCTAGCCCTCTAACTTTGAGGAAGCCACCTAACCTTTCTTAGCTTTGGTTTTTTGTCTATAAATGGCAATAATAAAAGTAACAACATCACAGGGTTGTGAAAATTAAAATGAGCTACATTAAATATTTAGGAAAGGGCCTAGTATATGAGGATGCTTGCTCAGTGTTGGTTATGAGATTCTAGTAGTTGAGTGGCCCATTTGTGGAATCAAGACGACTTGTATTCAAATCCTGGTTCTGTTATTTAATAGCTGTATGACCCAGTGAAATGTACTTACAGTCTCTCAGTCTTTATGTTTTCATAAGTAGTCTGAAGATGAAGTAGGTAATAATGCACCTAATTCTCAGGGCGGTGGTGAGTTTGAGTTAAAGGGGGCTATTTAGGTAAAACACTCAGCAGTGTGTTTTTCAAATAGCCCTGCTGCTCTTTAAAGGTTAGCAATGTGAAAGAAGGTTGTGGTAAGTCTCGATTTGGACTACCGCCTGTCTGACCAGATCTTGTTTCATAGTTTGTCATGCATGAGCTGCGAGCTGGCCTGTTGTTCTCTCCTCATGTATTTTAAATGTATTTGTAATATTTTGTTCTTAAAAAATAATAATTGTATGTTTTTATGGGGCACAGTGTGATGTTTTGATAGTGTATATATTGTGGAATGATTGACAACAGCCACATTTCTCACCTACAGGATCAAAGATTCCTTGTTCTTTCTTGACTTGCTTTCATAAATATCTATAGCTCTTGTTTTTTTTTTAAATTTTATTATTTTTATACTTTAAGTTTTAGGGTACAAGTACACAACACTTGTTTTTACTTCTTCAGGCTTTCCCCATTTTGCCTCTCCGAAATTCCCTACTCAGAATCTACCTTTAGCCCACGAACATATCAACTCTCCTTTGACTAAATAATTGGGATTTTTTCTTCCCTTGTCTACTTTGAATTTGAAACATCCAAGTGCTGGCAAATGGATTCTTTCCATGGTAGAAGCAGCACTGACATTCATAGCCAGGCTTCACTCTCACCTGTGTTCAGGGCATGGAGTCTGTGAGTTTGAGTAACAGCCTGCAGCCCCTGCTCATAGCACGGAGATCTCTGTTCTATTGATTGATAACCCTGGTCAGAGCCTTAGTGACCACCTGCTCTGACCATTGGGCAGCAGGACCATGGCTGAATTAGCAGCCATCCAAGGCACATACAGAGTGGACCTACTCAGGAAACTTGTGCTGAGTGGAGAAAATGATGAACAGAGTTACAAAAATTAGAGGGTATGTTTCCTTCTTCCTTCCTTCTCTTAAAGAGAGTTAATAAGTGGTGCCTTTCTTGAGGTAAAACACATAGAATCAACATTTTCCTTATCAACATGTTATTTTCAACATTTAAAGTAATCTCAGTGGGTTGATATTTTTTGGAAAAGTTAGTTGACTTATTTCCAGTGAATTTTCCTGAGTTTTCATTATTAAAAAAACATAAACTACTCGTGATGCATTTTATAATCAATTCATTGTAATAGCTAATATGTATTGATTGCCTTCTCTATGTCAAATCCCAGGCTTGGTGCTTCATGTACCAATCCCCTGCCATCCTCCCAAAGGCCCTGAGACTTAGGTATTTGTATTATGGTAATTGCTCCAGCTGTCCCAACATACAAACTGTGAAATCTCAGTGGCTTAATGTGATTAAGTTGTATTTCTCACTCTTAGTTTGATGGGGTTGGGTGGGCTCTCTGTTGCAGTTACAACATCTGCAACGTGTGGCCCCCAGGGTCACTATGATAAAGGGAGGGAGGAAATGAGACTTTTATTGGGTGTGTTTAAAAGTCAGGCCTCGAAGCGACTGACATCACTTCCACCCATATCCCATTGACCAGAACTCAGTCCATGGCCCAACCCAAGTGCAAGGGGGGCTGGGAAAGATACAAGACTACGTGGACATTTGATAGTCGCTAGCACTATTCACTACATGTCATTTCTATTTAATCAACAAAAACCAGAAGTTCATAAAGTTAAATAAATTGCTCCAAGTCATACATAGTAAGAGGAAGAGCCAGCAATTGGAATCAGATCTCCTGACCTCGAAGCCTATGCTACCCCAACTTTTGTTCACCCCATCTTTCGTGAGTTCTGTCCTTTAGAGAGAAAAGATACATATCTTTGGATGCTAGAGAGGTCTGGATATGGGGTCAGCTTCACACTCCATCCATCTGCAGCCGAGGGGAGCTGAGAGAAGGGATAAGGTCCATTCCTTATTTAAATGCTATGCAATCCAAGGCAAGCAGCTTAACTACTCCAAGGCTCGATTTCCTATCTACAAAGGGTAGGAACTAATCATACTGCCACAGACAGAATTCTAAGATGGCATCCAAGATTTATGTTTGCTGTTGAACATTCCCGATATAATCTCCTTCCCATGAGTGTGGGCAGGATCCATGAATGTGATGGAGTTATGCTACATTATATGGCAAAGGAGATTTTATAGATAAAACTATGGTCCCTGATCATTTTTGACTCTGAGTTAATAAAAAAAGATTATCCTGGGTGGTCCTGACCTAATCAGGTGAGTCCTTAAAAATAATAAGAAAATGCAGTAGATGCTCTTTTGCTGGCCTAGAAAAAAGCGAAAAGCCATGTTATAAATTGCCTGTGAAGGTCACATTGCTAGGACCTGAGGGTAGCTCCTAAAAGCTAAAAGGGACCCTAGCTGACAGCCAACAAGAAAACATGATCTCAGGCATACTAAAAGAAACTGGATGCTATAAACAACTTGAATGAGTTTGGAAGAGGACCCTGAGCTGCAGATGAGACCACAGCCTAGCTAACCTGTGCCTGGACTTCTGATCCACAGAACTCCTAAAGTAAATTTATGTTGTTTTAAGCTGCCAAATTTGTGCTAATTGACTATGTAGCAATAGAAACCAACACACATACCCATCTTGGAGTGTTGTTGGGAGGGTTAATTAAGACAACACATGCTACCTCTCCTAATACAAGGCTTGGCACATTGTAGGCATCAAAAATAGCCTGATGAACTGAGTCAAATTTCCCAGGATTTAAGGTGTCCAGAAGTTTGACTCTTGCTTCTCTGAGGACAGTTCTTCCTTTGGCTATGGTTGGTATGAGGGGAACTTGCACATTCACTATCTTAGGTCAAGTTCCCTAGAAGCAGAGCCTGTGCATGTGATGAGTTGAGGGAGGGCCTTCCAGAAGAACTCATGATGAGGTGAGAGAAGCAGGATGGGCTGGGGAAGAAGCTAGATCAAGTTGTGTGTTTAGCTGGAGACTAGCCTCAGCCTGAGCACATGGGGAGCCCGGGACCATGAATGGCACCACAGGCTTTGCCTACCTCAGGGCATGGGGTTGGGCTCTTGTATTCCACCATCAATCAGTTATGGGCTGGGGACCTCCCCTAGTGGGTGAAGGAGGGAGCTAACTCCCAAGCATTTCCAGGGCGATAAGTAGTGCCCACCCAGGACAATTCTCCAAAGAATGGGGCAGCTATGAGCTGCTTGCGGTGAGGCAGTACCTGGTAAAGGGGATCTGAGTGGGGCACCGACTGTATTTGCTACATTCTCCTTTTCTGCTGGTCAATGTGTTGATCTCTCAGGTTCTATTCTCAGTCCTTTACCTACCTTTCAGCCTCATAGACTTGAAGATCCCGGTTCAAGCCTTTTCTGTGATTATTTGGATCTTTCAAGGGTCTCCACAGACTCTCATCTCCATCGTTACACACAGACTCCAGCCAGCTCAGCTCTGATGTCATGCCCACGCCACCTCCAGTACCCCAGCACCCTGGGTGCCGGCTCCTTTAAGCCATGCTGCTAGATTAAGTACTTAAATATTTGTGGCCCCTGTTATGTGCCAGGTACTGTGCTGGGGGTGGGTGGGAGGAAATAAGGGTATATTAAGAAGAAGACCTTTCCCAGAGTTTACATTCTAGTAAGAAAGAGACTCATGAAAGAATCAATTATACAACTGTGGATGGCGTGTAGTGGACACCTCTTGTGCCTAGTGTCCTAGCAATCTTCTCACTGCCACCCTATACCCCCAGTGCCTTTCACTCCATCCATTGGTATGTACCAGCTGTGTGCAGGTGTAGCATGATAGCCCCTTGTCTCAGCTGAGCCTCTTGCTGTCTACCATGAGTCTTTCCTCCTGTCACTGCTGCATGGGAGACCTGCATGAAGCCTCTCAATAATTTGGACGCTTGGGAATTTTTGGAAGAGCAGAAATTTAACACTCCATGAAGCACTTTTGGCCACCAGGGGACCGGGGCCCTCATTTTCATACCTTGGGTGGAAATTTTGAAAAGCCTTCTCTATAGCTACTTAGGGCATCTCTGCAGGATTGAGTCCCAGTTGCTCATAGCTCGGTAACATATTATTGAATGGGCTTTACCCTCTTCTTGTTTCATTCTTCCCAGTACCTTCTACCACTCCTTGAGATCACCTCCCAAATAAGCTACCTGCACTCAAGCCTCTGTCTCAGGCATTGCCTTCAGGGGTAACTCAGGATATGGCAGGAGCTCTTAGGGCACCTAACATGCCACCTGCCATGAGCCCAACGGTAGATAGAAAGGATTTTTCTTTAAAATCAATACAAAATATTTTACATATTTATGGGGTACGTGTGAGTATTTGTTACATGCACAAAATGTGTAATGATCAAGTCAGGGTATTTGAGTTATCCATCACCTTGAGTATTTATTGTTTCCATGTGTTGGGGACATTTCAAGTCCTCTCTTATAGCTACTTTGAATTATACAATACATTGAGGCTAACTATAGTCACCCAGTCTGCTACAGAATAGTGGGCTTATTTCTTCTAACTGTATGTTTGTACCTATTATTGAACCCCTCTTTAGCCCTACCTTACACCACACACTTCCCGGTCACTGATATCTATCATTCCACTATCTATCTTCATGAGGTCAAGTTTTGTGTGTGTGTGTGTGTGTGTGTGTGTGTGTTTGTTGTTGTGGTTTGTTTTTTTTTTTTTTTTTTTTTTTTTTTTGAGATGAAGTCTTGCTCTTGTCCCCCAGGCTGGAGTACAATGGTGTGATCTCGGCTCACTGCAACCTCTGCCTCCCAGGTTCAAGCGATTCTCCTGCCTCAGCCTCCCGTGTAGCTGGGATTATAGGCGCCTGCCACCAAGCCTGGCTAATTTTTGTATTTTTAGTAGAGACGGGGTTTCACTATGTTGGCCAGGCTGGTCTCAAACTCCTGACCTCAGGTGATCCACCTGCCTTGGCCTTCCAAAGTGCTGGGATTACAGGCGTGAGCCACCGCACCTGGCCATGAGATCAAGTTTTTTTTAACTCCCACATATAAATGAGAACAGATGGTATTTGTCTATCTGTGTCTGGCTAATTTCATGAAACATAATGACCTCCAGTTCCATCCACGTTGCTGCAAATGACATGATTTTATTCTTTTATGTGGCCAAATAGTATTCCATTGTGCATATGTGACACATTTTCTTTATCCCTTCTTCCAAGGATGGACACTTAGGTTGATTCCATATCTTTGCTATTATGAATAATGCTGCAATAACATGGGAATGCAAGTATCCATTTGATACACCAATTTCTTTTCCTTGGTATAAATACCAAATAGGGAATTGCTGGAACACATGGTAGTTCTATTTTTAATTTTCTTGAGAAATCTCCATACTGTTTTTCATAGTGGGTGTACACATTTACAGGCCACCTAACTAAACTATTAACCAAGCTGAGAACTGAGAGCTGGCATAAAGCGGTGAATGGGACAGCGTTCTAGGTTGAGGATCCCTTGGCTCCTTCTGCACCTGGTGATCTATTTGTTCCTTTGCGACCTAATATTATCTGTTCCTTACAGGATCCTTGGATGTAACAGACATTTGGTCTTCTATTATGACACTTTCCAAAATATATTGCAGCAGTTCTGAAACCTTAGTGTACATAAGAACCATCTGGAGAATTAATTAAAAGGATTTTCGGCTCCTCTATTGGATATCTATCGCTGCTTAGCAAATTATCCCCAAATTTAGTAGCTTAAAACAACACACACGTATTATCTTACAGTTTTTGTGTAACAGGAAGCAAAGCATGACTTCACGGTCTCAGGATCTCTCACAAGGCTTTAGTCAAGGTGTTGGCTGTGGCTGGGGTCTCATCTGAAGACTCGATTGGGGAAGGATCTGTTTCTAAGCTTATTCATGTGGTTAATGGCAGGATTCACAGTTCTTCACCACATGGGCCTCTCTATAGGGCAATGCAACATCTTGTTTCATCAGAACAGAGATGCAAGAACAGACAGTGAGGTGGAAGAGTAAGATGAAAGTCAGTCCTTTGTAACCTAATCATAGGAGTGTCATCTCCTCACTTTTGCTGTATTCTATTTGTCAGAAGCAAGTTTCTAGGTCCTGCCCATACTTAAGAGGAGGAGATTGAATTCTAGGCCAGGATCACTGGGAGTCATTTTAGAAGGCAGCCTTCCATAGGCCCCACTTGTAAAGCCGCAGATTCAGGAAGTCTGGAATAAGGCCCAAGAATCTGCACTTTTTAGTAAACACACTAGATTGGTGGTTATTAAGCTCTGTTGCATATTAGAATTACTTAGGGACTGGGCACAGTGGCTTATGCCTGTAATCCCAGCACTTTGAGAGGCTGAGGTGGGCGGATCACCTGAGGTCAGGCGTTCAAGAACAGCCTGGACAAAATGGTGAAACCCCATCTCTACTAAAAATACAAAAATTAGCCAGGTATGGTAGCACACGCCTGTAGTCCCAGCTACTTCAGAGGCTGAAGCAGGAGAATCGCTTGAGCCCGGGAGGCGGAGGTTGCAGTGAGCCAAGATTGCGCCACTGCACTCCAGCTGGGCAACAGAGCAAAACTCTGTCTAAAAAAAAAAAAAAAAAAAAAAAAAAAAAACTTAGGGAACTTAGAAACATCCAGTGCCTCAGCTGTACCCAGACCAATTAAATCAGAGTCTCTGGTGGGGTGAGTGCGGTGTGTGGAGTCTGGATATCCATACTTTTTAAAGGTCTCTACATGATTCTAATGTGCAGCTAAGTTTGAGAGTTCTGGTGGTCTGTTACATTGCTAGCACTCAATAAACTATGCGTCCTGGTATTCATGTCCTTTCTTTTAATCAGGGCTGGGCTGTGACTTGCTTTGGTCCATTGAGTGCAGTAGAAGTGACACTGTGCCTAAGTCTTAAGAAGTGCCTGGCACCTTCCACTTTTGGACTCTTGGGAGCTCTGAGACCCCATGTAAGAACTCCTACATCCTCTAGAGAGAGACTGGAAAAGACCATGTGGAGAGGGAGAGCCTGCAACTGTATGGTTGTTGTTCAAGCCATTACGTTTTGAGGGTGATTTTTCAGCAATTTCTGTTTCAGTTACCTATTTTACTTATTCTTCCAACTCTACCATCTGGCTGGACTTGGTGAAGCAGTTTTTGAAGGTGGTCACTTGTGTGGCTACATTCAGCAGGGGGGATGTTTGGGGCTGGCTCAGCTGGGATGCTGGGACAGCTGGGCCTGGCTTTCTCTCCATGTGGTCTCAGAGCTCTCTGAGTGCAGAAGCAGAAGCTGTTTGGTCTCATGAAGACCTGAAACCAGCACTGTATCACTTTTCATGGAAGGTGGCTTGCTGGGGGCCCCAACACACAGATACCACAAAAATCAGTGCTTCTCAAACTTTCATGTGAAACAGATCCCCTGGGGACTAGGTTAAAAAGAGGAATCTGATTAGGTAGGTCTGGGGTGGGGCCAGAGAACCTGCATTTCTAATGAGTTCCTGAGTGATGCTAATGCTGCTGGTTCATGGGCCACATTTTGAGAATCAAGAGGCTAGAAGATTTCGTTATTGGTGCCCCTTGAGAGATACAGAGTTCTATTGTAATTATCTTTTCATACGTTTATTATTGATCCAGGGATGCTTAAACATCTTTAGTTTATGGACCCCCTAGACACAGGGAGTATTGCAGTAAGTTTAGAGTTTACAGACTTACCCCATCACCTGCCAGGAAGCCTTCTATGAACCCCTGCAAGTAAAGAATCCCTACCCTGGACTGGGAACTCCTAGATCTGTGTTATTATTTGGCCATGACAAACAGTAGGAGCTTAATATATGTTTGCTAAAAATAAATGGATGAATGATTGGCTATAGATATGGTATATGGTGTATATGATATAATTATATATACATAATTTATCTCAATTTGACTTAGAAGGGCCTTACTGCTAACTAACCACCGGAGCAAATTGGCCTAAACCCTCTCATGTCCCTGACAAACTGTCAGTGAAGGTAGGGTGATCAACTGTCCAGTTTGCCTGGGACTAAGGGCTTTTCTGGACATAGGACATTTAGTGCTAAATCTGAGACAGTCCCAGGTAAACCAGGATGAGTTCACCCTGAATGAAGGTGAAGGTAAAGGTACTCTGAGCTCCCCTAAGAGCCAGGCATCAGAGACACTGACTCTTGCCCTCATGGCTGGCATTTTCTGCCACATCAGCACTGTTCGTACATTTCAAAAGCCCATCTGTGCCCGCAAAGGAGTGACTTCCTGTGTGCATGGGCGGCCCTGGGAGGCTGGGTCTCTGAGAGCCCGTTTTGGATTATAAGCCTTTGAAGACATCTGCAGGGAAGGGATAATTCATTCCAGAAAAACAGCTCTCTTTGCCATGCAAACCAGAGACCAGGAATGGAAATGAGGTTTTTAATCACATGGGGCATTTTCAGAGCCACCTGCTGGCTCTGGCATCTAGCTGAGTTGCTTCATGTAGAGGTGCTGGGAGCGGGTCTGGCCTCTGAGGTCGGGCTGCTGGGAGGCCTCCTGGGTCAAGGCATGAGCTGCTGCCTTCAAAGTCCTCTTGCAGCTGCATCCAGCTGGGCCTGCAGGGAACTGATGCCAGGAAAGGTCCGCTCTGAGCTTAGCAATGATGCCCTCCTGCTGCTCGGAAAGTCCTGGACGCAGGACCTGTCTTATATTTTGTCTCTCAATGTTCATGAGCTCCTGTTCTATGCCGGTCTCCTCAGCCCTGGGCTGGGGGAGCAATCGGAGGCTGAACACTGTCAATTGAGGGGCTTACCAGAAGCACCTGCTCCCACCTCCTTTCCTGGCAGACTCACTCATGCTGTACATTTGTTAGATCTAGGTTGAAATCTCAGTTCCCCTGTTTCTTGGGTTAGGTTCCCCAGAAGGAGATGCTTGTTCGGGATCAACACTTGTGAAAGGCAGGAGGAATAGCAGGTTTGGGCAGAAGGAAAAGTCAAATTGTGATACAGGTCCAACAAAGCCTGGGCCAACCAGAAGAAAGCCCTGGGATGAATATCAATCATCAGAGTCATCCTAGGGTAAGCTCCTAAGGCTGGGCTTTTACAATTTTGCTTTGCTCTGTTATTGGCTTCTCTATAAAGGACATGACTTCAGGGGAGGTGACCCTCAGAAGCTGAGACAGAGGCTGAAGGAGGTCATTGCTGAAGTCTGTTTCTTGATTGAGCCTCCTGCAGATAGGTATAAGCAATTAACTGAAAGGAGTTCTGTGCAGCACACTTTGGTATCTACTATACCTTGCTTATAAACTGTTTGATTTTAGGAATGTAATTTACTTTTCTGAGCCTCAGTTTTCATGTGCATAATTGGGGCTACTAGCTATAAATAACTAATAACTTTTTTTAAAGAAACTTCATTCTAATAAAATATTTCAAACATACAAAACTTATACAAAAGAAATGAGTTTAGAATCGTGAACTTCCATGTACCAGTCACCCAGCTTCAACAATTACCAACTCATGGTCGCTTTTGTTCCAACTATACCCCACCATAACTACTGGATTGTTAGGAAGCAAATATCAGATTCAGAAATATTGTATTTCATCCAATAGTATTTCAAATGCATCTCTAGAAGGGCTTAAAAATAACCAAACATAACCACAATATGCCTAACTGTTTTTGGCAGATTAAATGATCTAGTTTAAATGGAGCATATATGACAGCATTTGGCACACAACAGGGATTTAGAAATGTCAGCTATGTCAAAACACATCCTCTTGGGAAATGACACATGAAAGAAGGGGGAAAGAAGCTTAATTTTATGGAGTGTAGAGTGTCAAATATGTGGCACAGACACTACCTTCTTCCACCCTTTTCCCTCAACAGACATCACTATTCAATCATGGAGCTACTCTGCTGCACAGTGTTCCAGGCAGCCACTGTCCATTCAGTGGCAGAGATTAAAAGATGAAATCAGTTTATTCACATTGTCCTAGCAGACTGATGAACAGTTCTCATCTGGAACAATGGCTTAACACAGAGCCAGGCTTGCTGCCCTGCAGAATATCTGACAACTACCATCCAGCTGCATGGTTCTGAGTCCGGGCTGGGTCACTGTGATGTACACCAGCTGCTCATAGACCACTTTTGCCATTTCCAGTGTAGGGAGGGAGACTATGCAGCTTTCACCCAGGGAAAATTGGTGAGAAGAAGCAGACCTCAGACCCTTGAGAGCCGTTCAAGCCTGACATTTCAACATCTGCCCCTAGAGCACTGTCTTCTCATTCTTGCTTTCTTCTACTTCAGTGTCTGCCAGCTACTTTTTGGGGTTCCTTCCCCAGGCAGTTATATGCTTCTTCTTCATCTCCTCCAGCCTTCCTCACTTTGTTACACCCTCTCTGAATAATGTTGTCATGTCTCCAGTGGACAAAAGTGTTGGGGGAAAAGGAGTGTATGTGTGGGTGTGTGAAATAACCCTTAATACATGTACATGATTCCATAGTGTACCCTGTACTCTCTGTTAGTTGTCATCATTCTTATGTAACACTGAAACCCAAAGGAACTCATCATATTTTCTTCTATGTTAAACTTCTTAGATCACCAGGTCAAAGGGACAGATTGGGTGTCCTGACTCTGACTCACATTGATGCATCACAGTCCTGGAAAATCCTTGAGCTGTGGAACTCTTTCTTTAAATGTAACTTTATGTTATTGTCCACTGTCCAACATTGTGGGTGAATTGAGGTGGGGGAACATGGTGTACTGTCTACCATTAAAGTGTGGTAGGGAAAAAGAGAAGGTTGGTTTGTGGAATCACTAGGACTTTGGGGAGCCCAATTTAAACACCATCACATTCTACAAGCAGACACAGGGTATAATTTTACTAGCCTGGAGTATAATTCTGCTCTTGACAGAATGTCTGGGAATCACTGGTTATGAGATTCTGTATTTTCAAACCCGCATTTATACCCTATAAAAATGTGGGGTTTACTACGTGCTGGAAGCAGCTATTAGGATAAATTGTGCTAGCTCCTGAAACCAGGCATAAGCCATTCCTACACCTGCCAGGACTGTCCTGTCTTCATCATACCTAGCTTAAGCCAATACAAGAATGAAGGGAGGAGGAATCTGAGCCTTGGTTGGCCCTAAGCCTTCACCCAAATGATCCTGAAAATAATTGTAGTGATAGTAACAACAGCAAATCTTGAATATTTGCTCTCTCTGTGTTAAGCACAATGCTAAACACACATACAATTTAATGCCCAAAACTCTAGGTAAGTATTTTTATCTTGTCTTTAGAAACTCAGGGATGCTCAGGGCTAACAGGTGACAAGTGATTAAGGCAGGGGTTCAGATCGAGGTCTCCCCAATTCTAGTTCTCACATTGTCACTTGTCCATCCTGATTCCTTAGCCTGATGCTTCCATGTAATCTTATGATGGTCTTCAGGAAGGGTGTCTTTCCTTCCTTGTGCTCAAGGTCACCCACCTAGGAAGGGAACATGCATGAACACAGGTGCATCTGAGTCCAAATTATGAGCTTTGCTGCTTTTTGAGAGGCGGGTAGTACAATGGGCAGGATGTATTGCTTCTGAGAAAAATTACCTTTATGTGGGGGCTCTGGTTCATACCCCAAAGGCAGGTAAGAACAGACTGCTTCTAGAAGCAGAAGTAACCTGTATCCTGCCATTTTTATTTATGGGAAAATAGTTTTATTTATTTAGTAAAAATATGCAGGATGAACAAAATTTTGTTTCTATGTTTTTGTAGACTAACAATATGAATAGTCCTCTGACAAGACTGGACACGGGAAAAAGAAGGTAGAAATAAAAATTTTTTCCTACCGCTAAAGAAGAGAATCTCAATTATGAAAAAGATGGCAAAATGTGGGAATGAATGGGAGCTCATGAGGCCAGGGAGGAGACAATACAGTGGATAAGTAGGTGCATTATCTCAGATTGCATGCCTGTTACAAAGACTTGGTTCATAAAGTGATGAACATCAGTCACCCCAGAGATTTTCAGTTTATCCCAGCCCAGCACATTCGTTAATGTATAGTGTCTAGAATATATTAAATGCTTGTACATATCAGGCCCATGCTAGGAACTTTGTATCCATTACTTTAAAAAATACCTTTTTATTTTGGAGCAATTTTAGAGTTACAGAAAACTTGCAAAGATAGTACAGAGAGTTCTTGTATGAACTTTGTCCAGGTTCCCTTAGTGTTAACATCTTACATAACCCAGGTATATTTGTCTAAACTAAGGAATTAATGAAGGTACACTATTATTAAGTAAACTTTAGATTTTTTTTGGATTTCATCAGCTTCCCCGCTAATGTCCTCTGTTTTCTTGTTCTGGGATCTAATCCAGGATACCACATTGCCTTTAGTTGTCATATCTCCTTAGTCTCCTTTGGTCTCATTATTTTTTTAAATCCTCAAATAATTGTTCCTTTTTAGAGATGAGAAACAGGCTCAAACATATTAAGTGATTTTCATTGGTTCACAAATCTAGTCAGTTGCTCAGCTGGGATTTACTCAGCTCTGTCTGATTGCAAAGACCATGCATGCATTTTCTAACCACTGTTTACTATGCTGCCGCATGAGCTGCCTATATGAGAATCCTGAACAACCAAGAAATGAGGAAACTAAGAGTACCCTGAGTTTTGGTTAGTTTAGAGCAATTGCCACCTAGAGGGTGAATGAATCCTAAGTTCACATTTCCAGCCCAGACTTTTGCTTTACACCCCGGAGCATAGATGGAGATGGGGTGAGAAGCTGCACATTGGCCCAATTGGCCAAGTTTACCCATTTGGCCAAGTTTACCCATTTCGCTATCTTTTGAATGCCCCATAAGCATCTCAAACTCAGCATGTCTGAAACCAGATTCGCCTTTCTTCTCAAATCTGGTATTCTGGTTCTTTCCTTCCCAAACTTGGCTCATGATGATGTAAAAATGGAGAAATGGCTATAAGCAGTCACCAGAACTTAAAGTCATGCGGAGTAATTCCAGAGCAGAGAGAGCACATGTTGAGTGGAGAGAGAGAATCAGTGACTTCTTAGTGAGGGGGGAATAAATTAGACATGTGATGACTGGTTGAAGCGTGCTCAGTGGCTAGGAGTAGTCCCTGAGGAGGAGGCAATTCCCAATCTTCTTGCTGCCCTGAGTTCCCTCTTAACTTCAATTTCTGTATCTGCAAGACTGCCCAACTCTACTATAGTTGCTGTTGTCCCCGAGCACAGGTTCTTGAGTTTTCCTTAGCTCACTTACCATACATCTCTATTACTTAGAAAATATCTAGATAGACTGAGACTCTCAGTTCTGATTACCCAAAAAACCCAAACCAAATCTTCCTTCCCCCACAGAGCTGCAGAAGTGGTGTGGCTCCAGCTTCTCTAGAGGATGCACAGAGGGTCTTAGTCCAGAATTCCACTGAATCTGTCTACTTGATCCTACCTCCCTGCACCCTCTCAGGATGGAGAAGTGGAAAGCACAAGATACACCTGGGTTTGAAGCCTAGAGCTGCCATATCCTAGTCATATGGCCTTAAACAAGTTTCTTATTCTCCTATGGTATCAGTTTTTCTCTTTATAGAATGTGGATAACGATATCTTGCTTAGCATTGACTTGAGAATTTAAGACAATGGGTAGGTGGCAACTGAGAGAAAGACTTTCTTCCTCTCTCTTTCTCATCTGTCTTTTCCATACTTTTTGAAAATCTTATATTCTTAGTGTGAAATCTTTCCCCTGCTTCTCTTTCTGCTTCCCACATGAGGACTGTTAGATTTGATGAATTCTTGAATAATTCATTCATAAGCAACCAAACTCTTTGATAAACAGCTTGGGATTGAGGGAAGCTACTGGGGGAACACATGCACCAAGAACAACAGTTTTATTTTGGTCCCTGCTAAGGTGAGTGAGGGACACAAACTGAAAGCTGGGATGAGATTGCACAGCATCATAGAGTGGCTTTGGAGAGGCTATGGCCATGGATAGGCAGAGAGAGAAGAGAGAAGAGGCAACTGGCAGGAGAAAGGAACAAGGTACAGTGGAACTGGGACAGTGGGCAGAAGAACAGGGGATTTATTCAAGTTTCTCCGGTCTGGTGAGCAATGTGAAGCTTTCTTTTCATTTCCTTAGGACATCTTTAGTACAATACCATTTTTGCACTAACATCTGTGTATCTGAATCCTTGAAGGGGTATCTGATAAAGTGCTAAGTGTAACTTCAAGGTGAGATGGGGTGAAAACCAAGGGCACCCTAAGAAGGCCCATCATGTCTGGATTTCATTCCAGTGCTTGGCATGGAGTAAGTGCTCAGTAAATACTAGTGTTAATAGTGGCTACAGTTGTAATTTCTTTCCAGCTCCTTTTTCTCTTCTACACTAAGATCTTCAAGAGCTCAGGAAAATGCACCTGTTTTATTCACTTCTGGATTCTTACCATTGGCAGAGTGCCTGGCCCATAGTTGGGTTCCAATAAATATTTGTTTTTATGACTAACAAATCCATGTAATCTCTGTGACCAGCTAAGTTCTCTTCTCAGCTTTATTGTGTTTTCATTCAATACTCCCCATCCTCAGAAAGCTGATTCATTCTGGGACTTCAGCTCTTACATCCATCTAGTGGATTACTAAATTTGTATATCCATTCCCGGCTCACATGGATAAGGCTGGCTTACATGGATAAATACTGGAATTGACAGTATTTGATTATTTTTAACTTACAAAAACAACAATTTCATAAATTGTAATCTAATATTCCCTTAAACTTCCACTCAAATGTTATATTGTCACCTTCAACACAACATAGGTGTTGTGCACTTCTCTGCCTATTGACTGTTCCTCTTCCTGGCATTGTTTAATCGGAAAATGCTTTTAGAATAGAAAGCTATCACTCTGTCCAGTAGTATCTTTTTATCATTGAGATGAAAGACTGAGGTTACATTCTGCCTCTGCTACATTCAAGTCACTTGCCTCAAGATCACACAGCAGAATGGTAGCAGAGGCAGAATGTAACCTCAGTCTTCTGTCTCCTGTTCTGGTTCTAGGTCTATCAAGTGCATGGATTCTCCAGCTTCCCAAGTCTTGCATCTCCATCTTCCTCCTTCCCCTCATCTTCTGGCAATATTCAGTTACCCACCAAGTCCAGGAACTTCTTCCTTCAAAATATGTCGTGTTCATATATATGTTTCCCAACTCAAGGACCTATGGCTGCCATGTTAGTTCAGGCCAACCTCATCTCCCACTTGAATCCCCGCAGAAGTTCATTGTTAAACCTCTCTCCTGCTTTCTTACATAATACCTGCCTAAAGGTATATATGAAAGCTAAAGTTTCAAAAGTCACCAAATAGCTTTTAAAGTCTAAGGGCTGTTTGGTCCCAGAGAGAAAAATGATTTTAAAAAATTAAAATAGTACCATATCATTTAGACATAATGTTTTGATTACATATGTTCTATGATTTTATAATTTTTTGTTCAATAATTTCAGACTTACAGAAAAAATGTAAAAATGATACAAAAATTGCCTGTATGCCTTTACTCAAACTCCCCAAATGTTAGCATTTCTAATGTTTACCATTTTCTCTCTCTTTATACATTTTTATTATTATTTTTTCAAACCATTTTTGTGAGTAAGATGTGAACATGATGTCCCTTGGTCCTAAATATACTAGTGTGGATTTTCTGAAAACAAGGACTTTCTTTTACATAATCACAGAAACATTATCAAAATCTGGATATTAGCACTAATAAATACAATTGAACAATCTACAGACTTTATTTAAATTTAATCAGTGGTCACTTTAAAATCCTTTCTAGCAAAAAAAGTTTCTGATTTCTGATCCAAAAAAGGATAACTTGTTGCAATTTGTTGTCATGTTCTGTAGTCTCCTTTAGTCAGGAATAGTAATTCAGTCTTTCTTTGTCTTTAATTGACCTTGACATTTCTGAAGAGAGGCCATTTATTTTGTAGGCTGTTCTTCTATTTATGTGTATCCCATGGTGCCTCGTGATTATTTGTGTCTTTAACTTTTATGTCTCTTTAATTTTTAAATGAGTTAATATTTGTAAATTGCTTTAAGCAGTGCCTGGCACATAGCTCTATATAAATATTTGTTAAATACGCTTTGATCCTTTTCTTCACAGCCAAATATACAGTTGACCAATCTATGGCCAATGAGTACTTGAAATGGAAGATTTGTCATTTGGGGGAATTTCTAAGTATTTTCATCTTTGTTTCAACTGCTTTACCTGTCTGAAAACTATGTTTCTTATAGCTAATATCAGCATTTACATTTGTACCCCTTTCTGTACTTAATAACATAATAAAAACAAAACCAAATCTACCATTAGGTCATCCCACAGACCCTGGCCTGTGGATAGAGATATCATTGCTGCCCAAGTTGAGTTCTTGGCTGCTAGGCAGGGTCACCTGGTCCTTGGGTGCTCAAGAATCAAAACCTGGGCTATGCGTGTGCAGCATAATGGACTAAAAATGTGAGCTATCCAAATATTTTAAGAATAAAAGTGGAAGACTTTTCTGCAAATTATGGCGGCATTGGTATGGTATTCTATGAGGTATTTAATTTAATGTTCATTGCAGAATGGGATTTCACTCAATATTTTTTGTTTGTTGAATTACTTATTGCTTCCTTCCTGGCACAAACCTTGTGGGTCAGCAGACTGGACTCCTTGTGTCCTACTGGGAATGTGATGCATCACATCCCTGCTTCTGGGCTTTTGCTTCTATGGCTCCATCTGGATGGCCCTTCTCACATTTCCACCTGCTCTCCTGCTCAGGCCTCTTAAGCTCGACATAGCCCCACCTCTCCCGGGCCCTCCCTCCACATCTGTCTCTTCCTTCTCAGTCCCCTGCAGCATCTCTGCTCTGTATCACCCAGTCTGGCACTAAACAAGAGATAGATTTGATTCTGAATTAGCTGTTCCCTACCTCAAGCCCCATTCCCCCAAATGGGCTAGGAAGTCTTTGAAGTAGGTATAATTGGAGGTAGATTTAGGTTTTTAAAAAGTTGAATTTCCTTGACAATTTAAATTTGAGAAAATTATATTTGAAGATGGAGCATGAATAAGGTCGTATATTTCTTATCACCTCAAACATGGATCCTATATGAGCTAGCATTTATCTAAAGATTATTTCCAATGACTTGCCAATTATTGTGCTATTTTACATGTATTATTTCCTTTAATCTTTATAGGAACTCTATGATGAGGTGGCTACAGGCTACTGTTAATATTACCATTTTATTTAGTAGAAAGCTGGGGCTCAGAGAGGTTAAGCAACTTGCCCAGGGCTATATAGTGATCAAATACTAGAATCAGAATTTTATTTCAATCCACCTAACTTCACAGCTTATGCCTGAGCCACTATATTATTCTCCCTCCATCATCAGCAAAGGGAAAAAATAGCATTACTGATGAAAACAGAGGAAAATGGTGGCTTTATTTAGAATGAACTAACATTTGTTGATTATCTACTGGGTGCTGGGCACTGTTAGACACTTTCACACATATTACCTCAGACAAACTTGAGCAACGACCCTGGAAAGGAAGCAGGTACTCTTATCTCTATTTCATAAATGAGAAAATTGAGAAACAGAGAGGTCAAATGACTTACTCAAGGATACAGAGCTCAGAGGTGATATGTATTTCTGGTACATTTAGCTTCATCCGGTAACACACAGCCCCAACCCTTTTCACTTGTCTTACAGTAGTGCCTCTCTTCTCAAATAGAATTTAACTCCACAGCATAATTATTCTTGCTCTGAATCCCCACTGTCTCATGGCGTCTTTTAGCATCAGTGTCTTCTAGAAGAGCCTCCAAGGAAAGGCTGCTGGGCAAGGCACTGAGTGAAGCAAGGGGGGTGTATATTCCTGCCCTGCCTTCTCCTCCGGCTGATGAAGCCCACAGTTAAGATGGTCTACCGGGGCTCGCTCCAGTCTTCCCAGAGAGTAATGTTCTGCTCAGGGGTGATAGAAAGCTCTGTGGCTGGCCCAGCCGAGGTATTGGAGAAAGATCCATCACCCCTGAGTGATCGGTGACCCACAGGTACTGCGCATGGAACCTAATGACCAGTCACTCAATTACCGGCTCAGTGACATGTTTGTAAGGGTGAACTTTAGAGTGCTACTAGGGAGCGGACAGATGAACTATAGCTGTGCCTGCAGGGCAGAGCTCACCCAGCCCAACTGCCTCTGCGGACCCATTACCCAGTAATTAGGGGGATTTTTAAGTAGGAAGCAAGGAGTTAAATTATCACTTAGATTACTGCTTCACTTGTCACAGTAGAAAGTGCTGCTTTGGGGAAAGAAGGAAGGATTGGGGAAAGCAAGAGAGGGAGAGACGGAGAAAGAGAGTAATGGAAGGAGTGTGAGAGAGAAGGCTCTGGGAAATCGAGGTTTGAGATAAGGGCTCCAT
This sequence comes from Homo sapiens, assembly GCF_000001405.40. Lineage (NCBI taxonomy): Eukaryota > Metazoa > Chordata > Mammalia > Primates > Hominidae > Homo > Homo sapiens. The sequence continues at coordinate 39,320,724 of NC_000020.11, forward strand.
TCATTTTCTCCACTGGCAACTGTAACAGGAAGGTGCCAAGGGTGACCAATGAGAGATGCAGGTAAGTTGAGAGTCTGAGCCACAGCTGAGGTTTGCGTAAGTCTCTACCCACAGCATCTGTTTAGGCCATGGTAGCTCATCAGGAAGATGAAGGTAATAATACAATCATAGTTAGCAATGATTGATTGTATATGAGCCAGGAACTTGGCTAAGCATTGTCCTTGCATCTGCTCATCTGATCCCTTCCACCCTGAACCAGGGGGCTGCCACTGTGATCTCCGCTCACCAGATGAGAACACTGGAGCACCTTGACTATGTAACCTGCAACAGAGCTGGAGTGACCTGCTCAATGCCGGGGCCCAGCCTCTTAAACCCCTCACCAAGCACCTCTGTGAGGTCTTTACAGTCCTGAAACAGCCCCAAACCTGCCTCTTCTGCAGAGGCAGGGGATGTTCTCAGTTTGCTCCAGACTTCCCTGTGTTGAGCTTAGCTCTACGTCTTATTTCCTTTGCAGCAAAATTGGCAACTGCTATTAATTTTTACTGTGTGTGTGTTTAATTTTTTTTAATGAAAAATATTAAACAAAGATCAGGTAGACAGAATTGTATAACAGACATTTATGCACTCATGACCTGGCTTAAAAAATTGTTAACTACTGATCAAACTTATTTTTCTGTATCCCCCATCCAATTCCTTCTACCTTCCTGTATTATTTCGAAGCAAACCTCAGGTATCAAATAATTTCACCTCTGAATCTTTCAGCATCAAATATAAAGATTTTTTTAAGAAATCAAAATACTTTTATCATGCCCTGAAATAATAATTATTATCCAATCTGTTCAAATTTTTAAATTTTATTGGATAATTTTAGAAATATAGACAGTTATAATGGTTCAACTTACCATTTTTTGACTACATTGGTACTCAACCATTCTATTTTTCGTGGTCAGTACAGTATTCAATACATTACATGAGGTAGTCAATACCTTATTATAAAATAGGCTTTGTGTTAAATGATTTTGCCCAACTTTAGGCTAATGTCAGTGTTCCTAGCATGTTTAAGGTAAGCTAGGCTAAGCTCTGATGTTTAGTAGGTTAAGAGTACTAAATGCATTTTTGACTTAATGATATTTTCAGTTTATGATGGATTTATTGGGATGTAATCCCATCACAAGTGGAGGAACATCTATAATTTATTTGTTTAAATTAGGATCCAAATAAGGTCGGTACATTGCAGTTGGTCGGTACATTGCAGTTGGTTGATAGGTGTTTTAAGTCTCTTTTATTCTTTTTTCCTTGATATTTATTTATTGAACAAACTGTGTTATCTTAAAGAATTTCCTACAGTCTGCATTTTGATGATTGGATCTTAGTGGTATGGTATGGTTTATCATGTTCCTGTGTCCCTGGTGTTTTCTATAAATTAATGGTTACATCTAGAGTTTTGATCAGGTTCAGGTTTGGTTTTTTGGCAAGAATACTTCATGTATGGTACTGTGGACTTCTACTAGGAAGTCTGGTTTTCTTTCTTTCTGAAGTTAGCAACCACTGAAGATTGCTTTAATCTGGTAGTTTTTAATTACTTCATTCTTTTTTCATTTATTATCTGAATTACATTTTAAAGAAATCTTATTAGCTATTTGTGATCCTGAGAAATAGTTTATATAGGAGAAGCAAGTTAATGCTTACTTTCTTCCCTTTATTTTCTAGTTTTTCAAATAATGAGTTGGTTCTCTAGTATTCTACATAGGATGCGAATGAGCTTATTTTATTTTATTATTACTATTATTTTGTACCCATAGACTTTTTAAGTTCTTGGTAAATTTCAATCCATTACAGTTATTGTTCTTTTTGAGATCCAAATTCTCCTGTGTCTGGCCATTGGGAGACTTTAAGTTGACTCCTGAGTTTTTCAAACATGATCACATGGTTTTTAGTAGCTTCCTGCTGTCTGGTTTGACAGTAGGTTCCAGACTCATCTCCTACACTTTCTTTTTCAAACCTAGTCTCAGGCTTTTGTCAGTTAAGAATGACATTTAGATAGCACAATTTTCATTTTGGAGTACTCATGGCTACTAGGTTTGTCATTGTCTCTAGGGCTTTTTTGTGGATACCGGTACAAAATATGTATCTTGTTTAAAAGAGAAAACAAACCTTGAGTTTATATTGATACTCTCAATTCGTTTTTACTTACTTTCTTTGATCATTCATCTGTATTTCTTGTTTCTCCTGTTGAGTATCCCAGTTCCCAAAGGTAACCACATTTGTTCTATGCCACCATGCACACTCAATTGTCTCAGAGGAGCAATACCAGCACTACCACTAAGGTATGATTAGTAAAAACAACTTAAGGGTTTTTATTTTTCCTTAATTCATTTAGGCTGGGGATGTCCTGCCAGATTCCTGTATCTTAAAATCACTTGACATAGTTTTATCTGTATGGTTGTACCCTCAACTTCATGTATAGATTTATTCATGTATTCCATTTTACTTTAATTTTATAACAATTGCCTTTTAAGCTGTATTTATTAAATTACTATTTCACATGTCAATAATACACATTCATTGAAAAACATAATTATATATATATTTTTATAATGAAGTAAAATGCATATGTGATTCCACAGTCAAACCTACAGAGCAGCTCCTTCTACACTGATTCACAGAGCTCCTCAGCAGTATTAAGCTCCGAGTACCACATGGAAATTGACTTGAAAACACACACTTAATGGCTGCTTTTTCTTCTCCCATCTTACTTTCTCACAGCCTTATCAATTTTCAGGGATCACATCAAATAAACTACTTTTATACAACTCTTTGTCTTTAGTCAGCATCTAAAGTAACTCAAATCAAGACACACATTTTTCTCTATCTTGCTTTTCATATAAGAAAATATCCTGAATTTTCACTTGATTTCATTTCACAGTGAAATGATCACTTCATCGTTCTGGAGATAACCATGGCTGCTTTCACGGAGGCTCCTCCAAACCCTAGTGCCTTGCTGGAAGGGCCTGGAGGAGCTGGATTGAGCAGGCACGTTGGAGGGAGATCCCACCTGAGTTCAGACTGTGGACACTGCTGAAGTTCTGGGTCAGAGCACACATCTATTCCTTGAGAAGTAGGGCAGTGGCTAAGAGATTTGATTTTGATGCCAGAGTAACTGGAGCTGAAGTCCTGGCTTGGCAGGTATAGTTGTGTGACCTGAGCAAGTCACTTCCCATCTCTGAGCCTTGGTTTCTTCTTTTGTTCAATAAGCATAATAATGGCGCCTGTCCTATAAGGTACATTGGTGAGGCACAATAAATAAAGTGTTTAGCACATGAAACACTTTCTAGAGATATCTGTAATCACCATCACCTCTAAAATAATGAGACTGCTCTAGTTCCTTTCTGAGTGCAGACTGTCTTTTTTTAAGTTTTATTTTATTAAGTGATAAATAATAATTGCATGTATTTATGAGGAACAAAGTGATATTTCTGTACATGTATACATTGTGGAATGATCAAATTAGAGAAAGAGTAGTTAGCATATCCATCACTTCATATCTTTATCATTTCTTTGTCTTGAGAACATTTAAAATCCTCTCTTTTAGCTATTTTGAAATATGCAATACATTATTATTAAGTATTTTCCAGGCTTGGAGTCCTTGGTTCTTTTAGGAAGTCCTCATAGGATATGATTCCAAGACCCTCTCCGCCCTGGGTTGCAGCAAGTCCAGACGTGGCTGTAAATCAGATATGGATACATTCTTGATTTCTATTCAAGAAATAGACACCATCCTCCCAGTGTGACATATCTGCCAGAGAACTCAAAGAACTCCTAATGAAATTTTCTCATTAGGAATTTCTGTGAACTTCTCTCATCTTGAATTTCCCTGGGTGTTCTCTGCCCCATGGCCTGGCCTTTCCCCATACGGATCAGGGACCTTCCATCTGCTTAGGCCCTCTTTAGCCCTCTCCTAGGACCCCATCCTTCTTTCCAACAACACAGGTATATCCTGGGGGTCCCAACAAGATATTTTTATGATTAGAGAAGTCTAGGTATTTCCTGATAATTGATCATTTGTGGTGTAAAAGTGTTTTAACTCTTTACTCTGAAAAGAACGTCTGTCCTGAGGATAGGTAATAAAAGGAAAGTATGGCATGACCCTCTTCTCGCCAAGGAAGCAAACCTGGAAGATGGTTGGAGGAAAGCAAAGGAGAATATTTACAAATAAGGAAAAGTAGAATGGAGTTTCCTTGTCTACTTAGTCAGTCTGTCTTGCAGATATTTTGAAAGAGGCACCCCTTAGTAGGCTCTATAGCCATCTGTGGGTCAGAGGTCTCAGAGGAAGGAAGGGGTGGCTCAAATACAAAATGGTACCCCTAAGGGCCGCGCAGGTCCCCCAATCCCAAACAATACTCCCATGTGCCAGAGGTGAAAGTGATGATCCACTGAGCTGAAGATTACCTAGAGTTTTGCTAAAATTCTGAGCAGGAGGTTGATAAATTATCCCAGGGAACTAAGGGTTGTGTGATATGAAACAGATGCATAGATATTCCTGGCAGTTTTAGAAGAAGGGTCTAGTCCTCAGAGAGATGGCAGTGACTAGGTGGGACTATGGGATACATGTATTTTATTAGATTTAAAGTATTTTTGGATAGTGGGATACAACACAGAGCCACTCAGATAGATGGAGAAACAGAACTCTTTGTTACTTACAGCTCCAAGTGAGTGACAAAAAGAAGGCTGCCATGCAGGGCCATATGGGGTTGCAGTGGGGATATGGTAACAGCAAGCTGGAGCAATAGGAGGTGGCAAGTGGCATGGAGGTAGCTAGGTTTCAATAGCTAATGTGAACAATTATGTGGGCTCCTGGGTTTAGGGTTTATTTGTTTGGTACTTGGCCCTGGAAAATGGGGACCTGATAAGGGAAGTTCTTGGGGTGCTTGCATAGTGGCCCAAGGGAGTGGAAGCCAGATAAAGAAGGTGATTGGCTTAGCAAACTGCCCATGAAGGGAAATTGAGAATTTTTAGCCATAATTTCAAAACTGGGTCAAGGCAGCACTTGTGAAATGTCACCCTACAGCATGTCAATGGGGTTCAGGGCAGATCCTCAGCCTTGGAGAAATTTAAGTTAAAGTTGGGCTAGAACCCAGGCATAAGGCTTGGACCAAATTTCAGGAATCAAAACAGGGAAACCAAATGAGTGACATGCATGCCATTACCATCCTTTGCCTTGATCATGGCAGACATTGCCAACCAAACACAATTCTCCTCCTTACTGAGCCTGGACTCAGCCTTGAATCCTTCTCAGCTACCATCCCTGACAAGCAACAAAGTTGACATGTAATTTTCAACCCATGACTACACTTCATTAGAAGAGAGAATTAGTTAAGGGGCATGTGGCTATCTGGGTTTCCTGTAATTTGAAATCTATGGATAGCAAATATAATTCCAGATCCCACCCACTGGTTGGACTAAGTGTTTCTCTTCTTAGCAGCATTGTTCAGGGACTGAGAGAGGCTGAGTCATAAAGGGCTGGGCCCCGGGACAGAAAGTGACATGGAGCTGGAGAAGGCAGAGTCTAACAGTCTTTCAAGCACAGCACCCAATCAAAAGGAATGTACCTCTAGTGCGGAAACATTGGAGTAGCCCTAAGTAACCCATTGAGAAGCCAGTGTTCTCAACCATATATAGACGGACCAAGACCCAGCCACAAGATATATTCCAGTTGTGGAATTTGGGTCAGCATGTGAAGGTGGGATGTGATATTTGATCTTTTTTGAAAATATAGCTACCCAACTTCAACTTCTCCCCAAAGCTATGCTATATCTGTATCCTTTTCTGAAGTATTTTATTAATCATTTCATCCATATTTCTCTTCACCTCAGACTTCAAATTTTGATTTCCTCTGGTATTTATAGCAACATCTGTGGTTTCTCAAGGCGCACAAGGCAGGTTTTAGGATGAAGGTATTTTCATGGAGGCTGGCAAGATATCTGAGGTTCAACAACAGGCAGCTGACTCAGGTAAAATGAAGCCAAAGAGAAACCAAACCTTGTTTTCTTGATTTTGTTTTTCCTTTCAGGGAGGGAGAGATCACTGGCCAATTTTAATTTAGGTTTCTTCTCCCTTAGTTATCCAAAGATGCAATCAATAAATACCTACTTGAACCCCCTACTAGGAGCCAGATTGTGTACTAGGTACTGGGGATACAGTAAGGGAACCAAACCAGATATGGTCCCCAGCCTCCTGGAGCTCTCCTGGGAGAAAGAGAGCTTAATCTAATTAATCTCATAACAACATGTAAAATCACGTCTGATGTTTTGAGAGAGAGGTATATGGTATTAAGAAAGCTTATGATAGGGGATTTAACATAGTGAGGGATGGCATCCAGAAGCGAATGATAACTGAAATGAAAGAAGGATCTGAAGGAGTTGGAGAAATAAAAAGAGTTATGTTGTAGTAGGAAGGGAATTCTAGGCAGGTGGCACAGCCTGTGCAAAAGCTCAGCAACTGGAAAAGAACATGAACGTTATGTGACAGGAAGATAGAGTGGTTGGAAAAGACTGAATGAGAGGGACATGATGGACAATGAGTAGGAAGGAGTGCTCAGGGAGTGACAGACCTGACACTGTAAACAATTCAGACGTGGATTTACTGAGAAGCTAATAGCATTTAAATTTCAAGAACTCTCATTTGCATTGGGGCTTTCAAGAACACTTGAACAAGGGCATGAATGTTGTCAACTCAGTTTTCTTTTCTTTCCTGTTTTTTTTTTTTTTGAGACGGAGTTTCACTCTTGTTGCCTTGTTGCCCAGGCTGGAGTGCAGTGGCGTGATCTCGGCTCACCACAACCTCTGCCTCCCGGGTTCAAACGATTCTCTGCCTCAGCCTCCCAAGTAGCTAGGATTACAGGCATGTGCCATCACACCGGCCAATTTTGTATTTTTAGTAGAGACAGGGTTTCTTCATGTTGATCAGGCTGGTCTCGACCTCCCAACCTCAGGTGATCCACCTGCCTTGGCCTCCCAAAATGCTGGGATTACAGGCATGAGCCACTGTACCCGACCACAAACAGTTTTAAGCTTACTGATTACACAAGAAAACTTTTGAAATGTCCTGAAATCTCACAGCTCATCTATAAAATAAACTGGATAGGAAATTTTTAAAATTTGTCCACAATCCTAAAAATTTAGGTGGCGTTGCCAATATTAAAGCTGCGAAGCTGAAGGATACCAGTTTTACTCCACCACACCAGAGGGAAAATATTTCAGAAAGTCTGAGTTCCTTTTCTTTTCTTTCTATAGAAAATGACATTACAAGCTCATTATCATATGAAGAGGAGATCAAAGACTATGCCGGCAACAAAATGTAGGAAAAATTGTTATAGAGTTGTATCAGTCTGCTAATTAACAAAAATATGCTATTTTTCAGGAGTTTGTAATGTTAGTGGTATCTGCCACTTTAACAAATTGTAGTTTATGAGTTATTTTCATATTCTAAATACATATTCAAGTTTGTGTCTAATTTTGAATGCAGAATTTTGTGTTCTTAACTGACTGCCCACTGTTAGTCATTGACCACTACTATCAATCTTCCGTCCTATTTCCAGGGTTATAATTTTGAAGTATAAATCATTACCAGGTCTCTCCAACTCTTAAAACCCTTCCCTTGTATGAGTGGGTGGTACCAGGCCCCTAGAGATGATCTTTCTAGACTCAGCTCTCAGCACTGGGTGGATTCATTCATGTTCAGGCAGAGCGGTATGATTAACAGAGAGGCTGGGACACAGGGTGCCCTTGCTCCTCCCTCATCCTTATCGGAGGATCTTCCCAATGTATCTGGCTTCAGGCCAATATTGAGGGTTCCACATAGAGGCAGGGAGAGAACACTGGACTGTAGATCTCAGTTTGAAGTCAGCCTCTCTCACATACTACGTAGTCAAGTTTCTGAGTGTGTAAACCAGACCAAAGACTCTGGAAAGATCTGCACGTAAACAGTGCTTGACAGAAAGGCAGCAGCAGACTACTAAAGATATAAGATTGCCTTAGTAGCCTCAGTAGCAAGCAAAATGGAAGATATCTGTACTGAGGCAAGAAACGCAAAGCAGGAGATGATCTGTAAGGCTGTCATAGGGACACACAGCTTATTTTTTTGGTAGTGGAACATTTTAAAAACTTAATGCATAAACATATGACCTTTTATTAAAGAGAAATTTTATGTATTGGTGGATAAGGCCAATGGTTACATGTACTGGATGCTTTAAAAATTAGAACCAATTAGAGTAGATTCTTTATTCTCTTGGTTACATTGTGAAGTGTCTTTTATGGTCATATGCTGTGGTTGGAATGACAGTGTGCACATATTTCAAGAAAATTAGAAGATACACGTGAACACCAAATGTTCTCCCCTTTTTTCTGCAGTAGTCTTAATGATTTTCTCCATTATCTCATAGGAGGTGGAGGGAGATTGGTGGAGGGATTTTCAGTGGTCACTGTTTTCTTCACATGGTCTTGAATGATGTCTTTATACATGTGTTCAGCTGTGAAAATCTGCTGTTCCTCATCATAGCCAAAAAACCATAGTTGTGCCATCTGGTAATATTTACCATATGTGATGTAAAGGTCACAAGTTTTGGTTTGCAAAAGAGCATCTTCACCTCCAACATCACTTTAAGCTTTACAAGCTTCTTCTATTTTCCTTTCATCTAGGGTAGCTTTATCTGCTTCCAGCAACCCACTCTCTTCATATTATTCCATAAATGTAGATTTTCCTTCATCTTTTTCTTCTTCCTCTCATAAGACTGAGCAGTTTTCGAGTTTTATACCATTTTTGCTTGTAAGTATAATCTCCTCAACCTATTTGTTTATTCCTGCAATTCCTGTGCTGTGATGTGTATCTACCCAGGCCCTACCACCATCATCTTCAGTGATAGCTTCCAATTCACCTGAATATGCCATCTGTTTTGACTGGATGTAGCATGCCACATTTTTGGCTACCAAAAATTATTTGCCTGTTGGTAGCTATGCCTCTCTTTTCAGTTCTTCCCCTGTAGCCCATTGCTGTGTCGGGCAGTGGACAGCTAAGTGATCTCCAGCTGCCATAAACTCTTTTGGGGTGGTAACAGCTGTTTCCTTAAACTGATTCCTTGAGAATTAGGTCAGGTATTCAGTTACTTCTAATGCCTTTCCTTCACCATATTAATCAATTCTGGATGGATGCTGGGGCTGGAGTAGTGGCCAGCCCCACAATGGGATGGGAAAGGTACCTAAGACAGAGGCCAGGGAGTCAGTGCCCCCGTGACATGAATTTGCATCACATGACACATCAATATGATGTGAGGACTCTGCAGATTTTTGAGGCATCTTCTGCCATTCTCAGGGGCAAAGAGATCATGAAATATACAAAAATGCCATCAAACCCTTAAACCAAAGCATCACAGTTATCTGTTGTAGATGTATGGAGAAGTGAAATACCCTAAATACTGCCCAAATCATTGAATACAAGTTTTGATTCCCAGGATTATAGGTTCTTAAAATTGAGAAATTAAAAGTCACTTAGGATGACAAAATAATTTGTTGTTCGAATAGTGAAGAACAATTTTGAGAGTAAAAGCAGGAGTTCTTTACGGTTATGTCAGGACAGCAGACATAAACTGGAAATTCTCTGGGCACACCAGGATGAGTGCTTGCCTTGTTCAGACCTCCTATTTGGAGGAAGTTAGTTTTTGATTTGCAAGCATATCCAGTGTTCGTTCAGTGTTCCTTGCACAGCCACTGGTCCTCAGCTATGTGGGAGGATCAAGTCAATGCCATCCCATTCCTACCTTGGTGCTATACAGAATCAACCAGACAGAAGGAATTTACCTGGAGGCCATCAATTTGGGGGTCCTCTTGGTATCTTTTTACTTTTCTAGAATTTGCAGCAACATGCCTGCTTGCTAACCAGTACACAGAACCTCAGTGCATTCTAGAACGTTTATTGCAAGGCCAAATATGTTAGCAGTCACTTCCAGAAGATCCCTTGGTAATTTACCCAGACATCCCAGAAGTCCTCTTTCCCCCAAGCCCCTCAGCTACCTTTTTCTCTGGATAGTTCTAACACTGACCTGGATCTGAAACCTATAGTTCCAACTCCACTTTTCCAGAGACACTTCACTCCTAGAGTTCATTGGATTAGAATAAGCTTTTTTTTCAATTTACCAGAGATGGTAAATTGGGCAAAGACATTCATTTAAGCCAATGGTTCTCAACTGGGGGTGATTCCATTCTCCCTTGCCCAAGGACTTTTGCAATGTCTAAAGACATTTTTGATCACTATGACTTGAGTGGGTGAATGAAGCAACTGACATCTGATGGGTAGAGGCCACCAGTTCTGTGGAACCACATTGCACAGAATAGCCCTTCACCTTTCCCCAATAATTATCCCATCCAAATGTCAGATTCCAGGTTGAGAGACTCTGATTTAAGTCAATGAATAAACACTCGAAAAGGGAATAAAATGACTATGTAGTGGTACTCACATTCCTCAATATTACCCCCAAATGAGCAACTTCCTTTATGTACACTACCTCCTTTATAAATAAACTGATAAATTGTCATAAAGTCTTGTAACTTAAGTAGTAGAGAGCTTTTCTCTGTTAGTTTTAACTGAGAAGTTGACTTCTTTATCTTACAACTTTGCAAATTGTTACAGTGATTTTGAGCAAAATTCAATGCTACTCCTACTTCTGATTCTTCTAGTGCTGCTGCTAAACAGTAACGATGTATTGAATGTTTACTACATACCAGGCACTATGCTAAGCACTTATCATATGTTATCTCACCTCCCAACAATCTTGTGAGCTAGGTACTATTACCATTGAACTTTACTCCTGAAGAAACTGAGGGTTATAAAGGTCAAGGGACTTCCCCAACGTCATCAATTTGCTAACTGAGAAAGAAAGGTGTATGAGTCCAGGTATATCTGTCTCCAGAGCATGCAGACTTAGATGCTATCCTTGACTCCCTTTCTCAAAGCAATTCCATTGATAGATTCTGTGTGTTTGATGTCATTAGTAAGCAGTGAAGAATTGCTGAGGGAAGCTTCTTGAAAAAAAAAAAAAGGATCAGATTCGGAAGTTGGCTTACTGTGACAACAGGACTACTCCCAGTCTAGCTTGTCCATGAAGCTGCTGCCATTTATGCTGCAGAATGAAGAGCTCTTATAGTAGATTATAAAAATGGCCACAATATTATGTAGCTTCTTCCATAAAGAGGTATTTCTCCACTCCATTAATCAGGACTGCTTTTTGCCTTCCTTTTGGCCAATAGAATGCAACAGAAATGACTTTTTATGAATTATGAGCCTGGGCCTCTGCTTTCGTCTCTTAGAACCTGCCACTACCAAATAAACAAGCCTAGGCTAGTCTGGTGGATGGGTAGAGACATATGGTCACCCCACTGACCACCAGCCAACCCACAGAAGCAGAGGCATTTAGTCATGATCAGCAGCCAATCATGATGTATGGGGAATCCCAACCAAGATCAGCAGAAGAACTTCCAACCTGAGCCCAAAGCAAATTGTTGACCCATAGAATTGCTGTTTTAAGTTTTGGAGGAGTTTGTTATATGGTAAAAGGTAACTAACACTCATGTAAGGTGTCTACGTAGTCTTCAGGCTCTCAGGCCTAGAAGAAAAAAGTGTCTTAGACTTTTGGGATAAAATATCCAAGAAGCCCTTGCATATATGTCCTAGGGGTTTGGGGAAGACAGAAGGCCTATTCAGGATAGGGTGAATTTAAAACCTAGTTGCCAAATTCTTTGACACTGCTCCAATTGAAATGGGAGGTTGTGCACTTTAACCTTGGATCTGAGTACTGTGATTGCTTGATCAACAGAATATGGTGAAAGTTACACTGTGTTAGTTTCTGGGCCCAGGCCTTAAGAAACTGGTAGTTTCCACCTACTGTCTCTTGGAACACTCATTCTTGGAACTCAGCCACCACGTTATAAGGAAGGCTAAGTAGCCCGTTGAGTGGCCCATGGGATGAGAAACATGTGGAGAAGAATAGAAACCCTTAGCTGGCCCTCAGCCTTGACTGAGCTCTCAGATGACAGTCTTGTGAGTGAGCCACTTCGAAGTGGATATTCTAGGCCCCAGTCAAGCTGCCCAGCTGATGCTGCAAGGAGCAGAGATGGGCCTTCCCTGTGCAGTCCTGAGCAAATGTACATTTGTGAACTAAATACAGATGCTCTTTGACTTATGATGGAGCTACATCCCAATAAAACCACTGTAGGTTGGAAACATCATAAGTTGAAGATGCATTTAATACACCTAGTCTACATCATAGCTTAGCCTCTTCTACTTTAAATGTGCTCGGAACACATATTATCCTAATGTTGGGCAAAAGTCATCTAACACAAAGTCCATAAATCAAGTGTTGAATATCTCATGTAATTTATTGAATACCATGCTGAAAGTAAAAAACAGAGTGGTTGAATGGGTACTTGAAGGACGGTTTTTACTGGGTGTGTATTACTTTCACACCATTATGAAGTTGAAAAATTGTAAGTGGAACCACCATAGTTGAGAAGCATCTGGAAATGATTTAATCCACCAAGTTGGGAGGTGGTTTGCTATGCACCAATAAATAACTGGAGGGATCCTGGAGACATGAGATTCTCCAAAAACGTGGTGAATGCTTTGCTTTGGGGGATGAACAAAGGGCCTTTCTCCCAGCAGAGTGCTTGAGGGCCTGTTTTATCTTTCTCGTAGCACTTACTGTCACCACACATGTGCTTGCTTATTCAAGAGGCTAAGCAATGAAAAAGCAGGGACTGTGTTCTCATCACTACTATATGCCCAGGATCTAGAACAGAGTCCGACACACAGTAGGTGCTGAAGAAGTAGCTGTGGAATGAATGCAAAGATGGAAGACAGAGAGTTGACACAATGCTCAGTTCTGATTTTGTGCCAGGACTTTTACTTACAGAATTTTATGTAATTTCAACCTTCAGAGAAAGGCATTCTTCCTATCTTACAGATAAGGATACTCTGGCACTAAGAAAGGAAATGATTTGTACAATATCCGACAACTATTAGGTGGGTAAACCTGGGTCCTAACCCAGGTTTTTTGAATCTGTATCTTAAACTCTTCCTACAATGCTGTGGTGCTTTCCTCTTTTGGGCCCAGATGTCCCTACGAGGACCTAATAAGGGTATTTTTTACACACAGCCTGCACACACACATGCACACACATTCATACACACAATGGTTGCATATACTTTCAGGACTCACAGACTCTTGGTATAAGAACCCTTTTCTTATGCCATGAAAAGGAAAGGCACCTGGTTCTTACAGACTTTTGCTTTGTGCCTTTTCTTCAGCTAAATTGAGTTATTAACTAATTATGGCTTGTGAAGTCCTCGGAAAATACTAAATATGGTTATTAGTGAAGCTTTGATTTTAGAGAACAGCAAGGGAGTCCTGAATAAGCAAATAACAGTTGTGTAGGGAGGCTGGCAGCCGACGACATGCTGCGGTGTATAATCAAACTCTGCGAGGCTGTCAAAGGTACTTCAGCTCACTGCTTGCTACATTGGTCCTTACTGGGAGTTTATACATTTTCAGAGAACAGGATTCATTACTAATTGATTGATTTTCTAAGGCTCCCCATGTTTCATCTTCCAGCATCTATTTAACCTTTATTCTGCACTCCGCCCCCAAACCAACTCTTTTACTCACAGCAGATAACTCTACCTCTTCTTAGAAAAAATAGAAGCTCCACCTGAATTTCATCCCTGCACCCCCAAATATTTCCATCTAGATTATTATTACATCTTTCTTGGAGTACATCTAGATTACATACCATCTAGCCCTGCTTGCCCCCCTTTCAGACTATGCCCCCTTCAGAACTGGCTTTATGCACATGTGACTTGTGCAGTCACACAGGACTCCACTGTCAGAAAGGCCCCTTGTGAAGACGATGCTCTGTTATTGTCACCTTGAAATTTTTCATAATTTTTGAACAAGGGGCCCCATATTTTTATCTTGCACTGAGCCCTACAAATTACAGAGCCAGTCCTGCCCACTTCCAGTTGAATGTTTGATGTGAATCCTTCCAGTTATAACTGTGCATGTTGCTCCAAAGACCTCACTTCATCAATAATGTCTTGTTCTTTCAACTGTTCCCACTATACTCACTGACAACTTTCAGTCTACAATTCCTCATCCAAAAGAAATGAGCAAAATTCCTCTGATCAAGGTAATGACTGTCAGTTCTATATTGGGATATTTTTAGGGGGTTTCAAGGGACAGAAACCTAAGTGAAACTAGTTTAAGTGAAACAAGGATGTTTATTATATTACATGAACAAATTGTGGAAGAGTCAGGAGTGGAGCTGGCTACAGGGACAACAGGACTCTAAGATGTCACCCCTCTTCATCTGTATTCGTGTCCCCATGCTAGTGTTTTTCTTTCAGTTATTTTTCCATGTGATGGAAACTTGTCTGTAGGTAGTGCCAGACCAGATTCCTGCGGCTTGGCATCAAAGAGAAAAGGGACCATTGTCATCTAGTTTGAATAAATACAAAATCTGATGAAGAGTTCTAATTGTCTCTACTTGGGTCATGAGTTTATTCTTGGACCAGTCGCTGTCACCTGTGAAAAGGGGCACTCTGATTGGCTGTTGAGATCTGAATCTCATTGTTGGAGTTCTGGGAGAGCAGTTCTCTATGGGAAGGTGAGCATGATCATGGGAAGACAGAGCAATCAGTGTCTACCCTGGACCCCTTCTACCCAGAATCTCGGCTCTCTCTTTTTCCCTTCATGGTCAATGCCATTGCAAAGCCATCTATTTGAAAAATAGTCTACATTCACTCACCTGACTTCTTCACCTCCCACCACCTCTAAATATTTTTATTGTCTCTCTGAAACTGCCTTTGTCAAGATCATCACTGGTTTCCTTGTGGTCAAATCTATAGGTAAATTTTTAATGACCTCTTATTCACTTCCTTGCAATATGTTGCATCTGGTTATTCTTTCTTAGGAAATCTCTCCTTTCTTGTTTTTTATTTTTTCCTGGGCTTTGTTCTCCTTGTCTTTCAAACCAGCTCCTCCAAGGTCTGTCTTTTATTGATCTCAGTTTCCCTGTTTCTGGGCTTGTCTCCTGATCGGGTTCTTTAACATGTCCCATGAATCTGCCACGGATAGCTTCTCTTATCCCTGATATACCGTGCCTACTAGTGCTGACCATATTTTGCCAATTCAGTCATCCAGGAGAGAAAAAACGGTGAAATGGGTTTGGTTCAGGGTGTATGGCTATTAACAAGAAAATAATGAGAAGAATTCCAACAATTATTAAAAAGGTAGAATCACTTGGACTTGATGATAGGTTGGAAATGGAGAGAAAGAGAGAGGGAGAGGCTGAAAATACCTTTTAAATTTCTGGCTTGGGACTAGGTGGTGGATGCTGCCATTCACAAAATAAGGGCAGTAAGTGTGCATGTGATTAAATGTACATGCTTTTGAGTTCCGGGATGCCTACTTGGGTGTACATACACATACGTGTATAGTACATGCTTATGTGAATGTACTTGTCTTTTTGTGAGTGAGGACTTTTGAGCAGTTGGAGGTGTGGAGAGCATGTGGTATAAGTCAAGGTATGCATGTGTGCAGGGTGGTCAGGAAATGAAGACATTCGCATATGTCCACAGGCATAGAGGTCTTGAGTCCCACCAGCTGTGTACCCCAGAGCCTGTAGTTCTGAGGAATAGCCCTGGGCAACAAGGACCAACACATTCTCTTAGCTTATCACCAGTCTGTTCCTTACATTGTGCCTGCTTTAAGAAGTCACACAGCATGGAGTGTGCTTAATTAAATTCCACTACAACTTTAAAAAGAGCTAATTGTAGTTGTTAGAAACATCAGGTGCACATTGGCTGATAGAAGGAGACGGGATGAAAGGTTGAACCTTTTCTGTAATCCTTCTCACCTGCCCTGGATCTGAACTTTTATCAGTCTGGGGAAATGGGCTTATGGTGTATTCAGTATTGATTCCTGCCATCTTGTTGATTTGCAACTCTGGAGGAGGGTTGAGCCTGCCACTGGAGCTAAAGAATTCCAGTTTTGGAGCAACATCAGGGCAGATGAGGGCTTTCTGGATCCAGAAATGGGAAGAAGGTGGGGACAGAGTCAAAGAAGGTAGGGGCATATGGAGGCAGTTTTACACTTATTACTCTCTCCTTTTTGGTATCAAATTTATTTTAGGGAAACACAAACCATCCTCTTTTGTCTACTCTCCACTTCTGTCAGTTCTTATCTTCAGTTTCCTCACATGTAATGTAATGTTAATAATGATATCTATTACATTGGGATATTTTGAAGATTGGAAGTAACAGACGCAAATCACCTATGGCCCAGGGCATACCACCTGTTGCTCCCCACCAGTGGGTTGTGGTAGTGATTGTGGCAGCAGTAATTGTAGTAGCTGTGTGGTGACTACTAAAAGTAGCCACAGATGATTGTTGAACACTTAAAATGTGGCTAGTTCAAATGACACGTGCTGTAAGTGTAAAATACACGCTGGATTTTGAAGACTTGGCATAAGAAAGGTAAAATATCATCAATAATTTTTATGTTGATTACATCTTGTCATGATACTATTTGGGAGATATTGAGGTAAATGGAAATATAGTATTAAAATTAATTTCATCTGTTTCTTTTTACATTATTAAAATGTACTCGTAAATTTAAATTTATATATGTGGGTTTTATTGTGTTTCTGTTGGACAGTGCTGTTCTAGAGAATTCAGGCAAGAGGTAGTAATCATCAGTTCCAGAAGTACTGAATTCTTCTGGAGTACAGGGATGAGGCTGATAACTCCAGGGATGGAGGCTACTGAGATCAAGTTTGACCTCTAATTGCTGGAGGTATCATGCAGAAAAAAATGCTCAGACACAGGGCCTCAAGACAGAGGCCCTGTCCCCTACCCACTTGACACTACCCCAGCTTGCTTATGGACACCATCATCTCTTGCCTGGATGGCTCTCACAGCTTTCTTCTAACTGGTCTTTCTTCTAACAGCTTTCTTCTAACTGATCTTTCTGCATGTCTCCAAGAATCTAGTTTTCTGTCACTCCTAACAGCCAGAGTGATTTTTAAAAATACCTGATTCTACTCAAAGAGATTCATTTAAATCCCTTTCAGGCAGTCTTTTTGGAATTAAATCTAAGGTCCTTGCAAGCCTGGCCTGGAAGGTCCTCCATGATCTGCTCTCCTGCCTCAATTTCCTCCATTCTCTGCTTCACTCATATTGCATGTTGCTGCCTCATGAGCCTTCATTCACTAAAACATGCCAGCTGCTTTCCTGTCTCAGGGACTTTGCACATGCCATTTCTTCTGCCTGCAACATTCTTGCCTAACACCTCACATAGCTGGTACCTTCTCATGCTTCAGGTCTCAGTTCAACACATCATCTCCTCTAAGAAATCTTCTTCATCCACATTCTCTAAGTGCCCTAGTTTCCCTCCTACTACCATGTTCTTTTTGCTCATTCCATTATCACCATTTGATATTAATGTGATTACTCATTCAATCTTTCAGTCATCACTATGCTGTAAGCTCCATGCAATGGGTCCATGTCTGTGTTGTATCCAATAGCACAGAGGCTGTCATATAGGAGGCACTTGGGAAATACTTGCTAGAAAAAGAATAAATAAATGGAAGTCTGTTGTCTGAACCAGGACACAAGTTCAATGACAGCCTTAACAATGATGACCTGATGGAGAAGGACTGAGGCTCTGAGATGGGGTGGGAAGGATCAGCCACTCCAGGGGAGGGAAGAAGAAAGACACAGAGGCTGGAGAAGCAGGCAGGGCCCAGCCTGAGCCCAGCAGGGGCAGCTTGGCTCTGCCTCATCACAAGAAGTAGCTTCAGAGCTCTTCAAAGGAAGCGAGTCAAGATGGGTCAGTCCCTGGAGGTGTCACTGGCCCTCAGAAGGCCTCTGCCAGGGTTTGATGAAGCACCTTCTGTGGCAGGTCTCATAATTAACTGTGACCATGCAGTGTGTTCATGCAGATGTAAATCATCTGGCAGATACTTTGGGGCTTATCTGCTAATGAAAACTCCTTCGCATTTCTGTAAGCATATTATGGTCAATTACAATTAATTCAGTTTGCATCGACTGCCATTTTCCTTATGCAAAGATTGTGCAAATCGAGTGTGTGAGCCGAGGGCTCTGAGGCCTGTAAAATCCATAATGGTTAGCTTTCAGGGATGGTGAGGAAAGAATAAAACTGTGGGCTGTTTGAAATTTAAATCAGAGCAGGGCTGGTCAATAGAAGCAGAATGGCTGCACTTGGATTTGTTGGGCTGGCTGTGCTGGGGGACTAGGGGCATCTTCCTACTACCCAAGGTTACAGGGTCACAGAGTGTACCCTGTCCCTATCAGTTTCTTCTCTGGGCTCCACTTCTGCATTTCTGGCTGCAGCCTCTCTAAGACCCAAGGGACCAGACTTCCTGTCTGAGGACTCATAGCCATGTGACTCAGATTACTGCTACTTGAAGAGAGATGAGGTTTTCTCTTTTTCTTTCCCATAGCTCCAAGGAGTAAGTTGGGAAGATAGCAGGTGTTAAATTGTTAAAATTTCGACTTCTGGACCAGCTGACATTTGTTCACTATTAACTGTGTGCCAAGAATTGTGCTCAGTGCTTATGCATGTTTTCTAGGTATGTGTGTGCATAGCACACGATCCTATGAGGCAGGTATTTGCACTTCATAAACTTTATAGATGAGGCTTAGAGAGGTACAGTGGCCTGTTCATGACATACACCTAAGAAAAGTTTGGTTTGAATCTAGATTTTAAATCACTGTATTATACAATCACTGGGAGGACTGAATCGTATAAAAAGTGACATTCAGTCTCTATTGCTTTTGTTGTCAGATTCAGCTGCAGTCAATACCTGAAGAAGAGAATGGTTCTATGTCATTTCTCCTTTTCTGTAAGGAGAGCAGAGACCACAGGGCTTCCCATGAAAGTCAGGGAGCTTGGCTTGCTGGGCATTCCTAGGCAGGCAAATGACAGAGTAGGACTTCGGTTGTCAATTGCTGTACAAGCTAGGATGACCTCTGGCCATGAGGTGTGTTGGAAATCTCTTTCAGAGTAGCCTCTTCTTCTGAAAGACCACACTCAGCCCAAGCATCTAGAGAGAACCTCAGAGGCTGCTTGAATAGTACTGAGTACAGTGGAATATAGGTGCGGATCTGTATAGGTTGTGGATTTATTGTTCAAATTTTCTTGTTTTTACCGAACTTCCAATTGCCATCACCTTCATTTCTTTACTTAAGGTTTCTCTGGCCATGAGGGTCCACGTGGCCCAAGCATGTGACAAGCCAGAAGTACCAGAGAATTAACATTCCTCAGGAGCATCCCTCAACCAGTGAGCAGTAGAATTTGATGTGTAAATACCTCAACTCCCTCACCCCTCAGGTAGGATAACTCTGCAGTGCATGTGCAATGCTGGCTTCTGGAATTCCCCGGCAGGATCATGCTCCAGTTGCCCATAGCAATAACCTGGTTGATAATACACACTTTATTGCCTGCTTTTTCTTCCTTCTCTCCCTTATTGGTATTTCCCGAGATCACCTTCTAAATAAAACAATTGCACTTGAATCTTTGTCTCAGAGTCTGCTTCTGGGGAAACCAAACTAGGTTAGCTCCTAAACTTAAGCATAAACTGACTTGCAGCACTGGCCATGAACACAATAGCAAAGACAGGGAAACAACCTAGGTGCCCATCAGTGGTAGATTGGATAAAGAAAATGTGGTACATATACACCATGGAATACTATGCAGCCATAAAAAAGAATGAAATCATATCCTTTGCAGCAACATGGATGCAGCTGGAGGCCATTATTTTGAGTGAACTAATGCAGGAACAGAAAACCAATACCGCACGTTCTTACTTATAAGTGAGAGCTGAACATTGCATTGGGTACTCATGGACATAAAGGTGGAGGAAACAAGAAACACTGGAGACTACTAAAGGGTGCAGAGAAAAAGGAGGAAAGGGCCGAAAAACTACCTAGTGGATACTATGCTCACTACCTGCATGACGGGATCATTCATACCCCAAACCTCAGCATCACACAACATACCCATGTAACAAACCTGCACATGTACCCTTGAATCTAAAATAAAAGTGGAAATTATAAAAAACTTAAAAATTAAAACCTTCAGGCAAAAACTCTAGGGATAATGACACAGAAAAGGTTGCTGCCTGGGCATTAGAAGAACACCACACCCAAATAGCTCAAGCCTGTGGCCAAAGATAAGAACTTGGAGGCATCTCTCCTTCCTAGTAGGGCTCCTCACTTTCCCACCACTTCTTTTTAGGCATTTAGCTGAGAACTTAAAAGGACCCACACCATATTCCCTTATATATATTGTTAGTTGCCACGTGTGCTCTCTGTCTGCCTGGCTCTTCCTTCTTGCGTTGTGTGACCTGGGGATGGAGGAGGAATGCTGTGTGCTCCTCTCTGGCCACCTTGCATAGCTTTAGGATCCAAAAGTAATTTAGGAACAATGCTTGAATTTCACATTGTGGTTGTGTCATTGAAGCTGTGCTCACAATCTAACCCCTGATGGTGAGGTAAGGATCTCACATAGGTGGATTTGTTGCTGGGGCTCTTCTGTTTGGACCTCCGTCAGCTGCTGGAGATGGTAGCTACCAGCTAAGTAACAGAGAAACTCAAAGACTTTTGTCTAAAAGCCTACTGCAAAAAGAAAGTTTGATGATTTAAAAAATTATTTATTTATTTTTTGAGACAGAGTTTCACTCTTGTCGCCCAGGATGGGGTGCAATGGCGCGACCTTGGCTCATTGCAACCTCCGCCTCCCAGGTTCAAGCAATTCTCCTGCCTCAGCCTCCCAAGTAGATGGGATTACAGGTGCCTGCCACCATGCCTGGCTAATTTTTGTATTTTTAGTAGCGACGGGGTTTCACCATGTTGGCCAGGCTGGTCTCAAACTCTTGACCTCAGGTGATCTGCCCACCTCGACCTCCCAAAGTGCTGGGATTACAGGCATGAGCCACCCATGCCTGGCCTAAAAATTGTTTAATTTTAATCATACAAGTAAACATAAATATATTCTTATGGCCAAAAAAAAAATCATACTTTATGGATACTGTCAAAGTCCCCATTGACCATTCTTCCTAGTACCTTTCCTGAACAGAAATGACCATTGTCATTATTTTGGCATTTCTCTTTCCAGATACTTTCTATACATTCATGTGTGTGTGTACATGTGCAGCACCCCAACACTCAATCCACTCTACATTTTGACCCACAATGTACTTTTTTTTTTTTTTTTTTGAGAGTCTTGCTCTCTCACCTAGGCTGGAGTGCAGTGGCACGATATTGGCTCACTGCAACCTCCACTTCCCAGGTTCAAGCGATTCTCCTGCCTCAGCCTCCTGAGTAGCTGGGATAACAGGTGTGCACCATCATGCCTGGCTAATTTTTGTATTTTTAGTAGAGACGGGGTTTCACCATGTTGGTCAGGATGGTCTCGAACTGCTGACCTCATGATCCACCCACCTCGGCCTCCCAAAGTACTGGCTTCACAAGATATTTGAGAGTTCTTTCCATGTGAGTACATAAAATTTTACCTCACTTCTGTTAAATGCTGCATAATATTGCATTGTGTGAATTTAGTTTAGTTTAACTACTCCCCTACTGAAGGATATTTAGGTTGTTTCCAATCTATGATGGCTTCAGTTGTGGGGGCTTCCTCCTTTGAGCATGGGCTGTCTCCCTGAGGGTCAGTTCCCCCAAATTAAGGGCTCTCTTTGCAGTAACTTTCTTGTAAATCCTGAAACAGCCACAAGCTAGTTATAAAATGAAGATGTTATGAAAACCAGTTAGAATTGCTGGGGAATTCCAGACAACATCACGTGACTCCTCCAAGTCCCTAGAGAACTAGAATGAGACTCTGAAGAGGTGGGTTGGGACAGGATGCTGGAGAGAGAAGAGGGGCAGGGGAGAGAGCAGGGGGCATAAGGGCTGAGGAAGAGGAGTCTTTTTTGCTCCTAAACACTTGAGGTTCCATTTGCTAATTTATTGTCAGACCACAGAAAAATTGATCCCTCCTGCTCCAGCCAGATGTTGCTTTCTTGAGTTCTGGCCTTGCCCCCATAGCTCTCACCACATCAAGGAGAGGACTAGCAATAAGAAATATATTTTTCTTCAGTAGGATTGAAATCCCCCCTATTGTGTTCTTCTTCACCATCTCAGTCAGGGAGCCTGCTCTGGGAATCATAAATTATCAGGTTAAACCATGTGAAGGTAACACTTTTCAAAGTCAAAAATGGTCAAATACCATCAGTTTCATATGGTTCAACTGAATAAATTTTCGGAGCAATTCCAATTTATCTTTTAAGTGATGGGGTTAAGATGACAGTTTGGGGACTTTGCCTGTGACCCTTCAAAATTCCGGGGTAGGACTTAGGATGCTAATTGTTGCATAAGGTAGGGTTGCAATTTGAGATTAGGTTGGTTAGAGGTAAGGTTGGGAATAGATTTGACAAACATGTGATGTAATTTCTGCCCCTTGCCAATCCTTTTTCCATTGCAGCCGTCACTAATTGATTAAAGTAGTAATGCTTACTAAACCCAGATGTGAATATAAGATAACTTTCAATACATCACTCTAAATAGGCACAGCCTGTTGACCAGAACCAGTACTAATGATGGAGCCCACAGCCATCTGTCGTGGGAGGGAGAGCTTGGTTTGATGAAGGGATAGATTTAAGGTGATGTTTAGGTTTGCTTCGGGATTATGGCCAGTTTAAGTTTGTTTTGATTTTAGGATAAGCTTAGTCAAGGAAAACTCTTGACTCTGGCTTAGAAGCAAGATTAATTTTGAGTTTCGAGTATGAATGGTTTAGTACTATGTTTAGTTTGTTAATTTATAGTTAAGGTTAGGCTGGATTCAGAGTGATGCTCAGATTTGTGTTTCGTCTAACTTGGAGGTCAGGGTTGTGTTCAGAATTAGATTGAGTGAATTAGGAGAACTCAATATTCAGCCCTTAAAACTTCCACTTTTTTAACTGTCCTGTGGTGTTAAAAGTAGCAGCAGTAGTCCAAAAAGTATTATACTTGGATGATATCTCTAATATGCATGCAGACAGATAAGCAACTTTGGTAAATTACTTAGCAATTCTGGGAACATTTTTAGCATTTGGAAAGAGCAATATTAATGGTACTGCACTGTGTTTTATTTTAAATGAAACTTATGTAAAGTGTTTAGCCAGTGTTTGTTAGACAATAGGCAGTCAGTAAATAATAAGTCTCTTTATCTTTTTTTTTTTTGTGCTGGCATCTTATTGCTTCATAAAACTGATGACAATGGTAGTTACAATTTATTAAGCATTTACTGTGAGAGACACAATGATTTTAAGCCTTTGACACATATTACAGTCACACACTGCATAACAACATTTTGGTCAATAGCAGATGGCATATATGATGGCAGTCCCATAAGATTATAATAGAGCTGAAAAGTTCCTGTCACTTAGTGATGTTATAGCCATTGTAAGGTCATAGTGCAATGCATTGTTCATGTGTTTTTGGTGATATAAGAATAAACACACCTACTATGCTACCATTCATATAAAAGTACAACATATACAATTATGTACAGTACATAATACTTGATAGTGATAATAAATGATCATGTTACTGGTTTATGTATTTATTATACTATACATTTTATTATTTTAGAGTGTACTCCTATTTTAAAAAAATGTTGATTGGTGGCTCACGCCTGTAATCCGAGCCCTTTAGGAGGCCAGGTTGGGCAGATCACTTGAGGTCAGGAGTTCAAGACCAGCCTGGCCAACATAGTGAAACCCCGTCTCTACTAAAAATACAAAAATTAGCTGGGCATGGTGGCATGCACCTATAATCCCAGCTACTCAGGAGTCTGAGGCAGGAGAATTTTTGAACCCAAGAGGTGGGGGTTGCAGTGAGCCGAGATTACACCACTGCATTCCAGCCTGGGCGATGGAGTGAGACTATGTCTAAAAAAAAAAAAAAAAAATGTTGATTGTAAAACAGCCTCAGGCAGATCTTTCAGGTGGTATTCCAGAAGAAGGCATTGTTATCATAGCAGATGACAGCTTCAGGTGTGTTTTTGCCCCTGAATACCTTCTAGTAGGGCAAGATGTGGAGGTGGAAGACAGTGTTATTAAATGATCCTCACCCTGTGTAGGCCTAGGCTAATGTATGTTTCTTAGTTTTTAACAAAAAAGTTTAAAAAGTAAAACAAA